>NC_000023.11:15167791-15470821 GCF_000001405.40 Homo sapiens | reverse complement strand
AGACCAGCCTGGCCAACATGGTGAAACCCCGTCTCTACTGAAAATACAAAAAATTAGCTGGGCGTGGTGGTGGGCGCCTGTAATCCCAGCTACTCGGGAGGCTGAGGCAGGAGATTCGCTTGAACTCAGGAGGTGGAGGTTGCAGTGAGCTGAGATCACACCATTGCACTCCAGCCTGGGCAACAAGAGTGAAACTCTGTCTCAAAAAAAAAAAAAAAAAAGAAAGAAAGAAAGAAAGAAAGAAAAATTGAGTGGGGGGAAATGTAATAAAGACTATAAGCCAATCATTAAAACATTATTTTATATCACCAAATATAAAATAAAGCTTTTCAAGTGAAACGAGAAATAAGTCCAAAGTAAATTAACATAGATCATTAAATGATAAAAAGCTTCATGCAAATTGTCCACACTATTAACAAAGCTGCTTCAGAGTCATCCAATCAACAGACTCTTAGAATCACAGGCCTGACTACACAGGATTAAACTTGAAGGAAATTTGCCATGCAACAGTATTAACTACTGATATATGAGAAGCTTCATATGTTGATACGTTACCTGTAAGCCTCAAAACAATCTTGAAAAGTAAAAATTGTTATCTCCCCCATTTTACACATGAGGAAACTAAGGTTCAGGGAGGCGGTGACTTGCGAAGTTCACACAGGCCATACAGAGCAAGATTTGGTGGGCCCATATGATCCCAGGCCCACATTTGTCCACTCTTTTTTGCTACCACTCCTTCTGGAACAAAGTTCCCTTTCTATATATCTGATATTTTCTCAATACTTTGACACATTCAGATGATTAAAAGATTTTTAATACCATTAGAAATGAGATTGTGCAGGTGACATAGACCATAAAACTATGAATAAACACCCCATACTCCTTCTGCCACTCACTTACTGTGGGACCTATGCTTTCATGGTCCAGGGATCTGAATTTTCCTATCTGTAAGTCCAAAATAGTGCTCTCACTTGTCCTCTGAACTTCCAGTATAATGAGGAAATGGGTTAGGTTGATTGTACCTGGCTATTTAAGGACAATCATTTACCTTACTTCTTATAGCTGCAACACTGTTCATGATCTAGTAGTAACATGATAATAAATTCATGTTTCAGTCGCTTATAACTTACTACAACCTAATTTTTCCCTCTTTCTGTATACCTTTTCTCCCCACCCTACCTTAATTTTTTCCCCCAAATTTCTTCTTTTTAAGACCCACCTGGGAGGATTCCTCCTCCACGAATTACTCCCTCATTCCTCTGGAATCTTTGTCACAATCAATCTTTCTTCTAGATTTGCTTGTACTTCTCTTTAGCTTTCATTTCTCTTGTCTGCATATTTTAGTGGTTTATCTTCTGCTAGAGTGGTAGCTCCCTGAAGGTATGGAAGCAATGACCACTGTGTTCCTTCTAGGTGATTCCTGACTTCCTGTTTGTGAGTTTGTAATGACATTTTATCTTGGGTGGGCCAGAACGAAAGAAAGAAAAAGAAAGGGGAGGGAGGAATGATTAGCAAAGTAGTGGGCCTTTTCCTAGAGATAAATTTATTTTATTTAAAAGACTGTTCTTTATTCAGATATTGCTATTCTTCCTTTTTTTGGTTGTTAGAATGGCCTTTCTTTTATGAAATGATGACCATAGTAGATAATTTTTACCTTTCACAATCTGAATTTAAAAGTTGGCACCCCCACCCACCATTGAGGAGTATTCTATAAAATACTTCACCAGTACTCTTCAAAATTATCAAGCTCATGAAAAACAAGGAAAGAGTGAGAAACTGTCACAGATGGAAGAAACCAAGGGGACATGATGACATGGATCCTGAACCAAAAATGGATATTCATAGAAAAACTGGTGAAAGCCACATAAGTGATATACTTTAGTTAATGGCAGTGTATCAACATTGGTTTCTTAGTCTTGGCAAATGTTCTGAGGTTATATAATATGTTAATGGCAGGAGAAGCTGGGTGGACTCTCCATACTATCTTTACAATTGTTATGTAAACTTAAAAATTATTCCAAAATTTAACTTTTATTTTTAAAAGACTAAGGAAGGCAAAAAATTGGCATCCCTCTCTCAGACCCCTTTATTTTAAAATGTTTTATTGCTTCTTGATGTCCAAAATCCTGGGGCCTGGGGCCCAATAACATCAAGTTCAATGATCACACTCACTCAAAGTTTGAGAAATTAAATCTACAGTGAATTGAATCAGGGAATCATAATAATAACGTACCCATAAAAAGGTGTCAGCTGCTTAATTAAATATTGTTATAATGAAATTTTAACAAAATATTAAAAGGAAAATCGACATGAGTCTCTGAAACCTCTTCCTCTGTAAGACCCCTGTGAGTCCCAAACCTGCCCAAGACCATATGTGCAAACAAGTGTTTTCAGGCACTTCATTCTTAGGCATCTGCCTTAACAACTTTTAACTGGAGACTGTACTAAGCAGAAGAACTTCCCTCTATGCCACAACATAGCTGATCCCTTAATGACTAGATGGCAGCCTGCCACAGTGACACACAGTCTTTAAGCAGAGACGCCATGCATGTGCTACAAGACATATTTAGTAATCAGTGGATCTGTTGGCGAGACATAGGTCTGGTTTGGTGAGGTTTGATTTTAGGAAAAGAATGAGCACACATAATTTGTGTCAGCAGAGGGCTCTCTTAAGCAACAATAGTTCCGACTACCCGTTTATGTGGAAATTTGGGTAGTCATAGAAGTTAGCAAACCATTCCCTTCAGGCCCCTTCAGTATAACATGGAAATTAAAACAATGGAAATGAACATCTTGAGCACAGTTTTGCCAGATGTAGGTGGTGCCAGTTAAGAAGTTGGGCTGCTGATTACATGGCGACCCAGGCATAGCTTGTCTGAAGAGATTCCCCAAAACATTTATTCCTGATCTGGGTTTGAAGGAGAAGGGGCATGCCTGGTCCTGGGGTTCTAGAAGCAGCTGGAAGTTTCTGAGGGAGTTTGTAATTCAGCTCTTTTGAGTAGTTAGGTTTGGGAATATGATTATCATAGAACCTTGATGTCCATGTCAGAAATTTTAATCAGAGTGAAAGAAAAAAATAGGTTTGGGAGACTTGAGAATGGGAACAACGTAAAAAAATAAGAGACAAATAAGTCAGTTGTTCTTTTCTTTGTAGTTAGATGGTAGGTAGAACTCTTTGATACCCACACCAAAGAAGGATTTCATGATCACCTCATCTCAGGATCCTGTAGCTTTGGGATCTTCCATAAACCTACTCCCTTCACTCAGAAATCATGAGGCCTATTTTCAGCTTTGTGTATATTAGCAGTAGGACCCTTTCTTTGCCTGAAATAGCCAGTTTGCCTGAAGCCATTGAAGTTGGCAAAGTCCCCTTGTTACCTGTGTGAAATCCCTGCAGTTCTGGCTCCTATTGCAATTGTCATGGGATTTCTCCTCTGAGACAAGCCCTGTGCTCCCAGCACATACGTTACTGGCAATATGCCGTCAGCATTTGTGAGGCAGCATGGGGGTGGGGGAGTGAAAGTAGTTTTATTCTCAGGGACAGATAATGTTGTTTTAGATCTTTGTTCTGCTATTGTTAACTGTAACCTTAATCTCACTAAGCCACGATGTTTTCATCAGTAATATATAGGTGATCACATATTTCCAGGATCAGATGCTTTGTAAATGCTGAAATGCTATGCAAATATAAGATGCTATTCATCCATCCATCCATCGATTGATTGATCAATTCATTCATTCATTGAACAAATCTTCAGTGCCAGCTGTATGCTAGGCACCATAGTAGCTAAGTTAAAAAAGTCCCTGCCTTCATGGGGCTTACATTCTCTTAATGAAGACAGACAATAAATGAATAACAAATAATTACATAATATAGTGTCCCATGGTGAAAAAGCTAGGAAGAAGAAACAAACCATGGTTGGAGGATACAGAATTGATTGATAAATTAGACCAGATGGGCTGGTTGGAGGTGGCCTTTCTTAGGCAGTAACATTTGAACAGAGGCCTGAGTGAAGCGAGGAGGTGAACTATGAGACTGTTGGAGGGGGTAGGGGGAACTATTCCAGGAAGCGTGAATGAAGATCCACGAATGGGATCTCTGCCCACGGAGCTGTGGTAGCTGTGCCAACTCTAGGACTTACCCATCACCTGTTATGGGCCAGGTGCTTTGCACACATTACTCACTTAGTCCTTACCACTCTCGGAGAGCTCACCTCCCAGGTCTATGCTGTACATGAGGAGACTGAGCCTCCAAGAAGTGAAGGGACTTCACCCTGCATACCAAACCTGGTAAATGGCAAACCTGAGGTTTGCACCAGAGCCCCAAAGCCGGTGTAGTTTTTGGAGGCAGGGCCACACCTGCAGGGGGCAGAGTGGCGGGAGTCTCTGAAGCACTGGTGCTTCTGCAGGGTGGTGGCAGGGAAATGTAAGGCAGGACCTGGTAGAGCTTTAAAATACTCGGATTTATCCATTGGCCGAATACCTGAACCGTGTTGGTTATCTTTTCCTTTTTGTTAAAACCACCTTTTGGAACTTGTGAAGGTGCGTATGTGGGGTTGGGATTGGGTGAGTCAATTTAGTCAATTGGGTGATTTTCCCGGTTTCTACTCAAGTCATGAAAACATTTTTGTAAAATAACTTGAGTCCTTAATTGTATGGATTCAGACATCCTTGAAGACCAGTTAGCAGCTTCTATTATGCAATATGTTCCTTGCTGGCATCTCTCATCAGCCATGACCTCAACTCGTGTTTTGTTTTGTTTTTCTCTTTTTCCTACCAAGCCACTAGTAGACAAAAAAAAAAAAAAAAAAAAAACAGCCACCATTTTAAAGCAAATGGAAATTAAAGGAAAACATAGTTTTCCCTGTAATATAAACATTTTGCTTTAAAGAACAGGTCTTGCATCTTATTCCCAAACACTGAATGAGGTACTCAGACTCTGCCTTCTAAATACCAGCCAGAAAGAAACAACAAACTATATTATCTCTTGCGTTGTAATTCTTCAGAATTAATTTATAGCTCCTTGAGGTACACCTTTCCTAAACTTCACATGGCAAGTGACACTTTTCTTTCATCACTATTGTGTGTTTTGTCTTTCTGCCCCCAAACACAAACACACAAGGAAATAAGAACTGACAAGGAAGCAAAAATATTTAGTAAAGACCCACGGAAAGAATTAGAAGGAGGAAAAGAGGAAGCAGGACCAAGAAGCACGTCAAGTGCTTTAAGAAAACACCTGTTTCAGATTACAAATTTCTTACTTAATTAGACACATGCAACTCTTGAGTTTAAACATAACACTCACAATTCGTCAGCCACCCACGGCAATTCTCCAGGTGTTTGTGATTATGTAATGCCCTAAAAAATCATCTGGATTGTGTCAACTCTCAGAAGTACTGCTTCAGTTTTTTAAAAAATCCTCTACAGACATTAATTTATATGTAAAGTCTCAGTCTAGCATTTACACTACTTAGCAAAAAAACAAATAAAAGGTTATAATAAGTAAAAGGTCAGTGGTTTCCTTGGTTTCTGATTTTTTTTTCCCCAAAGGCTGAAAGTATGTTTTTTGCTTCAAGTAGTAAAAGATAGGCATTTTGAATTCAATAAAACTTCATTGACCAGACTTCTCTAATTCAGATTTTATGATATTTAGGATAGGAGCAACGAGGTTTAATTGTATAACCAGGGAAAGGAGCATCCACACTGCAAAAGTAGAGGAAAGGGGGGATAACTGTTTCCTGAATCTTTTTAAAAAAGTGTTGAAATTGCTTCCTAAAATCAAATTTGGAAAAAAAAATCTTGATGTCCACTTAGATTTTTCATCCTTAAATGAGTCATACTCACCACAATTTACTTTTTAAAGTTGCTTGACATATTTTTAGATGGTTAGCAACCTGAAAGCCCTTAGGCTTGGATAATTGAAAAATATTTGGGGATGGAAAAGAATATGATTTGAAAGGGACTCCTTTGAGAGCCCAAAAGGGAGCTTCAGCCCAAACAGAATGGAGATTGCCTTTCTCATGCAATTATTTTAATTAAAAATGCATGTGCAGCAGGAAAAGCAAAGCAATTCTAGACACCACTCCTTATAGTTTGGCTGATTGTTTGAAATCTGGAAGCTTTTGTTTGTCCTCTTAAATTTTTAAGCTTTGTATTAGATCCTAAATGCTTTGTTCCTATTCTGACATAAGCGCTCTCTATAAAAAATGCAGGTCTTTTCCACACAGTAACACATGTTAAAGTCGGAGCTGCATTGTCCTACATGTAATATGGAGCTACTCTTCTGATTCTTAGTGTTTCTCCTTGTGTCTCACTGCCTTTCTATCCAGCCCCAGTTCACCTAAGCAGGGAACAAGATATTCATCAGCGTCTATGTAAAATAAACTATATCACTTACTTTCATCCACTGATTAGCGGCAGCATCTTTCTTTTTTCCAAAACAAAAAAGTTGTTTCCATTGTATAAAAGTCAATTAATTATTACAGAAAATTCAAACTGTCAGAAAAATGGAAAGAAACATATCTGAAATTCTACTATCTGGAGATGACCACTGTTCACATTGTGATGTATGTTCATCCGGGCACCTCCATGCATACTAACACAACTCGATAATTTTATTTAAATGAGTCCATTTAAATACATTGTTTTATTTGTCCCCTTTAAATAGAATTGCTGTTCTGTAACCTGCTTTTCCAATTAAATAATATTTCATTTTTTTCTGTGTCAATAAATAAAGATCTATATCACTTTTTAACGGTTGCACAGTATTCTCTTATATGGCTACACTGTAATTTAGTTGCGTTACTTATTAACCTATCATCCAGAATGTCCCTGTCTTTTGCTATTGCAGTAAATATTGCAGAGAATGGAATTGTGCAGAAAATCTTGTTTTTTTTGTTTCCTTAGATTTAAATCTCAGAAGTATACTATTTGCATTTAAATCCTTCATCCATTTGGAACATGTTTTTGTATGTAGTGGGGGATTACTGTCTTTTCTCATATGGTCATTTGTTCTAACATCATTCACTGGGAAATACATCCTTGCCCCACTGATTTGAAATTGCTACTTTCATATATTAATTTCCCATACAAATGGGTCTCTTCTATCCCTGTGCCAGTGTTGCATTGTTGCCATTACCATAGCGAGTTCCCAGATGGGGGTTTTAGACTTCAAACCTAGAACCTCTAATTTTTGTAGCCATCTGCCTGTGACCTGCTGGGGTAAAGGCCCTGCCTAGGCTATTCTGTTCACAGTATACCTCAATGATATTATTCTGCAGGATGAAACGTGGAGAGTCCTTGTGTCAGCCAGCCCTGATTTGCACTGTATTATGTGCTCTATAAATATTTTGATTCAAGAACTGGCATCCAATAAAGTTAGCTCAGGAAGAGGAGAGTTTATTATAAATCTGCAATATAAAAACGTCAACAACATGACAGTAGCAAGGCTTTTATTGCTTTTAGTTTAGGTATTAGGAGGCATAATAAATAATAACTTGTTCTCCCAGCCTGAATTCTCAACCAATTGAGAAGATAAAGGAGTAAGAAAGATGGCAGACAAAAATACCTTTATTTCTGATAAAGCTGATACTGGAGAAGGTGGCTTATATCTGCGGGCAGGTGGGCTTCTGAATACTGCACCTGAAAATAAGGCAGACTTACTCAGATCTCACCAGCTGTGCTAGACCCCTGTAGGCTACCACCACGGGTGCTAGTCCCTCTCACGGAGACAAAGAGAAAGAGGACACTTGCTTTCTGTGGATAGGCTGACTCTCAAGAGGAGGGAGAGAGGAGGGGGCTTGGCTCTGCAAACTCAATTTCTACTTTCAACTCTACCAGTCCTACTTACTATATGTCTTCCTCATGAGAATATAAGCTTCATGAAGACAATTACTGTATCTGTCTTCTCCACTTTTTTATCTCCCAACACAGTACCTAGGACATTATAGGACTTCAGTGAGTATTTGTTCAATGAATGTTGTTGGTGCACTTACCTTCTCAATATATTATTTTAAAATTATTGTATCATAGGTTTTATATATTTGAATTGATATCTTATGATTATGTCCTAAATATACAAATATGTAGGGCAAAATAATAACCATTGCTGTTTATGATTTTTAAAACAAATTTTTGAATTTTCATGTGAAAAAAGACTATTTAGGTCTACTTTTTATGCCTTAGGATAAAGCAAAAACATAGACGACAAAAACAATCTGGCTTTGACTTATTCGATGAGTGCTTGTATAGAGGAGGAAAGAACAATTTTGTTTGTGTAAAACAGCAATATCTGATGTATATGCTGAGAAATTCATAAATATTTTCTCTTCTCTTGCCTCCTGGGCATTTTTTTTTCTTTCTTCTTTATATCTTACAATATTTCCACTCTGTTTTTTATTGTGGATTTAGATATTTCTTGAAGGAGTTAACAGATAAATTTCCCAAATGCATACAAAATGGATGTCGAATCCAAATAGATTACACAAAAAGAGCCCATGTCCTGACACACAACATTTTACGCTTTAAGTGCTAAATTATATATTTCAAATAACAATGTTGCCGTGTTCCTGAGGTAATTTTAAATTCTTACTAATTATTTGGTATCTTTTAATCTTTATTTGCTAGAGTAATCACTATAGCCTTAAAATGAGAAGTTTAGAGTTGCTTGATTTTTCCCTTTAGTAGAATAATGAAATAAGAAGGGTTTACTTTTCTTCTGCTTTTTAGAGTTGATGCAAGTCTTGTTCTACCAAAAGGTACTGTGATTGCAGAAAGTCCTGGGAAGGTTTTTCTATCTACACAAAATGCCTACCATAGTTGACTACTGATTTTCAAATTCATTCTATCTAAACCTGTGCTATCAAAGGGAATTTTCTGTAAAGATGGAAATGTTCTATAATCTGCACTACCCAATATGATAGCCATTAGCCGGATGGGGCTTTTGAGCACCCAAAATGTGGCAGGTGCACCTGAGGTGCTGAATTTTAAATTTTATTTAATTTTTTTTGTTTTTGTTTTATTTATTTATTTATTTTTTTGAGATGAAGTCTCAGTCTTGTTGCCCAGGCTGGAGTGCAATGGTGCGATCTCGGCTCACTGCAACCTCTGCCTCCCGAGTTGAAGTGATTCTCCTGCTTCAGCCTCCCCAGTAGCTGGGATTACAGGCGCCTGCCACCACACCCGGCTAATTTTTTTGTAGTTTTAGTAGAGACAGGGTTTCACCATGTTGGCCAGGCTGGTCTTGAACTCCTGACCTCAGGCGATCCGCCCACCTTGGCCTCCCAAAGTGCTGGGATTACAGGTGTGAGCCACCGCACCCAGCCAATTTTATTTAATTTTAATTAATTTAAACTTAAATAGCTGCATGTCGCTAGTGGCTACTCTATTGGGCAGCATAGAATTTCTTTCCATTTTTAGATTTAGTATGGACATGTCCCTGGAAAAGTTGACTTATTTTCTATGAATTCATTTAACATATTTTATAAACATTTATTGAGCACCTAGTGAGTTTGTGTGCTTGGTGTCAGAAATATGTTTCCTTTGGATTTCCTGAGGCAGCTTTTTGGTGGTGTGGAGACCTCACATATGCCATCCCACACACCTGTGTGAACAAGCCTTGGTAACAGGGACCCTGCTGGTTCAACAGGAGCTGTCTCTCTTTCACCCCAATCTCCAGGGCCCACCATGCCAGGACCATCATCTGCTGGGCTGAAGGGGTGAGTGGCGGCTCTTTTCACTCAGCTGTGAGCTCTGGCAGGCTCAGGGATGCATCTGCTAGGAGGAAGGGGCACCTAGGTGAGATTCTGTCAAAGACATTGTATGGCTAATGTGGCCCAGTCACAGAGATTCTTTATCTCAGTTTACTCCTCTTAGTTGCTCCTGACACTTTCCTCAACAAATTTTCTGTGGAAAAAGCAAACACGTCTTCACAGCTACCCAATAACACTTTTTCTTTTTCCTTTTTTTCAAGCTTCATTGAGGTACAGTTGGCAAATAAAAATTGTTTATATTCAAGGTGTACAACGTGATGATTTGATGTATGTATACATTGTGGAATGATTACCACAATCAAGCTAAGGTATCCATTACCTCACATAGTTACCTATTTTTGTGGTGAGAGCACAGAAGGTTACTCTCTTAGGAAATTTTAAGTGTATAATACTTACTATTAATTCTAGTCACTATGCTGTGCTTTAGGTCTTCAGAACATATTCATCTTGTCACTGCAAGTTTGTACCCTTTAATCAACATCTTCCCATGTTCCCTACCTCCTGACCCCTGGTAGCTACCCTTCTACTCTGTTTATGTGAGATCATGCAGTATTTGTCCCTCTGTGTCTGGCTTATTTCACTTAGCATAATATCCTCCAGGTTCATCCGTGTTGCTGAAAATGGCAAGATTTACTTATTTTTTAAGGCTTAATAGTACTCCATTGTGTATATATACCACATTATCTATTTATTGGTCAACAGATACTCTAGTTATTTCTATATCTTGGCTATTATGAATAGTGCTGCAATGAACATGGGAGTGTAAAATAACTCTTTGAGATAGTGATTTTATTTTGTTTGGATATATACCCAGGATGAGATTGCTGTGTTGTATAGGAGTTCTATTTTTCATCTTTTGAAGAACCTCCATATTCTTTTCCATAATGCCTATACTAATTTACCGTTCCACCAGCAATGTATAAGGATTCCCTTTTCTCCACACCCTCACCAACACTTGTTATCTTTTGACTTTTTGCTAGTAGCTGTCCTAACAGATGTGAGATGATATCTCATTGTAGCTTTCATTTGCATTTTTCTGACAATGTTGACTACCTTTTCATATACCTGTTGGCCATTTGTATGTCTTCCTTGGGAAAGTGTCTATTCAAGTCCTTTGCCTATTTTTTTTTTTTTTTTAATGAAAAGGCAACTCACGGAATGGGAGAAAATGTTTGCAAACCATATTATCCAATAAGGGATTAAGTTCCAAAATATACAAGGAACTCATACAAGTCAGTAGGGATAATTAAATAATAACCCAATTTAAAAATAGGCAAAGGATCTACTTTTTTTCCTGTTTGTTTTTCAAAGGTATCCTACCTCCTGGAAGGGGGCAGCATGGCCCATGAAGACTTCTGTGGACACACTGGTAAAATGAACCCAGGAGATTTGCAGGTATGGCCAAGGACAAGGAATTGCTGGTGGTTTAGTAGTTTTTGGGTGCACGTGCTTGATCCTGCCCACTTCCAGTACATTCACCCTTTCCACACTCTCTCTATTATATTCTTGACTTTTCCTTTTCTACAGATTCTTTTACTCAGCCTGGAAACCACACAGGTCTCTTATATTCTTCTTTCACACTTTCCTTGACCCCTCAATCACTTTTTAGCTCCCACCTAGTCTTTTTCTTACATTTCTCAAAAGAGTAATCAGGAATGATATCCCAACTTCCTTATCTTTCATTCGTTTTGTACTTACTGAGATCAGATTTGGCCTCTCAGTAGCCCCTTCCAAATCTTTACTGAAGCTATTCAGGTAATGGTCACTTGTGATGTCCCAGTTGCCAAATTCAGTGATTGTTTCAGTCCTCATCTTTCTAGACCTCTCTGCTGCATTTGAGACAATGTATTATTTATCTTCCAACTCATTTGCAGGGTTAGGTGTTATCACTTAAGACAATGACCTCGAGCCCTCCATCATCCTAGTCTTGTCTGAGATATGTTACAATTAAAATCCCCCAAAATACTTGGGTCATATTTGCCAGTTTTGTAAGTCGAAACTCTATACCAGGTACTGTCTGGGATTTTATATGTATATGTTTTGAGGAATGATAAATTCACATATTTGAATCATAATATTTCAATGAAAGTGAAATTTAAAGACAAAAAAGCAAAAGAAAAAAGTCATGGCAAAAAGTCAATAGTAACCTCTCACTGGAGCAGAACATGAAATGAAGACTGCTTGCAAAGATACATATGATGACTGGAAATGTCCTGATCGTGGAAGTGGTGACTTCTGCCATCTGCACCATGGAGCTGCCTAGCAGCCATATGTGTGAGACAGTGGTCAACACTTCTTCTACCACTATAACTTCACATTGATTAGGATGATGATTGCATAGTGTCTTTCAGTTTATTCAGAGTTTTTGTATGCATGATCTCTTTGCGATAAGTAGTATTATTATTATCTTTTTGAGACAGGGCCTCACTCTCTTGCTCAGGCTGTAGTGCAATGGTGCATTCACTATTCACTGCAGCCTCGACCTCCCCAGCTCAAGTGATCCTTCCACCTTAGCTTCCCTAGTAGGTGGGACCACAGGTGCACAACACCACACCTGGCTAATTTTATTTTTTTGTAGAGATGGGGTCTCGTTATGTTGTCCAGGCTGGTCTCAAACTCCTAGGCTCAAGCGATCCACCCGCCTTGGCCTCCCAAAGTGCTTGGGTTACAAGCATGAGCCACTGTGCCCAGCAAAAAGAACCATAATATTATTCTCATCTCATTTTTAAAAATGAGGAAATGGGGATTTAAAGATGTTTTTAAAAACAGATGCCCATAGCCTCAGAGCTAGTAAATGATGAGGATGGAAAGAGAACCCCATTCTCCCCTTCCAGATCCAATATATAGGCCATTTTAGGTAAAGTATTGCCAAACTAGCTCATATCTAAAAAGGATAACCAAGGTATTGAAAATATGAAGAAATGAACTTTAAAGGGAAAAGGAAAATGCTTAAAAATGGGAGGATGTCTTTGAGGGACACCAATAACTATCATTAGACAGAAGAAATGCAGCATAAGAGGGTGTTTAGGTATACCTTATACTGCATTAGAGCAGGGTCAACAAATTTTTTCTATAAAGGGCAAATGGGCTTTGGGGACCATATGGCCTCTGTTGCCACTACCAGACTCTGTCATTGCAGCATGAAAGCAGACATAGACAGTATGTCAATGAATGGGCATGGCCGTGTGCCAATAAACTTTTACAAAAACAGGTGGCAGGTTAGATTGGGCCCCCAGGCTGTAGTTTGCCAACTCCTACATTAGAAGGTTTAACAAGCCTTTTCAAATGGGAGTAGAGGGAAATCTAGACTTCATGGAAGAAAAAAATCTTTAAAGTATGCACTGGCCTCCTTTCAGATCCTTCAACTAATAATGCTCATTCTTGTCTCAGATTCTTTTTCACATGCTGTTGTTTCTCTGTGGAATCCTCTTCCTCTTCCCCTTCCCCTGGCTAATTCTTACTCCTTGTTTGGATCTCAGCCTGAAGATTGCACCCTCAGATAAGCTGCCTTGAACTGAGCAGGACACTTCACGTGCTCACAGAACCCTGTCATTCTTCGAAGCACAAGCACAATTATAATGGCAATAATGATATGCATGACATTGTTTGTTTAAGGATTTTTCTCCTGATGAGGGCTGTGTGGAAGATGCTGTTGATGGCCTGCCTCATAGCCCTTTGGCCCAACTGTGAGTTCAGGTGGTGATGGTCCCCGTATGTGTACAGTACCATCTCAAGTGCTGTTACTCTGTCTGAGGGCTTTCTCCAGCCCTCACTGACCATATGTGGGCAGACCATATGTGTCAGTGATTTAACACTCCCATGGGAACTCTTGGTCAGTGAAGGATGGGAATTAGAGTCTAAATACCCTAGCTTCCCCTCTTCTCCATGCAACAATTTCAAAGTACATATATGGTTCCCAGTGGGATTGAATTCCAGATGTCCACAGATATAACCTTCTCATTAACAACTCTTTTTGGCTTTCTCCCTTGCCTCACTCTTCCCTACTCTCTCACTTGTGCTTTCTGCATCACTTTCCAAATAAACAACCTGCACATGTCTTTGTCTCACAACTTCTGTGGGAGAACTCAAACTAAGACAGGTAGGAAATGCATCTATGATGTTCATACCTTCATCTCCAGATTCCAAGATTTAGTCTTTGGGGCTGGTCCCTAATCTGCTTTTAATACAGACATGAACAAACACTTGAAGAATCTGCATAACAGTGGAGGCAATAATTGTTTCTCCAAGTAGCGAGGGTTCCATTACTGGAACTGAGCAAGTACAGATACAAGTTAACCATCCACAGTATAGTGGATACTGGGGACCTCCAAATGTATTTGTAGGCCCACATATTTATCCTCCAATGTCTGGGAACACTGGCTGCTGATGGCTCACAACGGCTTCCCTTCCTAGGAACTGCCCTCTGCAGCAGGGAATTGCCTCACCCAAAGTTGTGCTTTCCACCTGGGGATGGCCCACAGTCAATGGTTTGCTGATGTGGGGATATAAAAACTTGGCCACATTGTCTCAAGTCGGGACAATTCTGAAGGTTCATCTCAACTCCAGAGCTCCCTGTTGGATTGGCTAAAGCCTCTGTAGTAACTGCATTGCTGGGGAGCTTCTCCCCCTGCCCAATCCTGCTTTTTTCACTACTTAAGTTGTATCTCCTGAGAACACAGCCCAGTATACTATCTTCCTGCAACTCCCCATCTTAGAGCTTAATCTAAGACTCAGGGAAGTCAAAGAGAGGATTCTTCCATTTGTGGGAATTCCAGTTCCGATGTGTTGATTTCAAGTGAGGAAGCACAGGAAGCATTTGCAAAACTGGAAAGGGCCCCAGCAATTGTCACTGATGTTTATTATTCCCCTCGATGCCCAGGGGCTCTGATAGCAGCACTGGTAAGATGTCTCACTTAGTGATGGTGTTGTAATTGTTCCACCTATAGACTTATTAGGAGCTTGGTTACATTTCCCTCTTGTTGGTTTTGTGTTTGCAGTGGATGACTGCGGGCCGGGGCATTCTGCACGCTGAGATGCCTTGCTCAGAGGAGCCAGCCCATGGCCTACAACTGTGGGTTAATTTGAGGAGCTCAGAGAAGATGGTGGAGCCTCAGTACCAGGAACTGAAAAGTGAAGAAATCCCTAAACCCAGTAAGGATGGTGTGACAGTTGCTGTCATTTCTGGAGAAGCCCTGGGAATAAAGGTAAGCCAGGCTATTGTGTCTATTTAACCTGAGGCATGCAGTGACATAAGGCTGGCCCCTTCTGGATTGTTAGCTCTCACTAGGTTTACCAAAATTCATGTCCCATGGGATGGACTTGATTCATAGTTGTCAGAATAAGTGCAACCTAAGAAAACTCAGAAATTTTTCCTGCCTACAAACCCATAGAGTTAGGAAAATTACAAGAAAGCAAGCTCATATAAAGTTTGGTCGAGGAGCAATTTTCAAAGTATGTCTTAATATGTGTGCTGATTTAGCCTAATTCCTTTCACTTATAGTGCAATTTTATGCTTTAAATTATAGCTCCTTAGTACAGCAGGATTGCTACCTTTAAGAAACAAACAACCAAAAAGCAAGACTAAACTCCACTTCACAAAGATTTATGTAAATTACTTATGTCCAACTTAGTAATGTAAGGAAAGCACACTACTACATTGCAGAAAGTTTATTTTTAAATTTTAACTTGACAATTTGTCCAACCCATACACGACATGCCCTGTACATTCTTTTCAACTGGGACTTTATATTATTTGGATTTATAGTCTCACCTTTTTGATTAAATAAGTCAATTTAGGCTAAAGATTATGGACATATTTGTGGGAGGAAAGGGGTGCGGCAAATGCCATGTTAATTGCACACCAGAACTGCTCCTGGGGAGCATAAGATTCCTCACACCAACCAATCTGAGGTAGTGTGTTTTCTTAGGTGGGGTTTCCCAGAAGCAGACCCTGAGATGAAGATTCCCATCCAAGAGATTTTTAAGTAAGCGTTCCTAGGAGAACAGTAAAAGGAATCAGGACAAATTAGGGGAGGAAGTGAAGCAAGGCTGCCATCTCAGGCAGAGTCCTAAAGAGGGTGGCTTTACCTTGATCCTGCAAGGGACTTTGAAAGATCAACGTGCCTCAGAGATGTCCGAGCCCATCCCTGGCAAGGGAGCCGGGCTTTCATGCTCCCTTACCCAATGGTCATTGGTTATGGCCATTAACTTTGAAGTGGAGGCACAGAAATGGTTAAAAGGGATCTGAGGGGATCTGGGAGAAGCCTTGACATCGGGTACTACACATGGAACCTGGCATTGAGTGCATCAAGATAGTGGGAGTTACTCTGCCATTCTCCCAGTGCACAACCAGCACTTAAAACTATCTAAAACTAACTTCTGTAAATTTTAATTTTTTGATGTGTACCATCAGGGATAATGGCTTGGCAGTGGCTACTAACCAACCACTCAATGGGATGCATGGGATGGTTAACAGATTGGTCATGGTTATTGGTTGGGACTTACCAGTTTTTGTATTTCCTGAACTATAACCAAAGTTTTACCGTTTTTATTTTTGTTTTTTTGTTTTTTTTTTTTTTACCTGTACCCTGCCTAGGTATATGATTTTGTTTTGTGTTTCTAGTGCAAACAAAAGTAATTGAACAACAACGACAAAAAAATCAAAGTTCACAAAGTTAAGCATACCTGACTGCTGTCCACACCCCTGGCAGACCTATTGCTTACTTTGCCATTGGAAAAGACCCTTTGTTGTGTTTCTGTGACTCGTTTCTGTTTTGCCAAGCATTGGTCAGTGAGTGCCCTTTTCAGCTGTTTGTGAAGAGTTTCTTTCCCTTGAGCTCTGCAGAAGAGGGTTAAGATCCTGTGAGGACTTCCTGGTGTAGCAGCAAAAGATATTGTTCAGTATAGTATCAGGCAGAGCGGTCTAAAGGGAGCTGAATTAATACAGATATGAAGCTGCTCACTCCATCTCACATGGTATTTTCCTTCCCTGTTTCCAGGACTCTGAGGTTTTAGGGACATGCCTTTAGGGGATAGTGAGATGGATAGTAGAGGGCAAGAAGCCCCCTTCTGCTTCAACCAAAGCAGAAGACTTTGCCCGATTTCATATATTGTGATTGTCCATAAGATTTGATTTAGAAAAAGAGTTGAACTGTTGGCAGTTCAAAAGAGAAATCAGACCAGTGATTTAGTTGATTAGCAAAGCCAGTGATATCACGAATCCTTAGAGTTTACAACTACTTCTCATTTATAGAAATCATAAGGCAATTTAAAGTTGGAGCCAGTAAAGCACTTTCAAGCAGCAGACCATGTGGTCTTGTAATCACAGCCAAGGATAAGAAACCAGAGGTAATGTTTTAACTTTGTAAAATAATGTCTTAGTACCTGCCAGCTTCTGTTATTTATTTTTGTTGAATAAAATCTCTGAAGTGAATTATATTCTCCTAAGTAAATGACCAGTCTTTCTTACGAGTGAATTTTAATAATAACGCTTCTTGGAACCATGGGCAGCATTAATTTAGATTTCAAGAGGCAGCGTGGTGCAGTGGTTACCTGCATGGACTCTGGAGATAGAATGCCTGGGTTAGAATCCTTACCATGAAATAGCTGTGTGGCCTTGGGCAAGCCAGTTACTTTCTCTGGACCTCAGTGTCTCATCTATTAAATAGGACTTTTTGTGAAGATTAAGTGACTTTTTATACATTAAACTCTCAGAATAGTGCCAGACACATTGTAAGCATCACATAAGTGGCAGTTATTATTTTGATTAATTTACGGTAACTTGAACAGGAGCTGGGCTGAGATTTATGTCTGCCATCTAAGCTAAAGGGATTTGCTGTGATTTGGGAAGGGTTATTAACCTGCACTCAAGAAAGGACACCAGTAAGAGTCATTTTAAAGATAGGGAGCAACTGGTGATTTCGTTGTGGGTCTCATAAGAAACATAGTTTTGCACATCTGAAGCCTTAATATCTGATTAACAAGGAATGACTGGGTCTTAAAAGGTCTAGACCTACCATAAAAAGAAACTGAAGATTGTTTCGCATCAGGAAGACAATTTTAGGTTAAATTACAAGGTGAGGCTGAGAATATATATTTCAAGAGATTAGTGTATTTATAACCAATACAGAGTCAACAACAACTTCCATCTCTGCAACTAAAATACCTAGAAAATGGAATTAGCAATAATTCCAGCACTTCTTCAACTTTAATATTCATGTGAATTACCTGAGGGTCTTGATAAAATGCAGACTCTGATTCAGCACATCTGAGATGGGGTCTAAGAGTCTACATTTCTAACAGGCTCCCAGGTGATGCCAATACTGTGGTCTGGGGACCACTCTTTGGAACATGCATAATGGGTATGGGATCCAAGACACAGGAGTTTACCCATCTTGAGAAATCATTTGATTAAGCTCCTATAGAAGATGTCAAATGATCTAGTACTGTGAATTTTGGCAAATCTTATTTAGCTTTTCTGGACCTCAGTCCCGACATCCACAAAAAAGGTGAGGGGGGTTTTGAATAAGATACTGTCGCTTTTATGAGCAACAAAACTGCCTTTTTGATACTACCAAGGGTAGCTGTATGCCTGTTTCCCAGGTTGTATGTGTCTGAGCATTTATTCAACCCTTGGAAAGCCAAGACAGAACAAGATTCTGCCAGGACAGCATGGTCTAAAGTGAAGGCTGAACAGGGAGAAAAGGTTAAAATGGGATAGTTTGAATAGTTCCTGTCACTTTTGGAAGGTCAAAATCACATGTTTATTTCATGAAAGTATGAAATTCTCCAAACCCCATTCCATCCTTATCAGACAACTAATCAGCAATATTATTGCCAGCTCTCTTTGGAACACAGTTCTTTTTCCAAAAACACGCCTCTACTTGCCTCCTGCTGCTCTAAATTCTGTTGTCAGAAGCAAACCTTGAGGAGGCCTCAGCCCCACTGGGGTTAGAGAAAGGCAATCTGGAGCCAGATGGCCTTGGTTCAAGGCCAGCTCACCACTGACTCACTCTGAAGAAGTCACTTAAGATTGCTGTGCCTCAGTGTTCTCATCTGTAAAATGGAGAAGATTATAATGACCCAGCTCAGAGGGTTGCTGGGAGGATTAGGTTGGCTATTACTTGTAAAGTACTTAGAACAGGTGCAGAGTAAGCCCTCTGCAAGTGGTTGCTATTTTCACTTCCATACAAAATCTTTGGGCAGTTTTCATGTGGCCTACAAATGTAACCAAAAGAATCTTTCTTCTGATGGACAGTCTGTATATTCATGTGTTGGATGATAACCAAACTTTAAAAAATTTAATTTTCAAAAATGCCTGCTAAACATCTCATGTAATTCACTCAGATCATACCACTGTGCACTTAGCACCGGAAACAATGCCTGAGAGATAACAGATGATCAATAAATATTTTCAAATGAGTAAATGAAATCATTAAAATATACATGGATGCTGGAATAAGAGAAATGAAGGTAAAGTAGTAAGAAGATAGACAATATAGGGATTAAGAATGAGTGAAATAAGCTTAAAATGAGCTTACTAAAAAGTTAAGAGAACAATAAAATTAGCTAAATTATATGTTAAAATAAAATAAACTATTTAAGGGACTAGGAAGTAAGGAAATAAAAGCCAGATTGATCTTTTTTTTTTTTCTTTAAATGTGAACTCTTTTGCAGGACCCAAATTGTTCTTGCAGGTTTCTTCAAGCAGTGACAATAATGGTAAACAAAGGTTCAGAGGCTTGTGGTTCCCCTTGGAAGTCCACAGGCAGGTGTCTTCTTATCTGCTTTAGCTTCTTCCATGTGGCTTTTCAGGGCATGGCTTGAGCTCCAGAATAGTGGATATACTTATCAGCTTTCTAGGCATTTCTTGTGGATATCTCCCCTCCCTTGCCGGTTTAGCTGTACAAGCATTGGAAGACCCCATGTCCCTCGGGCAATTCTTTCCTAGTCAACGAGCAACCTGCCCACTAATTGGCCTGTGTTGGTTGTGGGTTGACAAGTAATTTATAATCAAGCCTGTAATAATCCCCTGTGATTTGGAGAGCTGATGGAGTCTCCTGGCCACTGTGCAAGCCACTGTGTGTGCAAGCCACTGGTGCACACACACGATTTTTCCTGTACCAGAACTAGAGAGAAATAGCTGCCCACATTTTCCAGGTTTTGCTTTCATCCAAGAGACTTTTAGGGGCTGGATGTTATTTGAAACACTTTATCACCAAAATGCAATTTTGTCAGTATTCCTTCTACCTTAACTTGATTAAAAATATATTTTATGTGGCTTTTAGGGGAATACTTTTATAGCACATGCAAACGGCAGTGGGTTTTGGGCAATCAGAATACTGGAAGGTAAACTTAAAACATTTTTGCATCTTAGTAAACTCAGAACATTTTCAGGGGAAATTTGACTTCTTTGATTATATTGGGCACATTTAAGGAGCTCCTCCCTCACCTGCCTTCCTGCATTTGCTTCCGTCCACTGTGTGATGTGGAGAGAGCTGGACTCTTCCCACAGGAGGCTGCTCTTTTCTTCTCAAGCTCAGGAGAACAATATTTTGAAGTAGCATTAAAAAAAAACTATTAAATCATGGAAACAGGTAACATATACGCGCACACTTTTTTTGCCTTTGAAATATTCCAGCAAGTTCATGGATCTAGCTAAAAAAAAAGAAAAATAACAGATACTCTCCTAATGGCAGAGAGTGTGAGAGGGGCACTGGGTTTCTGACATAGGGAGCTTGAGTAAACAGGCTCCAGCTGTCCCAGAGAGCAAGCAAAGGAAAAACAACACTTGCTTGGGAAGGAATTCTCCCTTCCAAAGACCTCTCTTTTAATTTATTGTATTTATAAATCAGAGCGCTCTGTGATAGATTTAAAAACTGGATATTTAACAAATGTTCCCTTTGGGGTGAGGGTAGCAGGGATAAGGATGGACCTGAAACTTCCCTCAGTATGTCTTTTAATTTTTACTTTTGAAAGATAGAAATGCTTACATATTTAAAATATCAAGTTAAACCAGAAAAGAAAAAAGAAACAAGTCTTAAAATCAAAAACAAATAGAAACAAGTGAAGAATCTAAAATTGGTATAAAGATATTGGCAACATAACCACACAGAGAAAACATTTATTTGAAGGGCTTTTAAACATGATGTCCTGGCTGTATATTTTAGTGGGATATATTCTAAAGACAAAAAGAACAGCAAAAAATATTTTAAACTTTACTCCATAGTCTTTGTTGTTAGTGTTGGTTTTATAATTTCATAACAAGTTAATGTGTATTATGAAATAAAACAAATTAGTAAATTTGTTAATGTTTATAGAAATCAAGATTTTCAGTATAAGAAAAATGGATACAAATATAAAAGAGCTAAGAAAAATACTGTAATATTCAATGTTAAATTCAACATTAAATAGACATTTTAAAACATTGGATGGCCATTATTTCTTTGAGGCAGTTTCTGGAAACAATATGATTTTATCATTTTAGGAGTCCAAGATTTTTGATGATGCAATTTATGTTTCTTTCTGATAACAACTCCATTCTCCACTGATTATTTCCATTGATTTTTTTATGGTTCATGTTTAATTCAATGCTATGAGAAGTGCTTTAAAAAGTTCCACCTAAGAAATTCACAATCACCCTAATGAATTCTGGTGAAATTCCCCTTTTAAGACATTCTATAACTGTATTTTAATGGATAGATAGGGGGAGAAAGTAAAGGAAATATCCGCATGAATCAGAGAGCTTCCTGGTCTCTTTTTGACACCGGGCAAGGGAGGAAGCAGAGCATTTTAGGGAGAAAGAATTCTGCAAAATACTGTAGAAAAAAAGGAGTTGAGGATTTCCCCATCTTTATCTCCTTGCTTCTATGCACCAAGGTCCAACCCAGGTCCCCTCTCTTTGGTGCAGCCTTCTCAGCTGTCCTGGCCGACAAGCATCTCAACTTCTGCCCAGATTCACACAGCCATTCTGTCTTCATAACTCATGAGATTTTTGGGCGGACGGCATTTAATTTACATGTCCCATTTCCCCTTAATTCCTATTAGGCACCTGCTGTGTGTACATCATGCAGTTCCCTGGAGATACAATGTGAATAAGATACAACCACTGTCCTCAAAAATGCTCACAGTCTAGCTTGGGAGAGAAACCGGCAAACAGCAGAAGTATAATGTGACACAGGAAATACGAAAACAGCAGTATGTGAAAATCTCATGATACTCCAGAATAGGGAGAATCAATTCTGCTTGTGTGGATGGAGCAAGGGAAAGAAAGATTGGGCAGGGATCACGTCTTGTAATGGCTTGTATAAAGACTTGGATAGTAAGAGTGCAGTAACTATTTAGGCATCCTGATGCAGGCTGCATAGGCAACCAGATACTTGTGGAGTTATGGCAGGGCAAGAGGAAGGAAATGATGCAAAATATGGGGATGGAGAAAAACCCAAGTTTGTCTACCTCTGGATTTTGCCTAAGGCCAACGTTTGTTGTATGCATATTCTTGCATCCTTCTCTCACAAGGTTTTAAATAGTAGGGCATGAGGTTAAGGTGCAGTGGCCTCCCCAGCATGCTATATGCAGTCCATCTCATCTCAGGTTTCATGAAGCAGTTCATTCTACGGGACGTGCCTGCTACAGGCCATGTAGCCTGAGCAGATGATCAGCAACATTCCACAGACAAGTGCAAAACTTGGCTTGGATTCACTGTTGAGAATAGGCACAATTAGGTCTGCTAGTCTTGTTTAGTAAATAGGAAGACACCAAAGAAATGTACCCAGCAACTTCAAAGAACTTGTCTTGTGGTAGGCAGCCATAGTTGGCACTTCATTTGCAGTTAGGAATGTGCAAATAAACAGTGGTCAGGATCTGCTCAAATCAGCTGGACAAAAGCTTCCTCTTGCCCAGGGCAGCCCACTCACCCCAGAAATACCATTCTTGGTGTGCACAAAGGGTGCCAGATGTTCTTATTCATTCAAGATGTCCCTGCTGACCTAATCCCTAAGAAGTACATTTCAGTCGTGGCGACAAGCCCTCTCCTTCCAGTGAATGAAGAATGGATAGGTGCACTTTTAAACCAGAAGTAACACCCTGTGCCATTCATACTTTGTTGGCCCTAGTGATCAGGATTGTAACTTAGCAGGGAAATTTAGACTAAGAGCATAATAAAAGCTATTAAAAAAACCCAAGGTGTCAACTTCAATAAAGGTTAGTGGTCACTTTAGCATATTATTGTAATCACTTCTATGGCCATCAAGACTTGTCCTTTTAGGATATAGTATGTCTTTTCCCAGGAACACATTACATATTTTTTCTAACCACAGAAAAAAATGCAGGACAGCTTCAGAGAGCTGTCTTGAGACTCTTGCATGTTGCATTAAAAGCTGAGCTCTTATGGATATGAATAAAGTGGATGTCAGTATTTTAAAAACTGGTATCAGCAGCCGGGCGTGGTGGCTCACGCCTGTAATCCCAGCACTTTGGGAGGCCGAGGCGGCCGGATCACGAGGTCAGGAGATCAAGACCATCCTGGCTAACATGGTGAAACCCCGTCTCTACTAAAAATACAAAAACAAAATTAGCCAGGAGTGGTGGTGGGTGCCTGTAGTCCCAGCTACTCAGGAGGCTGAGGCAGGAGAATGGTGTGAACCCGCGAGGCGGAGCTTGCAGTGAGCCGAGATCATGCCACTGCACTCCAGCCTGGGCCCTGGGCGACAGAGTGAGACTCCATCTCACAAAAAAAAAACCAAAAAACCAAACAAACAAACAAAAAAACAACTGGTATCAGCATATATAAAGCTATGCTGTTGATAGCTGCAAACACAGTACTTCATTTTGACCAAAGCAGAAATCCTTGGGATCATGTAGCTTTTGAATAATTTGATCAAACTCACACTCAAATGTGTTGAGCAAATTCGGGTTCAGATAAAATTCTGATTACTGGAAGCATTAGAAGTTTATAGTATGTAAATTATATCTCAATAAATCTGTTTTGAAAAGGAATTCTACTCCTGTGGACAGGTATATGTACTCCAAGATAGCCAAGTATTTAGACATTTCAACTCAAATGAGCTCTAAATCATTGATAGTAACGATTAAAGGAACAGCATGTTCTGTCATAAAAATCACAGGGAATCATTTTTTGCCATCCATTGCAGATCCGGGGGCTGTTCAGTATTCCTTTGGCTTAGTAAAATGAGATGAGTTCAGCAAACATTTACTGAGGGCCAGCTGCATGCAAGACCCTATAGAGGTATGAGGGGAAAAGGTGAAAAAATCAGGGGGCTGGATGGATGCAGTTGAAGGGAAAGACATATCAACTGATAGCATGAGTATACTGTGGTGAGTCAGCACGCTAGAAATCATGGCAGGCTAATGGGAAAGCAGAGGAGGAGGCTCAGTCCAATCTGGAGGTCCAAGAAAACAGGCCTAAGTCTAAAGGAGAAAACTGACCTGGTGAAGAAGGGTGGAATGTCTAGATCAAGCTTATTCAACTCGCGGCCCAGGACAACTTTGAATATGGCCCAACGCAAATTTATATACTTTCTTAAAACATTGTGAGATTTTTGTTTGTGATTTTTTTTTTCTTTGAGCTCATCAGCTATCATTAATGTTAGTGTATTTTATGTGTGGCCCAAGACAATTCTTCTTCCAGTGTGGCCCAGGGAATCCATTTTGGCCACCCCTGGTCTAGATGGTGCAGAAGGAGACAGCATGAGTAGAGGTGTTTCTGCACAGAGAAACAGTGTTCAGTGGTATAAACCAATGCTTTAAGAAGGCCTTCAAAACACACGTTCATTTTCTAAAGTATGAAAATTGGAAAAGTTCTTATCTTTCTTATGTAAAATTTGGTAATTTGTGTGTTTCTCTCTCTTAGTTTTTTTAAACTTTTCAAATTTATTCTCTTTTGTTTTTAGAAATATCTTGAATAGGCCGGGTGTGGTGGCTCACGCCTGTAATCCCAGCATTTTGGGAGGCCGAGGCGGGTGGATCACGAGGTCAAGAGATAGAGACCGTCCTGGCTAACATGGTGAAACCCCGTCTCTACTAAAAATGCAAAAAATTAGCCAGGCGTGGTGGTGGGTGCCTGTAGTCCCAGCTACTCGGGAGGCTGAGGCAGGAGAATGGCGTGAACCCGGGAGGCGGAGCTTGCAGTGAGCCGAGATCGCGCCACAGCACTTCAGCCTGGGCGACAGAGCGAGACTCCGTCTCAAAAAAAAAAAAAAAAAAAAAAAAAAAGAAATATCTTGAATATACAGATGACGTTTCACCTGGGCTAGTTTCTCATCTGTATTCTTTACCTTTTACCTCCCTCCCTGAGCCAACAAAACTCAAGCACAATGCTCTCACGATGCCATCTAATGGAGTCTTTTGTATTAATATGGCTGTTATGTTTGGAATACAATATGGACTGATTAAGATCTGGCTCCTCCAGGTTTGTTGAGAAATAAAACAATGACAATTTACCTCTTTTTCGTAAAACCTTAAAGCCCCCTTGCTCTCTTTGTTTTATTTTTTAATTATTATTATACTTTAAGTTGTGGGGTACATGTGCACAACGTGCAGGTTTGTTACATAGGCATACATGTGCCATGTTGGTTTGCTGCACCCATCAACGCGTCGTTTACATTGGGTATTTCTCCTAATGCTATCCCTCCCCCAGAACCCCACCCCCCGACTGGCCCGGGTGTGTGATGTTCACCGCCCTGTGTCCAAGTGTTCTCATTGTTCAAGATGATCGTTTTTAACATTATGGAAGGAAACCATGATGGTCATAATTTTTCTACCCTAGATCAACTATAAATAGCAATTAGAGAAATTTAAATGCCTCTTTTTTAAAGGAAGCCATTTTGATGTCCAGAACAAGGCTCTTCTGTCCCACTGCCTTCAGTCACCTGCCTCTGATTAATTTTCTTCTCATCTCTGGGCTCTAAGAACAATACTGGCTTCCCCACCCAACCTCCCACCCCCACGTGTTATTCTCTAGTTACAAAGAAGCGATACACAGGACAGAGGGAGAGCTGGGCAGTGAAAAGGAGGAAGAAAACCCGACACTGTTTCTGCACCATCTTGGTTCCTTTAACATTGATTTTTGGGCCTTTCCACCCTGTCTCCACCAAACAGATTTCTTGTAAACTGCTCCCTGCCTCTGTTTCATTAGGTTTTCTGCCAATTGAGTCCCCCAGCCAGATTCTTTTCCTCAGCAGCCTCCACTCCTGGCTGTGGCAGCTCTGCTTGTCAGGAGTCAGTACCCACCTGTTTTTGTCTGCCTTGGGAGACTTTGAGTGTCTCTAGGTAACTACCAAGACTTGGCTGGTGGATTTTCCCAGCATCAGATATGGATTTGAGGCCATCTGTTACATGTCAGTCCAAAAGAAGTTTTGAGCAAGAGTTCTGGTGACTGTCATTAAGTGTTTTTGTAGGTTTTAACTGACAAAGTCTGTCAGCCAAACAAAAGCAGACCCGTTTATTGAAGAGGGCCTAAAATTCAGTGGAAGTCAAATGTAGGGAGTTGAGGTTGAGAAGACCAAAAAGAACACAGGCATACCCCAGAGATATTGTGGGTTCAGTTCCAGATCACTGTAATAAAGGGAATATTGCAATAAAGCGAATCACACATTTTTTTGCTTCCTAGTGCATATAAAAGTTATGTTTACACTATTTTGTAGTCTGTTAAGTATGCAATAGCATTATATCTAAAAAAGTACATGCCTTAATTTAAAAATACTTTTGTTGAAAAATGCTAATGATCATCTGAACCTCCAGCGCGTCCTAATGTTTCTGCTGATGGAGAATCTTGTCTCAGTGTTGATGGGTGCTGACTGATTAGAGTGGTGGTTGCTGAAGGTTGGGGTGGCTGTGGCAGTTTCTTAAAATCAGACAACGATGTTGTTTGCTGCACTGATTGACTCTTCCTTTCACGAAATATTTCTCTGTAGCGTGTAATGCTGTTCGATTATATTTTACCCACAGTGGAACTTCTTTCAAAATTGGAGTCAGTACTCTCCAACCCTGCCACTGCTTTATCAACTGAGTTTATGTGATATTTTAAAACTTTTATTGTCATTTCCACAATGTTTACAGCATCTTCACCAGGAGACTCCCTCTCAAGAAACTACTTTCTTTGCTCTTTGATAAGAATCATCTCCTCATCTAATGAAGTTTTGTCATGAGCTTGTAGCAATTCAGTCACATCTTCAGGCTCCACTTCTAATTCTAGTTCTCTTGCTATTCCCACCATATTTGCAGTGACTTCCTCCGCTGAAGTCTTGAACCCCTTTAAAGTCACCCATTAGTGTTGGAATCAACTTCTACCAAACTCCTATTAATGTTGATATTTTGATCCCCTCCCAGGAATCACAAATGTTCTCAATGGCATCTAGAGCAGTGAATCCTTTCCAGAAGGTTTTCAGCTTACTTTGCCCAGATCCATTAGAGGAATCACCATCTATGGCAGCTATAGCCTTATGAAATTTATAATTATAATTATTATGCTTGTAATTAATAAAATAATTAATTGATGATGATTAATATCAATTAAATTATTGAATATTAATTGTTAATATGAATTATAATAAAGAGTAATTTTGACTTTCAAGTCTGAAATAATAAGACTTGAAAGTTGAAATTACTCCTTGATTCATGGGCTGCTAAGTGGATGTTGTGTTAGCAGGCCCATTAATCTTGCACATCTCCATCAGAGCTCTTGGTTGACCAAATGCATTGTCAATGAGCAGTAATATTTTTAAAGGAATATTTTTTTTTCTGAATAGTAGGGCTCAATAATAGACTTAAATATTCAGCAAACCATGCTGTACACAGAATAGCTTTCATTCAGGTTTTGTTCTTCCATTTCTAGAACACAAGTAGTGTAGATTTAGCATAATTCTTAAGGGCCCTAGGATTTTTACAATGGTAAATGAACACTGGCTTCAACTTAAAGTCACCAGCTGCATTAACCCCTAACGAGAGAGAGTCAGCCTGTTCTTTAAAGCTTTGAAGACAAGCATCGACTTCTCTCTAGCTATGAAAGTCATAGATGGAATCTTTTTTCAATATAAGGCTGTTTCATCTACATTGAAAATCTGTTGTTTAGTGTAGCCACCTTCATCAGTGATCTTAGCTGGATCTTCTGGATAACTTACTGCAGCTTCTCCATCAGCACTTGCTACTTTACCTTCTACTTTTATGTTATGGAGATGTCTTCTTTCCTTAAACCTCAATAACCAACCTCTGCTAGCTTCCAACTTTTCTTCTGCAGTTTCCTCACCTCTCTCAGCCTTCACAGAAGTGAAGAGAGTTAAGGTCTTGCTCTGGATTGGACTTTGGCTTAAGGGAATGTTGTGGGTAGTTTGATCTTCCATCCAGACCACTCAAACTTTCTCCATATCAGCAATTAGGCTGTTTTGCTTTCTTATCATCTGTGTGTTCGCTGGAGTAGCACTTTTAATTTCCTTCAGAAACTTTTCCCTTGCATTCCCAACTTGGCTAACTGGTGCAAGAGGCCTAGCTCTTGGCCTGTCTCGGCTTTTGACATGCCTTCCTCACTAAGCTTAATCATTTCTAGCTTTTTGTTTAAAGTGAGAGACATATGACTCTTTCTTTCTCCTGAACACATCGAGGCCATTGTGGGGTTGTTAATTGGTCTCATTTCAATATTGTGTCTCAGAACAGGGAGACCCAAGGAGAGGGAGAGAGATGGAGAACGGCCAGTTAGGGGAGCAGTCAGAACACACATTTATCAGTTAAGTTCGATGTGTCTTATGTCGGCACAGTTTTGTGGTGCATCAAAACAATTT
Source organism: Homo sapiens (assembly GCF_000001405.40). Classification (NCBI taxonomy): domain Eukaryota; kingdom Metazoa; phylum Chordata; class Mammalia; order Primates; family Hominidae; genus Homo; species Homo sapiens. The sequence continues at coordinate 15,442,260 of NC_000023.11, read as the reverse complement.
CAATAGTAACATCAAAGATCACAGATAATAGATATAGTGATAATGAAAACGTGATAATGAAATATGGCAAGAATTACCAAAATGTGACATTGAGATGTGAGGTGAGCACATGCTGTTGGAAAAATGACACCCATAGATTTGCTCAACATAGGGTTACCACAAACCTTCAATTTGTAAAAAAAAAAAAAATACATATATTTACAAAGCACAATAAAGGAAGTGTGATAAAACAAGGTATGCCTGTACGTCTTTCTTTCCTTCCCAAGTTCCGAACGAATTGAGAGGGAGACTGAGGAGTTGGCCAGATAGGGATCCAAATATCATCTTTCTTACCAGTAAAATCTAGATAAAAGCACACGACTTATATCTGAGACCTGTTGGGCTTCTTAATACTTCCCCGGCTTCATTAACCACGTCCAGGCAGAGGTGTACCTACAGTCACAGGCATCTTCTTCAGAGGCAGGCTTACCTCTTGACAGAAGAAGAGAGAAAGAGAAAGAAAAAGAGCTCAGAAGGGCCTGAGCTGAGCATACTCAGTCCCTTGAATTACTCTTACCAGCTGGATCCCACCTCCTGCCTCCCCCTCATCCTCAGGGATTAGTGAGAAAGGCAGAGAGCAGCTGGCAGTATTGCCTCATGGGGATATTAGGGAGGGGTCTGGAGGCTCCTTCGAACATTCCCTGATTTTTTTTCTATTAACATATTAGAGTCGGACGCTTAGCCATGACTGCCTCCTCAAGGAAAGAGATGAGAAATTTATCAGTGTGGACCCCCTCACATAAAAACTAACTTCTGTTCTCTAGGATCAATTTTACCCCCAGAATGATGTGAAATGTATATGGAGAGTTTTTTGTTAAATTCACACCAAGGCATATCTGTCTTCTAGACTGCACATTTCATTTTATCTAAATATTAAAATATCACAAATTTGAACATAAACCTCTCCTATCATCAAACTTCTAAGACAAAAGTAAAGTTCTGATCTAAAACCCCTTGCCCTTATAAATCACATTAAAATAAACTAGAATTAAAATTGCATTCTAAATAAGATGCCAAAGCATCTTTATCCAATTTTAACCCTGCTTTGCTTGGGTAGAATAAGGATTTTCTTTTTTCTTTCTGAGCATCGTAGCCTGAGTTGCCTCCCCTGGACTGGATGTGGCTCCATTAGGTCTGCCAAACTTGAATCCATTCAACCTCAATTCTCATTCATTTCACTTTAAAAATAGTCCCAAAAGGTAATAAAAGACACATTTATCACAATACCGGTTTTGGTTCCATGAAATTTTATTGCACAAGCAAATCTCCAAGCCCTAGAGCAGTCATATCTGTAGAAAATTGATGTACTTGCTCAGTTCAGAGCATTAACATAGTTGGGAGAACAAAACCGTGTATCCATACCGTCTCCACTCTCTTGGGGGGAGACATTTCTCCTTTGTGTAAAGTTCTATGCTTGTGTTGGTGGTAACTCCAGGCACCAGATCTTAAGAAAATCCTGTACTCAACTATGGAAAGCTGATAAGAATATGAAGAAATGTTCCTCTCACCAATATGCAGAAACATAGAAATTTGAATAATATGCTGCCACTTGACACCCTTCAAATTAAGAAAAAATACAAAGTTGGGTACTGTGAAGTGCTGGCAAGGATGGGAAGAAATGGAAACTTCATGTTTGGCAAGTGGGTGTAACTGTGTTCATTGTGGAGAGCAAGTTGACATTATCCAATGAAGCTAACACTGAATATAGGGTATGCCCCAGAAACTTCATTCCTAGTATTTATTCCATCAAAACTTCACCAAGCAGACATATGACAGTGGTCATCCCAGCATCGTGAGTAATAGAAAGGAGTCAGAGTTGATATAGGTGTTCACCACTGAGAGAATGAATAAGTGAAATATGGTGGTTACATATGATGGAATATGGTGTAGCCGCCAGAAGCAGTGGGCTGTATTCACTTGTAGTTATTAGCTCTCAGGAAAAAAATGAGGAATAAATCAGAAAAGAAAGCAGTTTAGCACACAATACTACTCATTTTTCAAGGACACCCATATATCTAAATAAATACACTGTGGGTAGATTGGAAGGATGTCCATTACATATGCTCAACTGAGAGCCAATGGGGAATGGTCTTGAGATGGGGGATGATGGAGGAAAATAACACAAAGCAAGAGGGGTGCCCATGGATGTATGATGACCCTGTGCCATGGAATATAGTGTACAGCCAATTCAATTCCATGAACCCAGGGCCAGAGAGACAGAGAGAGAGAGAGAGAGAAATTTGTGTCTAACACCAGCTTTTAACTTGGTTGGTGTAGGTGACCTCCTGTGTGGCTGATTTAAGGGATTCTAAAAAGCCCAACATATGACAGAAAATCTCACTGTCATGTTATTAAAACTGTACCATTAGAGTCCATCCTTCAACAGTATGAGGGACTGAAAGGAGCATAGGCTGTGGAGTCAAGCACACCTGGGTTCAAATCTCAGCTCTGACCTTGGGAAATTTGTTTTGAGCTTTTATTTCCTCATCTGCCAAGTGGGGATGATAATACACAGTCCTTGAGGTTTTTGTAGGGTATTTAATGTGCCTAGCAACATAGAGGGTACTTAATAAATATTTCTTTCCTTTTCCCTTATCTATCTTTTCTTTTCCCACATTCCCTTTTATCATTAGTCTTTACTGACAGCAAATCTCTAGAAATTCTTGGGATGGGAAATGAAAGTGGCCAACATCTTTTATGGGCTTATGAGGTGCTAAGTTCTAAGTCAGAGTTGTCTAATAAAAATATAATGGAAGCAACATGTAACTTCAAATTTCATAGTAAACATTTAAAAAGTAAAATAAAACAGGTAAGATTAATTTTAATAGCATATTTAATCCAATATATCCAAAATATTATCATTGCAACATGTAACCAATATAAAATTGTAATGAGATAGTTCACACTTTTTGTTACCGAGTCTTTGAAATCCAGTGTGTATTTTACACTTGCAGCACATCTGTGCAGACTGGCCACATTTCACATACCCAATAGCCACATGCAGTGAGTGGCAACTGTATTGGACAGTGAAGTTCTGAGTTCTTTATATGTGTCAATTCTTTTAATTCTGATTTAACTTGGGTTCTCTGGAAAACAAAGCCCAAGGCAAGTATTATTTGCAATCCCAGGGCAGTGGGAGTGAAGGAGAAGGGAAGTGAGACAGATTCTTGGCCATGTAGGATGCCTGTTCAGGAAGCTGTACCTCAGAACTTTCTAAGGGAGCAAGAATTTGTCTGTTGCCCCACATCTTCCATTCCTCTTTGGTCAAAGTTTGCCCATGGGGAGCTAATTCCCTGCCCTTCTGGTTTGTGTCACCCGGTCCCTGCAGACAGCCTCTGAATAGGCCACATGTCCCATTCTATGGCTTGGATCTGTATCCAAGTGTGGGCATGAAGAGAGGATCCAGAGCCTCCGTAGGTCACTTAGGTCAAGCCCAGACTCTGGAGCTTCTGGAACTCCCACCACTGAGAGGACAATCAAGACGATGTCAGAACTTGACAGTCGGCTAGGACAGGCCAAGGCATCTGGCGATGTCAACAGTTGCAACAATGATGGCACCTACAGGTCTCCATAAGAGGCCAAGGGCTGAGGAGCTATAATGAGGCTGAGCGACTCTGAGGAGGCATGTAAAATGTGTGCAATTGAATTCTCACAATGAGATAGGGAACTGAAACATAGTGAGGTTAGCAACTTGCCTAGGGTTACACATATAGTAAGTGACAGAACTGGGATTCTAACTGGATGGTCTGGCTCCAGGGTCTGTGCTCTTAATCACATGCTCACATAGGTCCTTCACCAGTTTGGCACAGCCCAGTAGAAATCAGATTTTTTGTTGAGAGAAGGTTTTGTCTTGGAAACTTTTAAAGACTGAAAAGGCTTAAGAGGAGAGATACATGTTGAAGCGTTCAAAAGGAAAACCTTGGCCCATCTGTCATTTTGCCAAGGATCTGACCACTCCCTATTTGCACAGGAATTCATGAATGATCCCTGACCTGAATTGGGGATATATACTGATCCCTTGCATAGTGCTCCAGCCTTTCAGCAGATCTGGTCAATTCTTCAATTTTTCTGAGCTGGTGCTGAATAGCAGGGAACTACTTCTCCTCTTGTTTGTGGATACACAGGAGGCCATATTCAATACTTTTAGGACCTATTTGAATACTGTATTTAGATGGGTTGATGTGGTAAATTTGGGGATTGGGGAGTTGATCAAGGAAGAGACAGTTTCATGAGAAGCAGTAACATACAAACTTTATTTGGGCAGTGCTCAGACAAGGTTGCGTAAGAGGGAAAGTTCTTCATAGCTGGAGATTTTCCAGAGACAGTGGCACAAGGCCACCCCTCAGAAAGGAAATAGGGCAAGAGACCTGAAGGAGTAGGGGAAATCAGAGAGGAGGCTTACATGTCCAGGTGATATCACTCAACAGCAAGGTGAGGTTTCTCTGGATTAGAGAGTTCTGAAGGACATTAGCAGTTTGAGGTCTTATAGCTGGCTAGCAGATGCTGGTAATAGTTTATCTTATTTCTGGCTAGCAGATGTTGGGAATAGTTTCACAGTCTATATGAAGTAGGTAGGCTCTAAATGGCTAAAATTTTGTTCATTTTGGAATATATTTAAAGCAATTTGGTGTGCGAAAATTGGAGTTTGGCATCAGTGTTCTTTGGGCTAATGGTCCTATCCTAGTGTAAGGAAGTAACCAACATGGGGGCCATTTTCACCTAATATACAGGGGCTCTCTCTGGCCCATTTATATAATAGTTGTACAGAAAACTTTCAATTCATTCATTCATTCAGCTCTTCCATTGCCATAATGGTGTATTAATATATGAACAAAGTTCTTAGGGCAACACGAATCTAGAATTCCTGATAGAATGAGATGCTTTTCAAAGCCAACCACCACTTACTGTTCCATTTTCTTCTGGTACTTTCATTTGAATCAGAATGTCAGGCAGCAATGGACCCCAAAGATAAGCTCTCCAACTCCACCACTTTGTAAATGAGAAGGCTGAAACCCAACTAGGCAAAAAGTCTTTCCCAAGGTCACACAGCTCATTGTGAAAGAAGACCAGACCCAAACTCAGGTTTCCTGAATTTTGTCCCATTTTATTTGAACATTTCCCCTGCCTTATCACACCATTCAGCCCTGATGCATAAGTTTGCTGAGTGTATCTCTCTCCAGTTAGGGAATGCCTTAGCTCATTTTCATGGAAGGAAGCTTCAAAATGACCATGTCTCTTTCTACACCAAAAGGGTACCTTCAGGCACATGCCTGTACAAGCAGACACCCCTGCCTGTCTGTGTCAGAACATCCTGCAAATGATCACGTAGAAGAAGCCCTAGACCATAATAAATTCCCCCTTCATTAATTTTAATCATAAAATTGAAGAAACATATCTATATGAAAGTATCCATACCCAGAGCTCTATGAAATCTTTGCCAATGAGTTTCCCGTGTTACATCTTGATGCACTTTCCTACAAGAACTCTTAAAAATATTTTAGTAAATAGCAAATGTAACTAATAAATATTAGAAGCCTTGTGAGGAATATTCTAGCATTGGTTAATAGATTTGCTGACTCAGTCTTGGAACACATTACCCATGGATTGGAGTTAACAAATAGGAAGGCTCTGTGTTAGCCTATTTGGGGGCCATTTGTGGTTTTATTATACTGTTGCCTTTATAGGGTTGTAGATGGATTATTTATATAAGACATGGGAATTTGTTCTTTTTCTGGTTTTAATTTTCCAAGAAATTAGAACATCTGTAACCCAAATTCAGGCAAGGATGCTGACTCAAAGGGTGAAGAAATCAAAGTCCAGTTTCACAATTAACATGTCTCTGGTTAAATTTCAGTACTGTGAGTCCCCGTCATCATCTTTATTCTCTTCCCCTTTAGTCCTTCTTTCCTCACTACTCTTCCCATAAATAAAAGGTGAGAAAGAGAAGGACAAGAGTATTACTACTGATTAAAGGGCTACTTGAAAAAGAATACTATAGACTGAATTTGGCTATGTTTAAAATTCTTGGTCAGCTAGACAGCTTGATGTTCAAGACTGTCCACAGTCTTTTATGGTTGATAGAAGTTAAAAATGTTTTTTTGGCCCTCTCTAACTCCCACCCTACAAAGAGTCATTGGCATTTTGCCTAAGAGTTCCTTGTCTTCTCTTTGTGTAACACTTCATGTATATGTCAAAATATGATTACAGAGTTTTAATCCTTCCCACGATACCTTTGGCACTGGGGATGGAAACTAATCTTTCCCATTGCTTATCAGAATTGTTTAAAACAATCAAGAATTCAGAATTCAAAGTGCTTTGGATTGGATACAGAAGACATCATTTTGTTGAAGAGCATCAGCCTATTCTAAAAATGAGTTAGAAGTTTGCTTTAAACAGTATGGTAAATCTACTTTTCACTTCCTCAAAGCCTTACCATCTCCAGGAGAAATGAGAAAGTATGGCTCCCCATGCAGGGGCAATGGGATCTGGCAGTGAGTCTCCTGAGTGTGTATGGTAGTGCAGAGACTAGGTCTGTGCTGATGCATTTTTATCCCCAGTGCAAAGCCCAACAGATCACGAGAGTGGGAAGGTGGTAGAAGGAAGATGAGGACATTGGGAAGCCATAAGAACTGTACTAGATGATGACATGAGCTCCTCATGGAGTAGATCTTACTCTATTAGTTGGGACTCCTGAGCTAGTAAATTAAGTGAACACTTGGTTTTCCCCATTGAGGCTCTTCCTTGTAAGTGGTAGAAGGAGAACCTACCTGAACTAGACCCAAATATATATGCAAACTTAACAGGGATAAAGAAGATTATCATCAATTGAGGAAAAGAAGAATAAGTCAACTGGGACAATTGGTTAACCATTTAATAAAAAGAAACCAGATTAGAGCTCATGATCTCACAGTTAATTGTCAAAATAATTCCACATAGATTAAATAATTTTCTTTCTTTCTTTCTCTTTTCTTTCTTTCTTTCTTCTTTTCTTTTCTTTCTTTTCTTTTCTTTCTCTTTTTCTTTTTTTGACAGAGTCTCACTGGAATGCAGTGATGCAATGTCAGTCCACTGCAATCTCCACCTCCCAGGTTCAAATGATTCTCCTGCCTCAGCCTCCCAAGTAGCTGGGATTACAGGCGCCCGCCACTACGCTTGGCTAATTTTTGTGTTTTTAGTAGAGACGGGGTTTCATCATGTTGGCCAGGCTGGTCTCGAACTCCTGACCTCAAGAGATCTGCCTGCTTCAGCCTCCCCAAATGCTGGGATTACAGGCCTGAGCCACTGTACCCGGCCATAGATTAAATAATTTAATGTTAAACATTTTGAACTAGAAAAATATACACAAACATTTATATGATCTTTGGATGGGGAAAGACTTTCCAGGTTTAAAAGCATTGGAAGGAAAAGATGAATAGATTAGACCCATGTCAGAAACCTTGTAAATGAAATTAAAGGCCAAAAACAAACTGGGAGATAATAACCTTACTTTATTGAAAAAAAAAAAAAACAAACCTCTCATGTAAATTGATGAGAAGCACCAAACGTCCTTGACTTCATAGCCGCCAATTTTCCATTCCCTCTCACAGTCACACATCACTGAAGATGTGTCTGCACATTTCATCTCCACTGTCCTACCTCCTTGATGTTCTCAACTTGACATCCACCCACACTGGTCCATTGAAACCAGTCACCACTGACTTCCATGTGGCCAAACCAGAGGTGGTAATCTCCTTCTCCTTCTCCCTCTCCCTCTCCCTCTCCCTGTCTTTCTTCTCCTTCTCCTTCTTCCTCCTCCTCCTTCCTCCTCCTTTTTCGTTCCTACTCCTCCTTTCTCCTCCTTCTTTTTTCTCCTCCTCCTTCTTTCTCCTTCCCCCTCCTTTTTCTCGTTCCTCCTTCTTCTTTCTCCTTCCTTCTCCTTCTATCTCCTTCTTCTTTCTCCTCTTTCTTCTTTCTCCTCCTCCTTCTTCTTTCTCCTTCCTCCTCCTTCTTCTATCTCCTTCTTCTTCTTTCTCCTCCTCCTTCTTCTTTCTCCTTCCTTCTCCTCCTTCTTCTTTCTCCTCCTTCTTCTTTCTCCTTCCTCCTCCTCCTTCTTTCTCCTCCCTCCTCCTCCTTCTTTCTCCTCCCTCCTCCTCCTTTCTCCTTCCTCCTCCTTCTTTCTCCTTCCTCCTCCTCCTTCTTTCTCCTTCCTCCTCCTTCTTTCTCCTTCCTCCTCCTTCTTTCTCCTTCCTCCTCCTCCTGCTTTCTCCTTCCTCCTCCTCCTTCTTTCTCCTTCCTCCTCCTCCTTCTTCCTCCTTCCTCCTCCTCCTTCTTTCCCCTTCCTCCTCCTCCTTCTTTCTCCTTCCTCCTCCTTCTTTCTCCTTCCTCCTCCTCCTTCTTTCTCCTTCCTCCTCCTCCTTCTTTCTCCTTCCTCCTCCTCCTTCTTTCTCCTTCCTCCTCCTCCTTCTTTCTCCTTCCTCCTCCTCCTTCTTTCTCCTTCCTCCTCCTCCTTCTTTCTCCTTCCTCCTCCTCCTTCTTTCTCCTTCCTCCTCCTCCTTCTTTCTCCTTCCTCCTCCTCCTTCTTTCTCCTTCCTCTTCTTCCTCCTTCTTTCTCCTTTCTCCTCCTTCTTTCTCCTTCCTCCTCTCTTTCTCCTTCCTCCTCCTCATTTCTTTCTTTCTCTCTCTTTCTTTCTTTCTCTCTCTTTCTTTCTTTCTTTCTTTCTTTCTTTCTTTCCTCCTCCTCCTCCTTCTTCTTCCTCTTCCTCTTCTGCTTCTCCTTCTCCTTCTCCTTCTTCTTCTTTCTTTGGTTCCTTCTTCATGTCAGCTCTTCCTCTCCATGGCTTGATTGCTTTGTCCTTCTCCACAGCCTCTCTTTCTTTGGTTTCTGAGATAATACATTCTTGTGTCTCTGGTTGCTCTTTGCTCCTTCTCAGTTTCCTTTCTCCAGGTGACACCGTTTTCTTGGCCAGACCCTTAAACACTTTAGTTCCCTGGATCTCAGTCCTGAGTCTTCTCTTTCATTGAGCATCTGCCTAAGTGAGCTTATTTATTTCATGGATTTAGATACCATGTATAGTCTGACAACTCCCAGATTGATATTCACAGTACAAGCCTCCCCTTTGAGCTCTATGTAGATTCATATCTGCCACTGCCAACTTGACATCTCCATTTGCATGGTGCCCAGGCACGTCAAATTTAAAATAGCAAAAGTTGAAGTCTTGTTCTCCCCACCCTCACCTGTCTTGACAGCAAACAACTTGTTTCTCTTCCAGTCTTCTCCATCTTAATAAATGGCATTATCACTCACTGCTCAAAGTAGAAACATGATGGCCATCCTTATACCCACTGCATCTAGTCCCTCAGCAAAAACCTTTCTATCTCCAAATATATTATTTCAAATCTACCTATTTCTCTCCCATCCCTCTCTGGCCTACTCCAGCATCCTCTTCAGGAGTCTCCTCTCCTCTATTCTTACTCCCTTCCAGTTCTTTATATAGTAGCTTAAGACATCTCTTTAAGATGAAAATTGGATCTGGTTCTTCTTCAATGTGTTCTCATTGTATTTTAAAGAAATCCTAAATGCCATACTATGGCCTATATCTGATTGAATCTTTCCTAACTTTCTAAACTTATGTCATTCGCTCCAGCAACCACTTTATGTCTGCCATGTTGCTCTCCTCTCAGTTTCTGAATACTTCAAGCTCTTTATGGCTTCATGGCCTTCACACATGCTATTCTCTTTTTTCTGCCCAGAAATCTCTTACCCTCAACTCTTCTTATTCAAGTCTTCACTTTAATGTAATCTCCCTAGTGAGGACTTCCCTTACTCTCCTCATTTTATTTTCTCTCTCTGCATCCTATTTATTTCTTTTCTAGCAAGTACCACATTTTAAAGTTTTATATTTAATTTGCTAAATTATCTTCTTCACTAGAAAGTAATACTTCACAAGGGTTGAGCAGAACTGTTATTCAGCAATATATATCCAATGACTAGCACATTATAGATTCTTAACCAATATTTTTTGAATGAGGAAATTAATTGATAAATGAATGAAAAGTTAAATAGGTTAATGAGCAGATAGTTTACTGAAAGAGAAATGCAAGTGGCCTTAATTAATACATACGATGCCCCTAAAATAGTGCCTGGTACATACTAAGCCCTCAACATATTTAGTTATTGCTATTTTTATATTAATAATAGTTACTATTATTTTAAAATTAATAATAATAATATCACCCAAACTAATAGTCAAATTTAAAGAGTAAGGAGATACCAATTTCTGCTTTTTAAATGAACTACAATGAAAAAAAATAAGATGATCAACATTTTGATGAGATGGGCACTTTTTAAAGGTAGTTACCAAGTGATTTGACAAAACCAATTTGGATGAAAGCAAGTTAGTTAGTATAACAAGTGATCAGATGATGATTTGTTCAAGAACAGATACTGCTAGATGTGGGTTGTTGAGATAATGGTATTTATACTGTGGAGGTGGTGCCTTTAAACTTTTTTCTTCAGATTAAGCTTGTTTCCTTACTTTTTGTCCATTTTCCAAAGGTTTTCGGGGGGGGGGTGGTTATTTTTTAACTTTTACCTTTTTTCAGCAATTAATTTTTCCATTCTATGTTTGTGACAAGGAAAAAAAATGTGCAACAATAGGAGATCTGTTGGAATATGTTAACTTTCTAACAATAGGAGACTGGATGGGGAAAAAACAATTTAGAGCACATAAAGAGTTGAAAGGCTGCCCTGTGGTGTAGCAAAATTACCAAGACTAGGAAAAGCAGTGACTAGCAGTAGAGATTTTCAGCAAAATTGCTGTTTAACCAGATGATTATGTTGAACAATTTGCTTTTGGCCACAATGTCTTAACCTTTACATCTATAATTTCACTGTGAAGGAAAAAAATAGAAATGTAATCAAAGATTTATGTGCAAAGAGATTCGTCGAAAGTTAACAATGACACACAAAAACCCCATAAAACACAATGTCCAATATTAGAGGAGTTGTCCAAAATGGGGGGTGTGTGTCTAGGAACAAGTAGAAACACTGTTTCTTTCTCTTATAGGATATTGGGGATTGGCACTCATTAATATGGTTACTTAGAGTAATTTCCTTAAGCAACATATTATAGTAAGATTGACAATTTGAGTGCATTTCCTGAGAAATAACTAAATCATAAAGAGCTTTTGAAATAGTTCCCCCAAAGAACTGTGAATGCATTTATTACATTCACAATTTATTACATTCACAAAGCATTATGACACTACATTGCTGCCACTTGCTTTTAGGGAGAGTCAAAGATGGTGGTAAAAACAGCAGCATTTGGGAATCAATGGGCAGCAGTTATCTGTCAAAGGAGCAATGGCAAAATTCAAGATACTTCCTTTGCCACACTCATACATAGCAACGTAGCATGCTGCATTCTTTTTCTTGGGGAGATGTTTTTAAGCCACATAGCTTCCATGTGGAAGTGATTTCATCTCCTAATTAAGATCACATTTATGAATAAAAGCAGAGGAAGGAAGCCAGCTTGACAAGGGTATCCTACCAAAAGCCAGGGTAAATGGGAAGTCTTTGAAGGACATAAGATGAAGGTAGTTGGAGTTTGGAAGGAAGTGGTTTTATAGACCTTGTTTTGTCTTGGTTGTTTTGTGGTCATTATTGGAGTGGTGTCTGAGACTCATTATGGGTTTGGTTCTGACATATTTATAGGGAAGGAGAGACAAGGTTTTCCTGGATTTGGTAGCAGCCCTGTTGTAGGTTAGCCAAAATGTACCCTTAATCTCTTATGAAGAATTGAATTACTTACCTTCTAGAAATATTCCCTGCATAATATTTGAACCATAATATTTTAAGCCATTAGGCTTTTGAAATATAGGCTAAAACTTTAAAGGAAAGTTTCCTAAATACTTTCAACACAGGATTGTGAAATGGAAAGAAAGACGAAAGGGGAAGAGCTTTGGATTTTAGTACCTCTGCAGGCATTATTAATCAGAACTGAAACAGAAAAAAAAGGAAAAAAAAACAAATTCACTAATAGAATTTGAGTGCATTAGCTCTGTGCATGCTGCAACGGATTTATAGGGGAATGTTTTCTTTTAGTTTCTTATGGACCAATTTGTTTGACTCTTGTGGAAATAGATTCATTGATAGCTAAGTTTTAACCAAAAAAGAATGATTTAATTAAATTATCATTCTATTTTGAGGTTCTATTAATAGTTTAATACTATACATAAAAATAAACAAAACAACACAGGAAACAATGTGCCTAATAGGAAGATTTCTTTATGGTTGAAAATCAGCAGGGTATGTAATGGAAAGATGGAATCCAGGTTTGCTCAAGGTACATTTGAGGCTGACATCATCACCTTTTTTTTTTTTCCCTTGAGACAGAGTCTCGCTCTTCCGCCCAGGCTGGAGTGCAGTGGCAGGATCTCGGCTCACTGCAAGCTCTGCCTCCCGGGTTCACGCCCTTCTACCGCCTCAGCCTCCCGAGTAGCTGGGACTACAGACGACCACCGCCACGCCCGGCTAATTTTTTGTATTTTTAATAGAGACGGGGTTTCACCGTGTTAGCCAGGATGATCTCTATCATCTGACCTCGTGATCCACCCACCTTGGCCTCTCAAAGTGCTGGGATTACAGGCGTGAGCCACCGCGCCCGGCCTCATTATAGATTATTTTAAATAGAATAATATACATTCAGTTTTGAAGGCTTTGGGGTAGTTTATTATTCAAGACATATGTTATATTGACACCCTCAATGATCCAGTTCCCAATATGAAAAGAATACTAGAATTGGAATCCTGTTTTAGGTTAAAGATGTTGTGAAAAACATCTGCAAAATGAATTAAAAATTTCCTCTTAGACTTTTTCACACTGTGAGACGATAGAATATATTTTGTGGCTTTATTAAAGTCTCTCATTGGTTTCTGTTTAAAATTTTTAAGATGAATACATAAATGAATATAGAACGTTCTGTGTGAGTGTGAATACACCTGCATGTGTGCTTGTGCCTGTGTAGTTGCAACTTAGAGAGGTAGCTACTATTTTTTGAACAATATGGATTAGGTTGAGAAGCAAGAGACAGGAAGGAAGAAGGAAAAAGAGCCAGCCAGGAGGGCAGACTGATGACTGAAGTTGAGGGCAAGAATACAGCGAGTTAACCAGAGCTTTCCCACCAACTCTCCACAGCTCTAGTTGCCCTCCCTCACCCCAGCCACATTCTCACTTCTCTTTAGCTCTAGTCTGAGAAATTGGAAGAGAATTTTAAAAATTAGAGTGTGGAGGAAAACATTACTTTTCTGAATCAGAATTTCAGAACCAGAAATAGACTTAAACAACAGCAAGTACCCTCACAAAATTTTCAGATGAGCGAATTAACCCAGAAGAAGATAAGTGTTTCGTTGGTCAGCAGAAAAAGCAATACCTCTAGCTGGGCACGGTGGCTCACACCTATAATCCCAGCACTTTGGGAAGCCGAGGCGGGCAGATGGCTTGAGCCCAGGAGTCCGAAACCAGCCTGGGCAACATGGCGAAATCCCATCTCTACAAGAAAATTTAAAAAAGAAAGAGAGAGAGAGACAGAGAGAAAGAAAGAAAGGTAAAGAAAGAAGAAAAGAAAAAGCAATACAGCATGAAAGACTCCTGACTTCCAGTTCAAGATTATTTTTATGGCCACATTCTGGGAGAGTGCTAGCAAAAATTAAAGCAAGAACCTCTTTGTGATGCATTTCTTCTCTGTTGGAAGGGATACTGCATCTGCCACTGAGGCAGAGGTTGAAAAAGATGCTTAAACCAAACAGGGATCTTTATCTGAAGGACAGCGAAATATTGCCTGAACAGAGGAGTCATTCGATATTATATGAAGTTTACCCTTAATCTTTTTAGAGGTAATTTTAGAAGTCCTCATCAGACAAAACCAGCCCCTTTCCAGATGGTGTCTTATACACCTAATGATCCTAGAGAATCAGATCCTGTGCCCCTTGTGTGCTGCCCTTCTTTTATGTGTGTTTCAAGCTCTCTGATTGATTGTGAATCTTTGGCCTCAGGTTGCACTTGATGTCACAGGTCTTTCTGGTTTCATTTATATATACACGGGGGAATTTGCTTTTCTAGTCTTTGAAGCTGTATTAATGCAGCTTGACCTTCTAAGCCATGCAAAAGTCTACCAGAGCATTTTAAACCCCAAAGCTTCAATTGGAGACATTCAGAGGAAAGGAAAAAAATCTTTTGATAGTCAAGATTACTCACGATTCTTTATTTCAAAATTTAATGTACAGACAATATATTTTGACCATACCAAATTCACCTGTCCTGAAGAGAAGCATTTTGCTACATGTAGGTGAAGATGTTGATGAATACCCCATATATATATATATGTATACATACACACACATATGCACACACACACACTTGTGTGTGTATATATGTATGTATATATGTATATAAAATCCCATGTATAGTAATACGGTTATTGACAGTATATGGAATAGTAATACAGTTATTGACGGTATATATATGTGTGTGTGTGTGTGTGTGTGTGTGTATGTACTGTCAGTACATATATTCATATATATCTTCATATATACATATATCTACTGTCAATAACTGTATTACTATACATGGAGTTTTCCATTATGAAACATCATTCAATAAATATTTATTGAACACCTAGCATTTGACAGACATAGTGGGTTGGCCCTGAGAATTCAGTAGTAACAAAGGCAGAAATGTTCATGTCCTCATGGAGCTTGCATCATTATTCTCCACAAAATTATGCCTTCATCAAGGAGAGTAAATAATTCTGGGCTCCAGATTCTCTCTTTTTGTCTAAAAATGCATGTATTTAATGAATGTAATCTTTTAATTAACATATAACATATACACAGAGAAGTACACAGATCAAGTATACAGCTCAAAGAATGTTTACCAAGTAAACACACTCATAAAAGCAGCAGCCAGGTTAAGAAACAGAACATTACCAGCCCCCAGAAGCCCCTTTAAAATCCTTTTCTACTTGCTAACCTTCCCAAGATAACTAATTTTGTGACTTCTGACATCATAAATTAATTTTGGCTTGTTTTGAACTTTGTAGAAATGGAATCATACGGTGTATGATCTTCTGTGTCTGTCTTCATTTGCTCAATATTATGCCTGTGAAATTCACCTGAGTTGTTGCATGTAGTTGAGTTCATTCATTCTCCTTGGTGTATAGTATTCCACTGTATATTACATTTCATTTATCCATTCTATTATTAAAGACATTTGGATGATTTCCAGTTTGGGGCTATTATCAGTTCTGTCACTATTAAGGTACTTGTGCCTGTCTTTAGGTGACTGTTAGGTATACACCTATGAGTTGGAATATTGGGTCATAGATTATGCATATATTCGTCTGTGCTACACATGGCCAAGCAGCTTCCCAAAGTGTTTATACCAAGTTATAGTCCCACCAGCAGTGTATGAAAATTACAGTTACTACACATCCGTGCCAAGCTTAAGGTTATGTGCTTTTTCATTTTCATATGCATTTTAAGTTTATAAAGTAGACTGGAACCACTGGAGCTTTGTGATAAACAATGAGACATCATAAAGTTTGTAGCAACAGTTCTAATCCCTTGAATTTTAGTCTATGCCAATGATTCAGGATGGTATTATATTAAATTAGAAACTCTGCTTAACTCTTGATGGAATAAAAGTTACTGTTTATAATGGAAAATCCTGCAAAAGTTTGCCTTTCTTACATTTGGAGTTGTGGCTTTTTCAAGCGAGCAGTGTCGGACCATTTTTGTTAGCCAGAGGGCCAAGTAAGAAAAAATAAAAAATATGTGCAGGCCGCATTTTTAAATTCCAAAATGGAAATGGCTTTCTTGAGACATGGGGAAGAAACATACATTTGGTTGTGAGATAACCTGCCATATCAAGTGGAAGACTGGAGGTGGGAAAGTTGGAGCAATTATTGGCCAGTAAAATGTTACTATTGGACTATATTTGAGAACTGGCTGTAGGGAGACAGCTGTCATCCTGAAATTAGCTTGTCAACCACATTGTAAAGCTAGGAGGGCTAACTTCCAGACCAAGACCTTTAAGAGGGGCTGTTTTAGCAGCCCACCTCGGCTTTAACACTTCCCTAGGAGGAACTATATATATAATGGATCCAGGTCCAGGCCTATTACAGAAGGGCCAGCTGAAGGAAAGAAGAACCTTATTCTTAGAAAAAAACACTGATGGTTTCCTTTTCCTTTTCAGTCCAAGGTTTACACTCGCACACCAACCTTATATTTGGACTTCAAATTGGACCCAGGAGCCAAACATTCCCAACCTATCCCTAAAGGTATGATGGGTTCTGGGGTTTAGTAGTCACGTCAGGAAAAAAAAAAGAAAAGAAAAAACCAACAAGAGGCTGTTTTGCCTGGAATGTGCTTGTTTCTGAAACTCAGCACAAAGTTCTAAGAACTCTTGTTTATGTTTAATTGTGTTTAAATTGACAAATACTGCTGGGACCTTCCAAGTTAAGAAAATCAGGAAGAGGCCGGGCACGGTGGCTCACGCCAGTAATCCCACCACTTTGGGAAGTCGAGGCGGGTGGATCACGAGGTCAGGAGATCAAGACCATCCTGGCCAACATTGTGAAACCCCGTCTCTACTAAAAATACAAAAACTAGCTGGGCGTGGTGGCGCACGCCTGTAGTCCCAGCTACTTGGGAGGCTGAGGCAGGAGAATCACTTGAACCCGGGAGGCGGAGGTTGCAGTGAGCCGAGATCGCACCACTGCACTCCAACCTGGGAGACACAGCGAGACTCCATCTCAAAAAAAAAAAAAAAAAAGAAAGAAAGAAAAGAAAATCAGAAAGAACTCACAGAATGTTAGGGCCAGACCTTGTGGGCCATACCACTCAATTTACAGGTGTGGAAGGCCTAAAAGATGGGTCACTTGCTCAAGGCCACCCAAACACTTACTGGATGAGGTAGGGCAAGGAAAACACCCCTGTCTCCTGACTTTCCAGCTCCTATTGACTCACAGTGTTCCTGAAGGCAAATTCGGACCTGTGTTACTTATACACAAGTGCATACTTGATTGAGATACAGGTTTTGCTTGATATAGGTGTTGTTATGTAAAGGTTACCTTTAGATTGACATTTGAATCCAAAGAATAATTAAAAATTCCCAAGTATTTAAGGCCTATTTTGTTCTTTTTTTTTTTTAATTCTGGCTAATTTTTATAATTGTTTTTTTCTGTAGACGTGGGGTCTCACTCTGTTACCCAGGCTAAAGTGCAGTGGCATGATCATAGCTCACTGCAGCCTTGAACTCCTGGGCTTAAGTGATCCTCTTGCCTCAGCCTCCCAAGTAACTGAGCCTACAGATGTGTGCCACTATGCCCAGCTAATTTTTTAATTCTTTTGTAGAGATGGAGGTTTCACCACGTTGCCCAGGCTGGTCTCAGATTCCTGGCCTTAAGTTGATCCTCCTGCCTTGGCCTCCCAAAGCACTGGGATTTCAGGCATGAGCCATTGTGTCTGGTCTATTTTTAAATAATTTTTTTAATTAACACAATAGATGTACATATTTTCAGGGCACATGTGACAATTTAATACGTTCATATAATTTGTAAAGATCAAGTCAGTATAATTAGGATATTCATCACCTTAAATATTGGTCTTTTCTTTATGCTAGAAACATTTGAATTATTCTTTTCTAGCTGTTTGGAAATATACAAAGATTGTTGTAAACAATAGTCGTCCTACTGATCTATCAAACACCAGATCTTATTTCTTCTATTAAATTGTATATTTGTACTCATTAATCAATCTCTCTTTATCCCTCCCAGACCCCTACCCTTCATGTCTTCTGGTAACCACCAGTCTTCATGAGATCTTTATGAGATCCACTTTTTTACTCCCATGTAAGAGTGAGAACGTGCAATATTTGTCTTTCTGTGCCTGGCTTATTTAACTGAATGTCCTCTCCAGGTTGCTGCAGATGACAGGATTTCATTCTTTTTATGGCTGAATAATATTTCATTGTATATTTATATCACATTTTCTTCATTCATCTATTACTGGGCACTTAGGTTGATTCTACGTTTTGTACATTGTGAATAATGCTGCAATAAACATGGGAGTGTAGGTATTTCTTTGATATATTGATTTCTTTCTTTTAAATAGGTACCCAGTAGTTGAATTGCTGGATTATATGGTAGTTCTATGTTTAGTTTTTTGAGGAACCTTCATACTGCTTTCCATAATGGTTGTACTAATTTACATTCTCACTGACTGTATACAAGGGTTCCCCTTTCTCCACATCCTCACCAGCATGTGTTATTCCCTTTTTGATAACAGCCATTTTAACTGGGGTGAGATGATGTCTCGTTGTGGTTTTGGTTTGCATTTCTCTGGTGATTAGTAATGTTGAGCATTTTGTTCATACACCTATTGCCCATTTGTATGTCTTCTTTTGAGAAATGTCTATTCTGAGCTTTTGCCCATTTTTAAATTGGATTTCTTTTTGCTATTGAATTGTTGAGCTCCTTATATATTCTGGTTATTCATCCCTTGTCAGATAGGTAGTTTGCAGATATTTTCTCCCATTCTGTGGGTTGTCTCTTCACTATTTTTTTTTTTAAGACAGAGTCTTGCTCTGTCACCCAGGCTGGAGTACAGTGGTGTGACCTCTGCTCACTGCAACCTCCACCTCCTGGGCTGAAGCAATTCTCCTGCCTCAGCTTTCCAAGTACCTGGGATTACAGGTGTGTGCCACCACGCCTGGCTAATTTTTGTATTTTTAGTAGAGATGTGGTTTAACCATGTTGGCCAGGCTGGTCTTGAACTCCTGGCCTCAAGTGATCTGCCTGCCTCGGCCTCCCAAAGTGCTGGGATTACAGGCGTGAGCCACCGCACCCAGCCTCATGTTATTGATTGTTTCCTTTGCTGTGCAGAAGCTTTTGAGCTTGATATAATATCATTTGTCTATTTTTGCTTTGGTTGCTTGTGCTTTTGAGGTCTTACACAAAATATCTTTGTCCAGTCCAATGTCCTGGAGATTTTCCCCAATGTTTACTTGTAGTAGTTTCATATTTTGAGGTCTTAAATTTAAGTCTTTAATTCATTTTGATTTGATTTTTGTTTATGGCAAGAGATAGGGGTCTAATTTCATTCTTCAGCATATGAATATCCAGTTTTCCCAGCACCATTTATTGAAAAGACTGTCTATTCCTCAGTGTATGTTCTTAGCACCTTTGTCAAAAATGAGTTCCATTGATCCATGTGTCTGTTTTTATGCCAATACCATGCTGATTTGATTACTATAGCTCTGTAGTATAATTTGAAGTCAGGCAGTGTGATGCCTCCAGCTTTGTTCATTTTGCTCAGGATTGCTTTGGCTATTTGGGGTCTTTCATGGTTCCATATAAGTTTTAGGATTCATTTCTGTGAATGAGATTGGCATTTTGGTAGGGATTGCATTGAATCTGTACATTGCTTTGGGTAGTATTGTCATTTTAATGATATTAATTCTTCCAATCCATGAGCACAGAATAGCTTTCAATTTTTTTTGTGTCCTTTTCAATTTCTATCATCAGTGTTTTATAGTTTTCCTTGTATAGATTTTTCAATTCTTTGGTTAAGTTGATTCCCAGGTATTTTATAATCTTTTTTTGTAACCATTGTAAATAGGATTGCTTTCTTGATATTTTTTTCAGATTGTTCACTCTTGGTGTATATAAATGCTACTAATTTTTGTATGTTGATTTTGTATCCTGCAACTTTACCAAATTTGTTTATTAGTCTTAATAGGTTTTTTTTGGTGGAGTCTTTAAGTTTTTCTTAGTGTAAGATGATGTAATCTGTGAACAAGACTAGTTTGACTTCTTCCTTTCTTATTTGAATGCCCTTTGTTTTTTTTTTTTCTCTTGCCTAGTTGCTCTGGCCAAGACTTCCAGTATTATGTTGAATAAAAGTGGTTAAAATGGGCATCTTTTTCTTGTTCCAGATCTCAGAAGAATTCAGTTTTTCAACTGAATTCTTTCAATTTTTTCCCATTCAATATGGTGATAGCTGTGGGTTTGTCATAATAAGGCCTTTATTATTTTGAGGTACGTTCATTCTATACCCAGTTTGTTAAAGGTTTTTGTCATAAAGAGATGTTGAATTTTATTGAATGCTTTTTCAGCATCTATTGAAATAATGATGTTTTTTCTTCTTGATTCTGTTAATGTGATGTGTCACATTTATTGATTTGTGTATGTTGAATGTTGAAACATCTTTGCATCCTTGGGATGAATCACACTTGATCATGGTGAACAATCATTTTAAGGTGCTGTTGAATTCAGTTTGCTAGTATTTTGTTGAGAGTTTTTGCATCTATGTTCATCAGCAATATTGACTTGTGGTTTTCTTTTTTTGTTGCGTTCTTGTCTGGTTTTGGTATCAGGGTAATGCTGGCCTCATAGGATAAATTTGGAAGTACTCCCTCCTCTTCAGTCTCTTTGAAGAGTTTCAGTAGGATTGGTATTAATTTGTCTTTAAATGTTTGGTAGAATTCAGCAGTGAGGCCATCAGATCTTGGGCTTTTTTTTTTTTTATGGGAGACTTATTATGGCTTCTATCTCATTACTAGTTATTGCTTTGTTGAAGTTTTCTATTTCTTCATGGTTCAATCTTGGTAGGTTGTATGTATCCAGGAATTTATCAATTTTTTCTGGGTTTTCCAATTTCTTGGCATATAGTTGTTCATAATAGTCTCTAATGATTCTTTGTATTTCTATGGTCTCAGTTATTGTGTCTTCTTTTTCATTTCTGATTTTATTTATTTGGGTCTTCTCTCATTTATTCTTAGTCCAGCTAAAGGTTTGTCAATTTTATTTATCTTTTCAAAAAACCAACTTGTCACTTCATTGATCTTCTGTATTTTTTTGTCTCAATTTCATTTACTTCTACTCTGATCTTGATTATTTCTTTCCTTCTACTAATTTTGGATTCCATTCTGGCTATTTAAGTACAGAAAAATTTTAGATTAATTTGCTTAAACATAAGCCTTCACTATCCGTGATTTTTATAACATTAAGTGTATGTGTGCTTTAACCTTTTAGTGCAGTGCTTTTATCTTTAAACTTTTGAGTTGCTTTCCTCCAATCCCTTGTCCTCCCTTATCTATGTCCAGTACCCTCACTATATAGATCACAGATATATCCTTGAATTATATCTTGCTGTATTTTTCTCCACACTTATTTTTATACACTGACATATATGTGCATTCACATATATGCAAATATCAGGTTATTTTGTCATTTTAATAAAATGGAATCATAACTACTCTTTTACGTCCTATTTATTTGACTGAAAAATACTCATGGAAATCCTTCCCAGTTTACTTATATAGCTCCTTTTGTTTTGTTTTGTTTAAGAGACAGGGTTTCTCTGTGTCACCCAGGCTGGAGTAAAGTGGCACAATTATAGCTCACTGCAACCTCGAACTCCTGTGCCCAAGAGATCTTCCCACCCCAGCCTCCCAAGTAGCTAGGACTACAGGCACTCATCATTAATGGTGGCTCCTTTTAACAGTGATATTCTACATCATCTAAATACATACTATGATGTATTTAGCTATTTTCTATCAATGGGAATTCACTTTGTTCCTAGTGCTTGGCTACAGCAAACTGGTCTGCAATGAATACCTTGTGTATCTGCCTTCCCATGTGGAAATTTATTTTGATGAGACAGGTTTCCAGGGATGGTCACCAGATCTATGCATGCTTAGTTTTAAAAGACATTGTCAGGTTGCAATCCAAAGAGGCAGTCACACTTTCTATTAGCAGCATATAGAATACCAGTTTCTCCACAATCCCACTAGCAGGAAGTGTATGGTTCATGTTCATTTTTGCTCTGCTCTCAGACATCACCTTATATTGCCTCCTGAGAGAGAACGTATATCTGTCAGTTTCCAAAGCTGTATTTGCATTTTATTTTGTCATCATGAATTTTAAACCTGAGATTTGTTTTCAATCATGTTTTGTTGTTGTTGTTGTTGTCGTTGTTGTTGTTTTGAGATGAAGTCTTGCTCTGTCGCCCAGGCTGAAGTGCAGTGGTGTGATCGCGGCTCACTGCAACCTCTGCCTCCCAGGTTCAAGTGATTCTCCTGCCTCAGCCTCCCGAGTACCTGAGACTACAGGCGCATGCCACCATGCCTGGCTAATTTTTGTATTTTTAGTAGCGACGGGGTTTGACCATGTTGCCCAGGCTGGTCTTGAACTCCTGACCTCAGGTGATCCGCCCACCTCGGCCTCCCAAAGTTGGGATTACAGGTGTGAGCCACTGCGCCCAGCCTCAAACACTTTTTTTTTTTTGACACGGAGTTTAGCTCTTGTCGCCCAGGCTGGAGTGCAATGGCATGATCTCGGCTCACTGCAACCTCTGCCTCCCGGGTTCAAGCGATTCTCCTGCCTCAGCCTCCTGAGTAGCTGGGATTACAGGCACCCACCACCACGCCCAACTAATTTTTGTATTTTTAGTTGAGATGGGGTTTCACCATGTTGGCCAGGCTGGTCTCAAACTCCTGACCTCAGGTAATCCATCCACCTCGGCCTCCCAAAGTGCTGGGATTACAGGCATGAACTACCACACCCGGCCTCAAAAACATTTTTATAGGGATACAACAGGAAATAGCTTAGAATTGCACATTTAGCATTGAGCGTCTGTAAACCCACTTTAAACAAGTGCGTTATGAACCCAGCTATGAAGCAAAAGATCCTTTCTTTTCCAATACATCACTTTTAGTTATAGTGTTCTCTCTTTCTCAGTCTGTCTGTCTGTATCTCTCTCTCTCTCTCCCTCCCCTATCTCTCTCTCTGTCTTACACACACACACACACACACACACACACACACACACACACACACAGACTTATCCATGCTTCCACTGCATTAGGTGACAAATACAAAGTTTGAGGCTTCTCTGTTTAGTGCCTAACAATTAATTCAAGTATTATAAAGCACTCATTATTTGCAGCTTTGATAGTCCTGGCTGCCTGTCATCAGACATACTGGATGGTAAAATTATGCTGTATAAAGTTTATTATGAAGTAATTCAAATCAAGGTCACCATTTGTCTTTTTTTTTTTTCCACCTTTCCAGGTCAAATTCCATCATAAACTCCAAGGACTGTCTAGATTCTTTTTATTTGGGTGCTTTGTTGTATCAAATATTTCGTGAAATGTGTAGGCCATTGGCTGGGTCCTGGACATGTTTCGTTTATAATGTTTTGATTGTTTTGTTACTCATGGTAAAGGGATTTGACATGGATGTCTGGATTATGTTTGGCTTTTGGCATAAGCTTTGCAGTCTAACTAATTTAATGTTGACTTGGTTTTATCATTAACAGACTAATTGGATAGCAATAGAAGCATACACTGCTACCATCCTCTCCCTGATACTGGGAAAATGCATATATTCCAAGGGAAATCCAGTTAAGGGAGACTGAAAACGTTTCTCATGAATCAGACTAGGTTTTATCTGAGTTCCTTCCCATGAATACTATTTGAATCGATTTTTACCATCTCTTTATTTCCTTCAGGCTAGGCACGTTTCTCTTGGGTTGTGCTAATCTTGCAGAAAACAGATGTTTCATGCAGTGATGATTTGGAAGGCAGTTGATATCAGGAATTGAGCTGGACGGTGCATCACTTACAAAGAATCTAATTTGTCGAGTTTCTGACAGTACCAGATTCCTTTCACATTGGCCACACGTTTTTTATATTAGATCTTGGCTAAAATAAGAGTAAGTAGTTTTTTAATGGTGACTTTTACCATTTCTTGCAAGGCGCAAGGCAATCTGACTTTCCTTTTGCTGTAAACTGATTTACAGATAACACTGTTTGTTACCATTAATTATGAAGGACATAAATCTATATTTCTAGGAAAATATCAGTCTTTTCCAAGAAACATGTGCCTTCTTGTCCTCATGTCCCCCTTGTCTTCTGACTGACTGTATCACAGTTTGGCCCTCAACAGCCACTCTGTTTATTTTCCTCATTTCCTTTTACAGCACCTTTGCCTCTAGATACTTAAAGGCAGGATCTGGAATGTTAAAAATGGAGAGCTGTTATGGAAAAAACTTGATTTTATGAACCTTTTTGCTTTTCCTCACCTTATAACTTTTCCTTTACAGTATATGTAGATCAATAAACAAAATTTATTTAGAAACCATATAGTCTACCCCTCTGTGGTAGGCAAAATAATGTCCCCCCAAAGATGTCCACGTCCCAGTTTCCAGAATCTGTGTATATGTTATGTTCCATGGCAAAAACGACTTTGCAGATGTGACTAAGTTAATGCTGCTGAGATAGGGAGATTAGCCTGGATGATGCAGGTGGACCCTGTGTCATAAATGAGAATCTAAATAAGAGAAACAGGGAGACAGGGAGTCAGAGTGAGAGAAGGACATGTGACAATAGAAGCAGAGGTCAGAGTGATGTGATTACTGGTTTTGAAAATGGAAGGGCCCACAAGCCAAGGATTAGTGGCAACCTCTAGAAGTTGAAAAAGGCAAGAAAACAAATGTCCCCCTACAGCCTCCAGGAAGAATACAGTCCTGCTTGATTTTAGACCTATGAGGCTCATTTTGGGGCTTCTGACCTCAAGAACTGTAAGATAAAAATTTTTGTTACTTTAAAGCACTAAGTTTTAGAGTAATTTGTTATAGCAGCAATAGGAAACTGATACACCAATATATTTTTGCTTCTGTGTTTATGGGGAAAAAAAAGGAAAGGAGCTACATCTTCCTTGATTAAAAAGTAGATTTTAATGCCATACATACAGTAGCTACTTGGTAAGTCACATTAGTATACATTTAAATAAATCTTATTGTATTAATTATCTATATGCTGCATAACAAATTACCCCCAAAACTTTGTGCCTTAGAACAACATGTATTGTCTTGCAATGTCTCTCAACTTAGCTGTGTACTGTTACAAGGCCACGATCAAAGTGTCAGCCGGAGCTGGCGCTGCGGCTCACACCTGTAATCTTAATACTTTGGTAGGCTGAGGTGGGCAGATCACTCAAGGCCAAAAGTTTGTGACCAGTCTGGCCAACATGGCAAAACCCCATCTCTACTAAAAATACAAAAATTAGCCAGGCATGGTCGTGCGGGCCTATAGTCCCAGCTACTGGGGGTGGAGGGGGGCGGGGATTGGCTGAGGCATGAGAATTGCTTGAACCTGGGAGGTGGAGGTTGCAGTGAGCCAAGATCACCCACTTCACTCCAGCCTGGGTGGCAGAGCTAGACTCTGTCTCAGAAAAAAATAAATAAATAAAGTGTCATCTGGGACTGTGGTCATCTCAAGGCTTGACTGGGAAGGATGTGCTTCCAAGCTCACACTCATGTGGTTGCTGGCAGCATTCAGTTCCTCAAGGGTTGCTGGCTAGAGTCTGCTCTCTTGTTTTTGGCCACATGGGGCTCTATATAGGGCAACTCACAACATGGCCTCTGACTTCATCAGAAGGCACAAAGATGAGCAAGTTGGAAGCCAGAGACTTTATGTAACCTAATCTCAGAAGTGACATTGCATCAGTTTTGCTATATTCTACTGGTTAGACGCAAGACTCTAGCCACAGCCCATACTCAGAGAGAGGGAATTATATAGGGCAATACGGGAGGCAGGATCAGGCAGACGTCTTAGAGTCGACCTCCACACTTATGATCTTGGTTGAAAGTACCACACATTTTTCCATATGGTCAATGACTCGAAAACAAGTAGTGATTTTTTTTCTCTCTCTCATTTGTGACTTTTAAAAATGACTGGAGTAAACCTCGAAAAATGCGTAGTGATTTTTTCCACAGGCTTCTTGCCTGTTTTTTCATAGTCTTTCTCTACTTTTAAGGAGAATGCCCCAAACATGAATGATTCATGTAGAATTTTACATTTTGAGTCTTTTCATAGAACGCAAAAGCCGATTTAATTCATGAGTAATTTTTTTGCAGAGCTCTCTACTTCCCAGCAGTACATTAGACTATTCAATCACAGTTCCCTTCATACTTAGAATATATACATAACAGTTATGGATGTAAATCTATAGGTCTTCAGAACAGTGATTAACGTGAATCAGAGCCTGAAATATCAAATTATTCAGGAAGAAGTTTAACATCATTTTCCTTTGACTGGGTTGTCTTTTTCATATTGATTTGTAAGAGCTCTTTATATATTCTGAATACTAGTCATTGTCAGTTATTTGTGTTGCAAATGTCTTTCCTGCTTTTTTTTTTAACCTTTCTATACTATGTTTCTCTATTTTAATAAGTAAAAATGCCTTAAATGTATCAATTGGCTCCTTAATGATTAGTGCTTTCTGTGGCTTCTTTAATCATCTTTCCCT
Organism: Homo sapiens; assembly: GCF_000001405.40. Classification (NCBI taxonomy): domain Eukaryota; kingdom Metazoa; phylum Chordata; class Mammalia; order Primates; family Hominidae; genus Homo; species Homo sapiens. The sequence goes on along the minus strand of NC_000023.11, from coordinate 15,415,870 downwards.
AACTCAAGATCATAAAAATGTACTCTCTACTATAAGTGCTTTGTTGTTTTGCCTTTCATATTGATACATTTATTTCACCTGGAATGGTTTTTTTAATTGTTTTTTAAATTGACTGATAAAATTGTACGTATTTATCTTGTACAACTTGATGTTTTGAAGTATTTATACACTGTGGAATGACTGAATTTAACTAATTAACATACATTACCTCACATAGTTATCATTTTTGTGATAAGAACACTTTATATTCCCTCTCTTAGCATTTTTCAAGAATACAATACATTGTTATTAACTGTAGTCACCATGTTGTACAATAGATCTCTTGAACTTATTTCTACTATTTAACTGAAATTTTGTATCCTTTGATGAAATTGGTTTTCATGTATGGTAAGATACAATTACATTTTTTAAAACATGGTTTGAAACAGAGGAAAAAATGGCAAAAATCCATGATGGAGAATGCCATGAACATTTTAAGGGGTTCACAGTTCACTGAATCATCATATAGTAATAACAATCATTATAGCTAACATTTATTAAATGCCTACTCTTTGCCAGAAACTGCTCTAAGAACCTTCCCTATCCTAAGAATTAACACCTGTAATCCTCACGACCCTGTGAGGTAAGGATTATGATTACCTCATTTTTCAGATGAGGAAACTGAGGTACAAAGAGATTAAGTAACTTACTCAATATCAATTAGTTAGTGAGTAATGGGACTGAGTTTCTGCTAGGACTCTTAACTGCCATCTTGTCCTGCACCAAACAAAAACATGGACCTTTAGTGAACAGTACTCTATTAGTAGTGTCTTGGGCATATTGGTAAATAAATCCAAGATTTTGTACATAGGTTAGAAAAACGACTATTCTTGAAAATTTTAAATGAGTAATATCATCTCATTGTGTTGTGTTTTTCTGTTATGTCACCTTTAGGAGAAAACAGGTTAAATTGATGATCAATGTAAACTAAAAACCTATTCTAAGAATTTAAATATGTTTCAATTTTGGCAGGGGTGTATTTTTTTTCATATTTTACAGGGGCTTTTAAAAAATATTTTTCTCAGGCTGGGCATGGTGGCTCACACTTGTAATCCACACACTTTGGGGGACTGAGGCCAGGAGTTCGAGACAAGCCTAGGCAACAAAGTGAGACTCTGTCTGTAATTTTGAAAAAAGGCCTCTTTCTCTTAAAAACAGTTAGGTGTCCAAATACATCCTGAAGTAATCTTAGGGTTATTTATGACTTTCCCTGCTAATTTCAGGTTTCTATTATTTTTTGAACATGTATTTAATCCTTAAAGTTCTGTATATTTCAGATCTTAATAGTCTATAAACGTGGCTTCAATCTAAGTTCGAATGCCTAAACTAGTTTCTGTTTTAGAGTGCTAAAATAGAATTTTATGATTATGTCTACATTATTTGAATTATTTTCTGATTTTTTTTCTGAGCAATTAAAAATCAGTTGTGAATACTGTGTGTCTGAAGAGGAGACAAGTTCTGTTCAAATAAAACCAAGAAATAGTAGTAGCATATATTACTTTAGTTAAAAACTTTATTAAATGTCTTGATGAGAAAACCTCAATGCATCATTGTGCACTTAGTCTCTAAAGAGCAGGATACAATTATTATGTGTCGATTTTAAACTTTTTTTAAAGAACAGGATAAGCTTCTAGGGCATTCTAATAAGCTTCTAGGGCATTCTAATACATTTGTAGTACTATTGTATTAGCAAGAAAATAATCAGCAGGGTTTGCCCTCCAGCGGGCTAGGCTTCATTCTGGGCATGCAGAAGGCTGTATTCTGAGTTTACATTCTAGAGAGCTTATATTGCTTATATATTTCTCATTCAAAATGTTAAATTTCATTTATTTCTTAGCTTTCCTGTTAGCTTCTGATGCAATGAGTGTTCAGTATTATGAATGTGGACCAAACCATAAGACAGGGTTCTCCTATAGGCTGCAATTGTGCTTACTTAAAATATGGGATCCTGAGGGATGGCTCTTAATGTTATATGCCCATGGCTTATAAACAGCCTGTAGTATGATCGTTCTGTAATGTATAAAGTGCATTCTGAGTCTATTTTATTCTGGAAAACTAACTGTCTCAAGTGTTTTGATGTGTATACCATTTTGTTATATAGTTTGGCATTTTATTATTGGTGTCACTCATCAAATTTGGTAAAACGGGCATTCTCATTTTTTTCCAATGGAATTCTCACAAGTTCAGGTAATAACCTATCTCTCAGATTGTGGAGTTACAAAGTTGACATTTCTTTATCTTGCTGTTTATATTCAGTTATAAGATGGGGGTTAAATGCCTATTCTTGGCAAGCTAGTAGATCTTACGGTGAGCTGTTACTTGCTGTATGATCAGACAACCCAACTTATGTCACCAATTCTAGTCTGCAGTGTTTGGTGGGACACAGACAGCATCCTTAATGCCATGAGGTTCTTGATGAGGACGTTTTGGGAGACGTCGCAAAAATGTAGACTTCTTTTGGGAAATGATGACCCTGCTGAGCTTTGCTCCGCAGTCGAAGAGACTAATTGGCTTGGTGTGAGGTGGGTGCAGCAGGGAGCTTAGGGCCATCTCCATAGCAATGACCCTTCTCTGGCCTGGGTCACAGCCTCATCAGAATTGTGTAACGTCTCCACATGCACAGATTTGAAGGAAAGTGGAAAAAGAAGAAAGGGGCAGGAAAATGAACTGATATTTGTTAAATACCTCCTAAGTGCCTGGCATTGTGTAGAGAAGATTAAAAACATATAACACACATATGTATGTACAGATGTATAAGGACATTTATATATGTTTATACAGACATACAATAGAAACAGTATGTTTGATGTTTCCTCATTAGACTGTGTTCATCACAACAGCTCTGTGTTATACGTATTCATTCCTTATTTTACAAACCAGCAAAGAGGCTTGAAGAGATGAAGAGTCTGGTCCTAGATCTCCCTGAGGGTGATGCACTGATGTTGAAACAGGAACTTTCTGCCTGTAATGGTGTGTGCTCATTTTTGTTGCTGTTTCATGGTTGCTTAGTTGGTTTGTTTTCCGTGGTTCTCCACAAAGCCTCCTTTAAGGTTTGCTGCTGCGCTTTGTTTCCCCACTCCCCAAGAGAGAGTTGCATGGATAGAATTAAATATGGAGGCGGGGCAGGCAGAGAGGCCATGATACTGGAGAAATGTAGGACCATATTGAGAAGAGTTTGTCTGTCAGAAGTTTGGGCTTGTCCTGGGAGAACAGGGAGCCATTGAAGGATTTTAAGTGGAGATTCTAAAAAGGTGCAATTTACGCGTGTAGAAAATGGATTGGCAGCAACCAGTTAGGGGACTTTTTTTCACCTGTATGGTTTTTATCTTAAAGAAAAGATAGATATGAAATAAGTATGGCAAACATATATGTTCATTATTTCATCCTTTGTGCTCTTCTGAATTAAAAATTAAAGTATTGAAAATAAATGAAAATTCTCTAAATCTGGGAGGGACAGGGATTAGCAAACAATTCAGTCTAACGAAGAAACATCAAATAAACCCAAACTGAGAGGCATTCTATAAAATAACTGGTCTGTACTTTTAATGAAAGAAAAAGACTGAGGAACTGTTTCAAATGAAAGAAGATTAGACATGACAACTAAGTGCAGCGTGTGATCGCAGGTTGGGTCCTGGCCTAGAAATTTATTTCTCCTTTTCCATAAAAAGCATTACTCAGATGACTGACACAATTTGAATATCCGTACATAGATAGTAGCATTGTATCAATGTTAATTTCATAATTTCCATAAGTGCACTATACTTTTGTAAGAAAATATCTTTGTTTTTAGGAAATACATACTGAAAATTATTTCAAGGTAAAGGGGCTACATGTCTGCAAATTACTCTCAAATAGTTCAGAAAAAAAAAGAATGACATATATTTATAGCAAGAAGAATGATAAAGCATATATGTTAACATGTTAGCTTTGGGGGAATCTAGGTGAATGGTGTACAATAATTCTCTGTAGTATTTTTGCAACTTTTTGATATGTCTGAAATTATTTTAAAATAAAAATTAAAAAGAATTTGGTGGAAGGAGGAGCGGGAGGGAAGAACCAGGCAGGTCTGCCTCTTGTCCTAGGAGGCCAGGGTTGAGGTCCTAGATGAAGGAGTTACCTGCCAAAGCTGATGTGGGGACTTCCGGTGGCGGGGGGGAGGTTGCGGGTATGGGAGGAGGATCTTAGGGACCAGGGTTGCTTTGCGGTCTGGCAATTATGTGATCCAGAGTTTGTGAAGGGTTGCAATCTCTCCTTAGCCCAGTTGCCCTTATCTCTGTTAATGGTGTTGGTGTGTCACCAGGCCGTGTTTTTCTATTTTTTCTGCACATACAGGTGTAAGGAATACTTGTAAGTTCATTGGAATAATGAACTCCAAGACTGAGGCAGAAGGAAAATGACCCGGGTTAAGGCAAGGAATGTAGGCTGAGGAAAGCTCTCACTAGGGACGTTTGCAAGAATTAGGAGCCTCTCTGGAAATGAGAGCAACTGCCACAGAAAATGATTTACATATTTTTTAAAAGTTTTGGGTTTTTAATGTTTGGCTAAAGGAGGTCTGACTTAAAATGCGTTGCTGACTTAACTGTCCTAGGAGGCCAGAACGAAAATGTGACCTCCCTCCCAGCTCATTTTATTCATCACTGCCCAAGGGAAGGGAAGAGCTTTTCAGCTGCAAAGAGACAGTAGCTTGCAGACCATATTTGTAGGAGAAAGGAAAATGTAGCAGGGTGTGAACTCTGACAAAGCAATAAAAATTGGGGGATGACATCAATTCTTGGTGCAGGACATAAAAGTGGGAGGAGAGGTGAGGGAAGAAAGAAAGATGAGAAGGACCTGAAAATCTGACAAGAGATCTCTTCTGTGGCTGTTGTTAAACATATAGTAAGCATTCATGAAATTTGGCATTTGTTTTCTTTTGCAGCAAGCTGAAGAAACAAAGCTTAGTGGAAATTAAACAAATTAACAGAAGCAAGTGCAGATGGGCATCATGCTAAAAAGAAAGAAAAAAGTAAATTGCCTTCATTTCTATTCCATGCCCTCTAACACTCTGTGCTTTCCAATCAGCAACATGAGTTGTGTTATTACTGGCAAAGATGGACACTATATCCTAGCAGAAGACTTTTACAAGGAGTAAAAATATATGAACACACTTAGTAAATTGACTTAGGCCATTCCTTTAAGCAAATGTTTGGTCCTTCCAGATCATGTAAAAAGATAAAAAAGGAAAAAAAACAGATCTAGGCAATTATTTGTGGACTAGATTTCTGCTTGAAGGGTGAACAGGAAGCAAAGCAGGTGGAGGAGAAATGAGATTAGAACAATCAAAATGAACTCAAATAAAAGCCTGGTTGAACTATTGAGAGTTTTGAGGTTTTGTCAAATGTGGTAACCACTTTTTAATACCTTTAAACCGTGAATAGAGGATTCGTTGTATAAATTATGACATGTCCTTACAATGGAATGCATGCAGTTTTTCCCAAGGATGAGTTACTTCTCTATGTTTTGACATGGAAAGGTATCCAAAATAGAATATTGAGTTAGTTCTAGTTTTTTTGTTTTGTTTTGTTTTGTTTTGTTTTTTTCCGAGACAGAGTCTTGCTCTGTCGCCCAGGCTGGAGTGCTGTGGCGAGATCTCGGCTCACTGCAACCTCTGCCTCCCAGGTTCAAGCAATTTTCCTGCTTCAGCCTCCCAAGTAGCTGGGATTACAGGCACGTGCCACCACGCCTGGCTAATTTTTGTATTCTTAGTAGAGACGGGGTTTCACCATGTTGGCCAGGCTGGTCTCGAACTCTTGACCTCGTGATCTGCTCGCCTTGGCCCTCCGAAGTGCTGGGATTACAGGCGTGAGTGACCGTGCCCAACCTGAGTTAGTTCTAGTTTTTAAGGAAATAACTTATAGTGCATAAAAGAAAAAAAAAACTGAAAACACAGATACCAAATTGCTAACAATATTTATGTCAGGGTAGGAATGAAGATTGCAGAAAGATTTTCAGTTTAGATGTCCCACACTTTCATATTCTTAAAATATTTTTAAATTAATGTGTTTTTTTATAATCAGAAAAAATGAAGCTATTGGTGCTCTGAAAAAGAAAAACAATTGTGGCGAAACTTTTGAAAAAGCAGAGAAGAAAGGGGTTTGGTTGTAGAGTATGATTACAAGTCAGGCTAAATAGAAGTAGAAAAGCTCAGCATTCATTAGAAAACAAAGAAAGAAGTGCTCCAGCAGAGCCAGCCCATCCAGATAAGACATGGGATCTGGCTGTAAATTATTAGTGTGTGTTTTCAGCATCTACCATGGACCTCCCCCCGCCAAAGGTGCACAATTTGCACACCCCGGCTATGCCTTATTCATTTTTGTATCTTCCTCTAAAGTACATGCCCATGGTAGATGTTCAGTAAATGATGGTAGACAAAGCTCGGAAGACTAAATATGAGTGGGTTAAGATGGGAGAAAAACGCCTGTAATCCCAGCACTTTGGGAGGCCGAGGCGGGTGGATCACGAGGTCAGGAGATCGAGACCATCCTGGCTAACATGGTGAAACCCCGTCTCTACTAAAAATACAAAAATTAGCTGGGCATGGTGGCGGGCGCCTGTAGTCCCAGCTACTCGGGAGGCTGAGGCGGGAGAATGGTGTGAACCCGGGAGGCGGAGCTTGCAGTGAGCGGAGATCGCACCACTGCACTCCAGCCTGGGCAACAGAGTGAGACTCCGTCTCAAAAAAAAAAAAAAAAAAAAAGGGAGAAAAACGAGTAAGCTATGAATAAGTAACATTACTTTCAGAGAGCTTAAACTCATTCTAGTAAAATCTCAGAGAGGAAAAACTGTGAAATAGGGGGATGGGAAAATATTCTCTGGCACTTGCTCATGTGTGTTTGTTTTGCCATCCTTCAGATTTTCTTAGTGAGACTTAATTTATGTTTTCTCAGTTATAGCTTTTCTTTTGTATCCAGTTGAACGTTTCAAGCCATCTGCCATGACAGTCATATCTTTGGAACATATTTTGGCCTCCTTGCTCCTTCTGCACTCGCCTTTGTTTACCCTGTCATCACGCTGACTCCTCCAGAGACTCCAGTGTGGGCTCTGTCCTTCCAGCATTGAACTGTGCCCTGCATTCTCTTTCCAGATCTCCTTTTCCACTGAAGGCACATGGAGGGATATCATGATTCCATTTCGACTGTGCCTTTTCTAGGTTCATATCTCTCAGTGGAAACACAGCATCTCTTCTGAGCCATGGGTACAATATATAAACATCTATGAAAATCAAGTGTTGGTGCTGAGAGTGCAAATAGCCTATTGTGAGTGATTTTGATTTCTTGGCCCCATGGGTCATGGTAGGAATCTGGTGAATTCTATATACTCTCTTTCCAGAAAAGTGTACACACTTGAAAAACTGTGAACAATTCCAGGGAGTTCACAGGCCATCCTGGAGCCCATTTATATCCCTAAGATTATGTATTCCTGCATCCCTGGAACTGATGCATATTCTGTTAGGATAGAATAAAAGAAGGAGTTCACTGGAACCAGAATGCAACTAGAATGCACTGGAACTAGAATGCAACTAAGTACAAAAAAGCAGGCCGGGTACGGTGGCTCACACCTGTAATCCCAGCACTTTGGGAGGTCAAGGCGGGCGGATCACCTGAGGTCAGGAGTTTGAGACCAGCCTGGCCAACATGGTGAAACCGCATCTCTACTAAATAATTTTATAAATACAAAAATTAGCCAGATGTGGTGGCGTGTGCCTGTAATCCCAGCTACTAGGAAGGCTGAGGCAGGAGAATCGCTTGAATCTGGGAGGCAGAGGTTGCAGTGAGCTGAGATGGCACCACTGCTCTCCAGCTCAAAAAAAAAAGCATATTTCTAGCATCAGCTTCACACTTCAGACACACTGGAGGCACAACAAATGGAAGATAAAGCCAGACTGGAGTGTTGCAGTTACTATCATAACATTACAACTGGAAGGAATAGTTTGTTTGGTAATACAGCTTGTAGCCTATAGATACACAGCCAAGTGAATTGTACACTGTACTTTGGGTGCTTCTTAAATATTTGGGACCAAGTCATTTAGGTTTAGGGGTATGTCTGTGTTTGTGTGTGAGAAAGAGAATGAGTGTCAGTGTATATTTTAAACAGTTCACAGAACTTAAATCTTAAAATGTCTATCTAAAGGGAAAAAAAGGATTTCGTCTCCAAATTTATCTTTGTGTTTGTAATACGTATATGTCTTTGTTCCTTTTGGCATTATGGACACTAACATGTTAATGTTGCTGGTCCTTTCCAGGGTGGACAAGCTTCATTTACACGATATCTGGAGATGTGTATATTGGTAAGTTATGGCTGTGTCACTTAGGGCTCAATTGCAATTTAATTTAAACTACTGAAGGGAGAAAAGGTAGGATGACACCATTTTATGTAATTGAATACTATGCCACCTTCTCTCCTACACTAGCCCTCTCTATATCCCAGCACAGGTATGCCCAGGGCAGGGTGCCTTTCAGCTTACAGAACATTCAGTGAGGGAAGAGAATATGAACACCAGTCATGACACATCCTGTGCACAGATGAAAGTCCAGGCACCATTATGTGTTTTGATACCTCGCTAAGACGTTGGCAACCTCCATACTGATAAAGGGATGGAGCTACAGTGGACTCCAAGGGGAGCAGGAATCTGCCTATCTCCTGGGAGAAGGAAATGGAAGGAGGTGAATTTGCAATGCTAGTTTCCTCTGAGAAAACTCAAAAGTGGCTTTTTTCTCTTCTTCCGAGGGTTGTATATATGTTGCTTGTTGAGTCTAATCAAGAAAAGATGTTTGAGACCTAACCAATGCTCATTTTATAGATGAGGAACGTGAAATCTAAGAAAGTTGTTTAACTTACCAGGGTTACGCATTGGTGGATGTGGGACCAGAATCAAGGTCTCCTCAATCCTGCTCTCCACGCTTCACCCCATACCTTTTGTCCAATGACAATGCAGAGATAGCACCATCTAACTTGTCTTTTCAAGTCTAAATCCCTTAGCGAACCCAGCAGCAGAAGGGACAGAGCGGGTGGGAGAGAGGGGCTTGCAGAGCAGCCTGGTTCCTGCCTGGGTCTCCTCCTCCCCTTCCCATCCTCCTAAAAGCAGCCATGGGTTCCCGTAAAAGGCTCTTGGTAGCACTGGGAGAAAACAGCTATAGCAGATGCTGTTGGTACCCCACCCACACCCCTGGGCCCTTACTTCCTGAGTGCCCACTGACCAACTAATAATAGCCAGTATCTGTGTCACTTTGCTTGAAGGCTTTTCTCTGAAACCAATCAGGGCAGCATGAAAGTACTGGAGAATTAACATTCCCAGAAGCTACCTCACCCATCAGACAGGATAACTCTGAAGCCTGTGTGAAAAGCCATTTACTAGTTTCCCAGTGGGATTACAGCCAAGCCACCTGAGTGTGCTTGATGACATACCCTTCGTTGTCTGTCTTCCCTTTTCTGTCTAACTCTCCTGACTCTGGACTGTTGTTTCCTGAGATCATCTCCCAGATAAATTCCTTGTACCAGAATATATGCATCTCCAGTTATACTTCTGAGACAGCTCAGAGAACCAGCCCCTCGTTTTCTCCTCCTCATCCCCACAGACGGTTATGGGTGGTGTGGATGGGGTGGGGCATCTCAGGGTACAGGCCAAGAATCCCCATTTCTGAGACCCTCTGCAGCTGGGTGCTCTCCACCCGCTCCTGCAGGGATGCCAGCACTGCACTTTCTGGGGCCCTAACATGGCCACCTCCTTGGGCAATACACTCCCAGCTCCAGGCAGCTGGCTGACAGATAACATCTGCTCAGGGATAGAAGGCCACACCCAGAGCTATTTAAACCATTCCTTTTATTCTCCAAAAAGGATGTTCAATTGCCTGAAATTATTCTTCTGGAAAATAATTGTAATGCAAACTCATGCATTTTGAATTTATTCCTAATAAAGTACAAATGGGCTTAGTTCCCTTTTCAGTGAATAGCATTTCAATTAGGGGTCAGGAGCAAAATTCATTTAGTTTAGCACTGGAGAAAGTGTGAAAAAAAGTCTTGTAGTAGTATCATAAGTTTATATGTACACAGCTTAAACTATATTAACCATCTGGAAGAGATGATATATCATTTGTTTTTATGATCTTCTGAAAATCCTGAGAAAAACATAGTGCTTTATAAAAATAGAAAAAAACATTTTTATGGAGGTAGTGCTCCCGACTTATGATTTCAAGAGCAACAAAATAATCTACACAAATGGAAATGAAGAAAGCACATGAATTTTAAGGTGGTAAGGATAACAGAAATGTTTGTGCAGAATGAGAAAAAGCAGGGAGAAGCAAACTTTCTGTAAAAGGACAGATCACAAATATTTTCATCTTTGCAAGGCATATAGTCTCAGTTGCAACTACTTAGCCCTGCCCGTGTCTCACAGAAGCGGCCACAGATGATACATAAACAAATTGGGTGGCTATTCCAATAAAACTTCATTTATGGTCACTGAAATGTGAATTTCATGTTTTTTCATGTGTCATGAAAGGCTTTTTTTAAGTTTGTTTCAACCATTTATAATAGTGAAAATTTTTCTTAGCCTGTGGGCTCTACCAAAGGTGACAGTTGATTTTGGTTTAAATGAATTGCAGGGAATGAAGGGGAAAGAAATTAACGAGTAATTGCCAAAACCTGTTTTAAGCAGTAGTTAGAGCCTTGTTTCCTGACAGACCTTTAGCCTGAGAAGTTAACAAGTGAAATGCTCTGCAGTTCTCGGGGTAAGAATGACCCACACATCCACTTGTTTTTCTTGAGATGAGGCAGGATTTTCCTGAGTCATTTCTATTTACTGACCTGGTCCCCCCTCGTGACCATGGGCCACAGTGCAAAACATCTGGCAAGGGATGGGTCTGTAGCCTTGGAGCAAAGTTGCATCTGTCTAGAATAAACTGGACTGTGAAGAGAATCCAGCTCACACAACTGGCCTCTTGGGACTGTGCTTTAACCAGTGAGTGGCTGGCTAAATGACCTCATTTGAATTTTATCTCCTTCCCTTCCTCCTACCAACACCCTAATGGGGGGGCGGTTAATGAGAAAAACAAAAGGGCAAGAACAAATCATCAGGGAAAAAGAAATGACGAAACAGAAATAGCTCTTGAATATGTACTGACTTATAAAATCAATAGAGAAAATCCAGAAAATGTTTTCTGACTTCACTGCCTCAATTTTGTCTTGCTTATAAAACTAGGTTGGCACCAACGAACCACAGATGGCAGGAAGTGATAAGCAAGGAATTGTCTTTTTCGAAATGTCAAACATGTTCAGTTGAAGTAGATGTAATGAATATATATATACTTGGTGTATCGGGCTGGAATAAATGGGCTGCAACTTGGGTTGAGGAAATAATCTGAGGAGACTGCATAAAATGGAAATTTAGGAGGGCTATTAAAATATTAACTGATTACAGGAAGTGCTTAAAAGACATTGATAAATTTAGTTTGACTACAAACAGGTGGAGTTTTGAACATTAGAAAATGCTCCACAGCCGGGCATGGTGGTTCACGCCTGTAATCCCAGCACTTTGGGAGGCTGAGGCAGGCAGATCACTTGAGGCTGGGAGTTTGAGACCAGCCTGGCCAACATGGTGAAACCCCTGTCTCCAGTAAAAATACAAAAATTAGCCGGGTGTGGTGATGCACGCCTGTAATTCCAGCTACACGGGAGGCCGAGGCAGGAGAATCACTTGAACCCGGAGAGCAGAGTTTCAGTGATCTGAGACTGTGCCACTGCATTCCAGCCTAGGCAACAGAGCGGGACTCTTGTCTAAAAAAAAGAAAAAAAAAAAAAAAAGAAAATGCTGGATGTTTAACTAGTTGTCAAAGTAAGTCAGTCATTTTAAAGGTAAAGGTAAGTATTGTGAGGCTATGTAATTGTCCTCTAATGACACCCTGAAGAAAAAGAGTTAACAGAGCTAAAATAAGACTAGTAGAATTCTCATTTTCTTATTCAAAGAAAGTATTCATTTGAGACTCATCTGAAAGTACTCACTTTATGCTTTTCAAGGATCTTCTTAATTTTTAATATATTTGCTTTTTCCAACAATGAAGAGCCTTCTAAACTGACTATTGAATAGTAATTTTAAAAAGTGTGCAATAGAGGGAGAGACCTTTGACAACAATCTTTTGCTAAGGCAAAAAGTTCTCTGACCAGCCCACAGCTGGAATCTGTGCATCATATGATAAAAAAAAAAAAGTCAAAAGAAAATAAAAAATACATTGTCAGAAAACCAGTAGATCCCACAGATACTAGTACCAAATCTCTTCCCTGCAGCTGTGCTGGAAATTACTTTACACATTAATGCAGAGATCAAAAGGATAGAAAAGTTTACATCCTGTATCCTTGTAGCTTGGTACAGTTTATCAGCTTGAATTCTAGTCCCCTAGAAGGCCTGATATCAAGTATACTGTTGGTGCTTAGAAAATATTTAGAAATCTAAAAACATTTGTTTGTGTTTAGTGAAATGAACTGGCTTACAAAGGCAGTAAAATGTTTTGAATTCATTTAAATAACTAATGATTCACGCTTAGTTTGTGCTAACGTTTTGAGCACAAACTTCTGTGCTCTGGTTTTGGGTGATATTAAGCAGTTTGAAACGGGCTCTGGATCTTGCAGTAAAGGCGGGGAAACACAAATGTGCACCAGCAGGCCTCATAATTGACCTCCATTTATCCAACTAACTGAATTGCCCAGTGCTCTTCATTCTATGGTGAATACTTTGAGGAAGGTGCTTGAACACCCAGGATGATCCGCTCCTCCCTGGTCTGCCTGCTCATAGCTGCTCCCATCAGCTGAGTTGTAGTGGACTTAAAGGCACCTATGTTTGTTCTCAGTCCATTTATGCTAGTTGCACCAATAATTGAAATTATGTAATTTAATTAAACAGTTGTAAATTAATTAAATAAATGTGAAAAGAGAGTTGGTATTTCCAGAACAACTAAGGCAGATGCTTTGTAAAAGTGAATTGCTAAAGGAAATGCCTTTGACACGGAAAGACAAACATCATATGTTCTCAGTTCTTTGTGGGATCTAAAGATCAAAACAATATGAACTCATGAACATAGAGAGTAGAAAGAAGGTTACCATGAGTTCATGAGGCTGGGAATGGTAGTTGGGGGCTGGGCAGGGGGAGGTGGGGATGGTTAATGGGTACAAAAAAATAGAAAGAATGAATAAGATCTACTATTTTACAACATGGTGACTATAGTGAATAATAACTTAATTGCAAATTTTAAAATAACTACAAGAGTGTAATTGGATTGTTTGTAACACAAAGTATAAATGCTTGAGGGGATGGATACTCCCCATGCTCCACGATGTGATTATTCTGCCTTGCATGCCTGAATCAAAACATCTCATATACCCCATAAATATATACACCTACTATGTTCCCACAAAAATTAAAAATTTAATAATAAGAAAATGCCTTTGAATTTGTGAAAGATTTGGGGAAACTCTAATAATCTAATGGGTGGTGCATTATGGGTATGCTTTTAAAAGAAAATGCTTCAATCAAGTCAGTAAACCCACCTTAACTGTATTTCTTTCTTTCTTTTTTTGCATTCAAGCACTCCTCCCACCTGTCTCCTGAGTAGCTGGGATGACAGGTGTGCACCACCACACCTAAAAATGTTTTGTACAGACAGGGTCTCCCTATGTTGCCTAGGCTGGTCTTGAACTCCTGGGCTCAAGCAATCCTCCTGCCTTGGCCTCCCAAATTGCTACAGGAGTATTTTTAAACATTTACAAACAAATGCACATTTATGCTTTCGTTTAAAATAAAATGTTTGAAGCAGTTTGACTGTCTTTTTCAATTAACAATCTCAATTGCATCAGATAAGAAGGCTTCAACTATACATATAAAATTGATAATATCAAACCTATGATAGAAGTACTAGAGTGTACGGAACAGAGAATAAATAGGACAGCAATTCTTATAAATAGAAAAAAAGGAAAAGAAAAATTGGCATTTGCAGAAAAGTTGTACAGCAATTAATCAGACACTGAAGATGCAGCACTAACTTTACAATAGGTTTTGAAGTATTTCACCCTTTTATGACTATTTAGGCAAAAAAATTGCAATTAAATTGTTTTCAGTTAATTTTTTCCTTAACTGTGCTATTAAATTTAACATTCTTGGCAGTGATTCCCAGTGGAAACTATTTGTTATCTGATTTGGCTCTATTTATCATTGAAAGTAGTCAGAAACAATAAGATATATTTTTTGAGACTTATTTTAGGTTCAGGAGATAACCAGATGGGCGAATAACATAAAAATGATCTGGAAATAAAGATAGAATCAATCTTTGCTTTCTGTGACCGTGACCCTGTTTTAAACATTTCATGTAATAATACAGAAGCTAAAAGTACACTTGCAGTTATTATTAACCTGGAACCCTGACTCCAGTGTCTATAAGAAAGGTTTACCTTGGTTAGGCGCAGTGGCTCATACCTGTAATCCCAGCACTTGGGGAGACTGAGGTGGGAGGATTGCTTGAGCCTAGGAGTTTGAGACCAGCCTGGGCAACATAATAAGATCCTGCCTCTACCAAAAAAAATTTTTTTAATTAGCTAGGCATGGTAGTGCATGCCTGTGGTCCCAGCTACTTGGGAGGTTGAGGTGGGAGGATCACTTAAGCCCCAGAGGTTGAGGCTGCAGTGAGCTGTGATTACACCACTGCACTTCACACTTGGCAACAGAGTAAGACTCTGTCTCAAAAGAAAATAAATAAATAAAAATAAAGATTTACAGCAGGGCGCGGTGGCTCACACCTGTAATCCCAGCACTTTGGGAGATCGAGGGGGCAGATCACGAGGTCAGGAGATCAAGACCATCCTGGCTAACATGGTGAAACCCCATCTCTATTAAAAATACAAAAAATTAGCCGGGCTTGGTGGCACATGCCTGTAGTCCCAGCTACTCAGGAGGCTGAGGCAGAATAATCGCGGGAGGCAGAGGTTGCAGTGAGCTGAGATTGCGCCACTGCACTCCAGTCTGGGCAACACAGAGAGACTCCATCTCAAAAATAAATAAATATATAAATAAATAAATAAATATTTACCTTAGAGTGGAGCATTTCAAATGACCTCTTTAGTATCAACACTGAGATTGCAAAGAGAATGGGCAGAAATTGCATCCCACATACAATTAGAGTTAGAGCCCCTTAGACAAGCTAAACTTTTTGTTGCTGAATTAAGATTTCCTCACAGACCAATGAACACCATAGTCAAGCAAGCTCCCCTGATAGGGGGTGCAGAGAAATACCAATTCAGCATTATTTTTGAGCACTCTTTTGCCAGCTCACTCCATTAAAACATAGCGAAGGGGTTTATAAACTGTTTTGGTATATGTATCACGAAACATCCTACATGACAAAATTATGGGCCAGGAGTGGACCACGTGGGTAATGGGTGTTATACATGAATTAGTTGAAGATAAAGACATGTTTCATTGCTCCCAGGGGATCTCAGTAAAGCACACTTAATGAAATGCTGCTCTGTATCACAGTTGAAAATATTACTCAACTCTAAATGAGATTTTTTTAAACTCCCAGACCTCTCTTCTATTGCCAAATCCCTGCATAAGTGGAAAATCAATGGAGTTCTATCATTTGTTTCCATGACGTTTGTTGACCTAAATCTTTGATGGAGGAGAAACCTTTAGTATTATGCTGGGGCTGGCTCTTGCTAGCTTGCAGGAGCTGATTGTGTGCCTTCCCTGGCCTCACATCAGTAGGTTGAAATTGGCCACAGTGGGAGTATTTACACCACAGATATTGGCACACACTACGGGAATCAGGTTAGTTCTCCCCTTTACTCCTGAAAGCCAACTGTTAAACATTATCCAGCACACTACTTCCTCTGGGACAGAAGTTGTTAATCTTTTTACTGCCATGGACCTTTCTGACATCTGTGAAGCCTCCTGCCTCCTCAAATAATGTTTTTAAAGTCAGTGCAGTTATGAAAATGTTAAAAGAACAGGTTTCGGATATAGCTATATGTGTGCTTCTTTAATGACATTTGACATAACATGATCTAGTAGCAGGCCTGCTCTAAATTTTAAGTAATAATTAACATAAACTATATTTTGAGATATCTACAAAACCATAATGTGATATGAAAATATCTATGATTTCTGCTGGAGACAAAGTCATCAGCCCAGCTAATACTACTGTGGCTTGTTGGCTACATTCATGATTGAAGGAGAAGATACGTTTCAATTTAGGTGTTAGTGAAAGTAAACATGTAATTTATCTCCTATCAAAGTCCACCCATGCCCTGAATTGTATCCATAGACCCCCCTTGGGAGGACATTGACTCCACGTTGAGAACTCCTGCTCTGTTAGAATCCTATTTCATGTTTGCAAGCATCAGAATGAACCCTGCTGCCTCATATTGGTTATTTCCAAAGTGGAGGTGAGAAGGTCTTCTCTAGAAAATATAGTTGTTTGGACTCCAACAAATATGTCCAAAATTCACAAATTATGTTTCTGTTTACATAATAATTGCTCAAGCTATTGTTTTCATTTAAATAAGCATTTCCTTATTGATTATTCAGCTCCAACTTGTCACATGAATGCCCTTATTTACATCCCAAAAGGGCATGCAGGTGTATCTCCCAAGACATTTTATGGGCTGCTCATTCAATTTGAAACCTTCTCTCTCCTGCCCATTAACATATCAGGGTTTTTCCCAACTGCAAGACCTAATCCAAATCTCACCCCCTCTCTACAGCCTTCTGTGGTGCACTTTGGCCTCTCCAGTCTGTAGCCTTCTCTTGCAGAACCACTCTTGCAATCTTCAAGTCACTACATTCTTCTGCTCCTAGTGAGAATCATGTTAGAATTTTCTCTCTCCAACTGTTGCCAAATCCTTTAGATTTCTTTTTCAACTCCACCTGTCAAATCCATCCCTATCTTTCTGTTGCCACTTTCTCAATTCAGAGTGTAATTCATTTTCACTTAGACTGTTACAGCAAACTCCTAACAGGTCATCCTAACTTCAGTGTTGTCCCCTCCAATTCACTCCACATTCTGCCATCATAGTCATTTCTCCAAGACACAGATCTGGTAATTTCACACACACACACACACACACACACACACACACACACACACCCTCCCTCCTCAAGGGCTGTCAATTTTATACAGATAAACATGGGTTTAAAGGCTTTCCCTGATCTGAAGACAGCTTACATTTCCATCGTTCTTCCCAAAAGACTGTTCCAAGAATGGTAGAATTTTCACTGCAATCTTTTCTCTTGTCTAGAATGCCCTTTCCCCCAGATTTCCCTCTTGTGGTTTATCTAATCCTACAGAGCTCTGTTCAAGTCTTACCTCCTCCACAACAAATATCTGTGGTCCCTAGACCTGCACAAGCCCCCATCACCCCTGTTCTCTTATTGAACTTTGCTTATGAATTTATCGTTGCCTTTAAGAGACACTTTCATTTGTATTATTTTATTTGTAAACCTCAGTATAGAAGAGATGGAAATGTATCTGTCCTGAATATTCCCACAACATTTAGAACAGGGTCTTTTTTTAATACTTTAAGTTCTAGGGTACATGTGCACAACATGCAGGTTTGTTACATAGGTATACACGTGCCATGTTGGTGTGCTGCACCGATTAACTCATCATTTACATTAGGTATATCTCCTAATGCTATCCCTCCCCCCTACCCCCACCCAAGGGTCTTATTCAGAGTTCAATAGCTATTATTCAATAGCTGTCCAACTTACTTATTTTTCAGTTGAATTATTCTCTGATTATTTTGTGTGTATAGATTTAGTTTGCTCCAGCAGGATTTTGAATTATTTCTATGAAAGGAATCTACTTTGCATGTCTCTGTATTGTCCCATAGTGCTAGGCAATTGTAGGTACTCAATTAATACTTGTGGAAATGAATTAATTATGGCATTTGATAATTTTTCTAACTATTTTTAATTCTTATAAACTTTATAATTTACCTAAGGAAACATGAGCACATAATGCCAAGGACTTTGCTTATCAATTAAAGTGTAAATGGAAACACACGCAGGATTCATCTCCTTGTCCTTTTTCAAAATTGAAAACAAACTAGTTTCAGGCTTTAATAATAGCAAATATAATTAACCAAGAGATTCAAGGGAATTACTAAGTCCATTATTTCTCAAATTAAAATAAATGTTGTGGTGCTATATAGTTAACCAAATAAGTAACCATATAACAAATGTACTATAATGGGTATTAAATTAGTGTGTCATTGGTTTTGTAGGGCCCGATGATGCACAACAAAAAATAGAACCTCATCACACAGCAGTGCTTGGAGAAGGTGACAGTGTCCAGGTGGAGAACAAGGTAAGTATGTTATTTTCCTTTAACTTTCTTAACATGTACTTTCTACTGGTTTCCAAGAAAATGCCTAAATGTTGTGGATAACTGAAAGTTTTTCTCTCTTCCTTGGAGAAGAAATTATACCAGAAGTTTATCATGTCTTTTCATTAATTTCTGCTATTTCTATGGGTTTATTTTAAAGTTTTATCTTTATTGATTCTTTATCTTCAGAAATCATATAAAGTCCCTATTGTTTACCCCTGGAAATTTGAATCTGGAAGCAACACATCTTTGTTGTCTCTTAATTTTCTTTCTTTATACAATTGATTTATTTTGTTTTTAGCATAAGTGAAAATAGATCAGCCCTATAGAAGTAGAAATATAAATCTACATGCATACTCACATAGAGCCCTTTGAAAAGAATCCCCACCTTGGCCGGGCGTGGTGGCTCACGCCTGTAATCGCAGCACTTTGGGAGGCCGAGGCGGGCGGATCACGATGTCAGGAAATCGAGACCATCCTGGCTAACACGGTGAAACCCCGTGTCCACTAAAAATACAAAAAATTAGCCGGACATGGTGGCAGGCGCCTGTGGTCCCAGCTACTCGGGAGGCTGAGGCAGAAGAATGGCGTGAACCCGGGAGGTGGAGCTTGCAGTGAGCCGAGATTGCGCCACTGCACTCCAGCTGGGCAACACAGTGAGACTCCGTCTCAAAAAAAAAAAAAAAAGAATCCCCACTTTGAACTGAGAGGAAGATAGGATGCATTTCATAGTCTTTTTGTGATGAATCCCTGCTCTTTAAGTAAAGTTTCTGATATTTTAGGAGTCTTGGGAGGTTTTTATTCCCAAATTTCCAGGTTTCTTTCTCATGTCTATTTCATTCCCTTGAGTAATTCAGTCACCATGTTGTGAGTCTGTTTAGTCAATCTGACTGCTTTATGTCATTCTTATAAAGAGGATTGAGGAGAAAATTGTGCAAAAGCTCCTGAAAAAAACAAACTTTGAAAACTATTTTAGTGTGTGGATGACTAGTGCCGAGGCAGTCGGACTGACTTCTGGCCTTCTGACCCTGCCTGTTGTTATAGAACACAGTGGATTTGAGGAGTTATTAGATCTTAGCCCACTTTTCTGGCAGCAATCTACTGCTGCTTTAATCATCTGCAGCACCACCATGAACTGTGAGGTAAACGGAAGAAAAACCTGATGAGCACTAGAAAAATGCATATGTCAGGGTCAGTGCCCTTTAATATTAGACTGAGCCATATGAAACTGCGACTTTTGACCGACAAAAATGTCTATTTTATATCTTTCAATCCAATACAGGAAAGAGGCATGAAAGCTACACATAGGCCAGAACCTACTAATATCAGAATGGTTTGTAACATTATCTGGTTTAACTTGGCAACCTCAGTTCTTCCTATAATACACAGAGAGCACATTGCAGATAAGGAGTTGGAAGCTAAAACAGAACACCAGAAAGAAGTGATGAAGGGAGTCAGAAGAACAGGTGCAGCCAACATAGAAAAGAGTCAGCTGAAACCATCAATTCACTGGCAAGCAGCACTCCTGGCTCCAGTGGCATCGTTCTGTTATGTGCAATTCTGTAATTGTTGCTGTGTATAAGCATAGCCTGAGCCATCAAAACCTTAGAAAGATTTCTATGAAAAAATTGATATTAAAAAATCAGCATTTAAAGGCAGCATGTGTCACTTATATCCACACAATAGTAGAAAGTCCCCTTTAGATTACAGCAGAAAAGAAATTCTGAAGGTTTGAATCTTGGCTTTACTGCTTGTTAGCTGTTGTGACTTTGGACACGTTTGTAAAGCCCTCTGAGCTTCAGTTTCTTTGTCTGCAAAATTAAAATAATACTGCCAACTGCAAGTGATTGTTAGAAAGAATATTTGAGATTACGTATATTACAAGTCTACTCCAGATTGAGCATGGGGGTCAGTAAATTATGTCCAATAGGCCAAATCCAAACCTTTTTCATAAAGTTTTATTGGACCACAGCCACACCCATTCGTTTCCATATTGTCTATAGGTTCTTTTATCCAATAACAGTGGAATTGAGTAGTTGTGACAAATAAAGCCTAAAACTCTCTGGCCCTTTACAGAAAAGGTTTGGTTTACTACGTTGTAGATGCTCAATAATGGTAACTGGAAAGTTTATGAATCCAAATATCTAATTTGATAGTCATACCACATGCATGTTACCTAATAAGGATTTATACAGTAGACCTGAAGGCTTAGGGCACATAACAGTTTCTACAGGTAGAAGAAGGCTCCAAGAGACCCTGACTCACTCACGCTCCAAGCCAGTGTTATCCTCACTTGAACCTAGCATTAGCCTGAGGATTTGATAAAGAAGGAAGATGTGACTGCCCAGTGCCGCGCCAATCCCATTTCCACTAAACTGTGGTCAAGAATGAGAAGCTGATTTTTTGCCTGGCTTTTTTTCTGGCTCTGTTCTTCCTGCACTTTTACTACTCTTCCTTTCTGTGTTCTCCACCATCACACCCATTTGACTACTGGTTGACCAGTAGTATGGGCAGTATCTCCTATAGTGGCCAATCTCCAGGACAGGAGAGGAGGACAAGGAAGGGATGATGCAAAAGACTACAGCTTCTTTCTGCCCCAGGTTTCCCTGTTCCATCTTAGAACTTTTTCAGAGTTCTTAGAGATTGGAATCAACTCCAGACTACTCTGGACATTTAATCCTGGACTGGTACCAGTCATCCCAGAATAGCTTCTGTTTCAAGGGCTAAGGCTTCCTGTGCTGCTTTGACCTACTGATGGTACTCTGGACTTTCTCTTAAGATGATGGTTTCCCTGATGGCTCCACGATCAGGAGTACTAGAGTTTGATATGAAAGGCTCCATCTCACCCTTAGGCTTATGTTTATAGTGGTATACTATTGAGAAGGTCTTAAGCCTCATGGATTAGCAAACTCACCCGTAGTGGACCAAGGAAGACAATCAATACCTCACTGGCTGTCATCAAAGCCATACTTCACTGTAACAGTGCTTTTTAACTGGCACTATTCATGGAAAACTCATTAATATAATAAAGATTAACATTTGACTATATATAGCATTTGATTAAAATAAACATTGAAAGACAGAAATAAAACAAAACATCCTGTTAAAACTAGAGAAAACTTTTTTGCTTGTTTAGTGTAAAAGTTCATGATGAAATAAACCACTAAATTTTTAAGCTGATAACAGTTACTTGTTTGATCTTTTCATTGGCCCAAGAAGTATAAACAATGAAGTCTGGTAGGAACAAATGCATGCAATAAGTCATGCTAAAGCACAGTTTCTTTCTGGTAATTTTTTTCAGGTAATATATCACTATAATCAATGTTATTGATGCAAAAACATGCCCTTCGATCAGCAGTCCCCAACCTTTTTGGCATCAGGGACCAATTTCTTGGAAGACAATTTTTCCTCAGATGGGGGTGGCTGGGAATGGTTTGGGGATGCTTCAAGCGCATTACCTTTATTGTGTACTTTATTTCTATTATTATTACATTGTAATATATAATGAAATAATTCTATAACTCACCATAATGTAGAATCAGTAGGAGCCCTGAATTTGTTTTCCTGCAACTAGATGGTCCCATCCGGGGTTGATGGGAGACAGTGACAGAAATAATTCTATAACTCACCATAATGTAGAATCAGTAGGAGCCCTGAATTTGTTTTCCTGCAACTAGATGGTCCCATCCGGGGTTGATGGGAGACAGTGACAGATCATTAGGCATTAGATTCTCATAAGGAGTTTGCAAACTAGGTCCTTCACATGTGCAGTTCACAACAGGATTTGTGCTCCTATGAGAATCCAGCACCACTGCTGATCTGACAGGAGGCAGAGCTGGGGTGGTAATTCGAGCAGTGGGGAGTGGCTGTACATACAGATGAAGCTTCACTACCTCACCTGCCACTCACCTGTTGTGCAGCCCAGTTCCTAACAGACCACCAATTGGTACTGGTCCATGGCCTGGGGGTTGGGGACCCATGCCTTAGATTCATACTCAGAGTCCTACTGCCATCTTGAGTTTTATATTTATAGTTGATCAAACTGAGTAGCTACTCATAGTTTAGAAGTTATCAACATATTAAGTGAACCATAAAACTTTCATCTGGGCTTTGATCATTTATTGTTGGTATCAGCAGAACTCGAGACATATCTTGGCAAAAATACTTATGGAATAACAAGAGCAACTTAAAAAAGTAAATTATTAAGTAAACCCAGAAGAGCTTAACTCTGTACCAGAAACTCTGAAAAGGTGCACCAAAGCAAAAGACATGGTGCCAAAAGATGGTGAACGTTAGTTGGGGTGAAGTAGTAAGTGGACCTCTGCTACTTTTGTATGGGTTTTTAAAATCAAATCCCATAAAGGCATTTAGAACCATGCAAGGACTTGGGTTTTAAATGGGTATTTAATTCTCTTGGCTTTTGCATGATTTTCATCATTTGACACCATAGACAAAGTCATCATAGACAAGGACTTTTCAAGATAACAGCAACTGAGACTTTCAGCCACATCATCACTGTATTTTCTGGAATATCTGGAAAGATGATTAGATTTCACCAAAGAAGGCAAGTTAAGGAAAGAAAATGTCATCTAGGTTCATGTTTGCATATTTTGACAGCTAGTTGGGTTATGGATAAGTAAAGTGATGGTACATAAATAAATATAGGCCTTGCAATGGTTAAACAGAGACTTTTTAAAATGTAAAGAAGTGATCAAAACATCAGCTTTGATTTAAAAAGTATTAAATGACCCCAGCCCTGAGATTGTAGGGAGTAAATCAAGACTTTTGAAGAAACCATTCTACCCTACAGTCCCATTTATTTTTTAAGTTGAAGGCAGGAAAGGGAAACAAATTTCTGTCATGTCAAATACGGTAGTTTTTATTAAATACATGGAAGATTAAGGAATTAATTATTAATTTTATTGAATCCAGTAATCTTCTGGAACTAGTAACATTACAATAATTTCTAATTAAAGAGCTTTGCATTAATAGAAGTATGATATAGTATAATATTGACTTACATATTTAGAAATATGCTATATTATTAGAATTGGGGTGAAGTTTCAAAAATTTTGAAGGCTTCATTTTAAAGTGCGTAATCATTTTGGCTTTGTTTATTGTTTTATTCTAAATAAGATATACCTAAAAGAAGCCTGAAAAGAGATATATAATGTTCAGTTATCTATTAGTGAGTAACCACGCTAAAATTTAGTGGCTTAAAATAACAATCATTTATTATTTCTCCATGTGGTGGGGAGTTCTAATGCCGGTTTCTCTGGGGTCACTCATGTGGCTGGCAGGCTGGGAGCTGGGCTCTGCTGGGGCTGTTGTTTAGAGATGCCTGAGTTCTGCTCTAGGTAGCCCCTCCATTTGGCTAGTTTGGGATTCCTCGCGAGAGGGCAGTCACAAGACAGCTTCCCAGAGAGGGAGCATTTGCTTATGGGAGGAGCTGTGGAAATGAAGATAGGAAAGCAGAAGCTGGGGAATCAGAGAAGTCACCAACCAGTTAATCTGGAATGCCAAGCATATTCAGGCACTAAAATGAGGCCACAAAAGAAGTCTAGTGGAGAAGTCTGTAGTTCTGCAGCTTAGTGTCTAGGGATGGAGCTGCGGCCGTTCTTAGCAGAATTAGCAGTCAGGAAGAAGAGCTGGACATGGCATGCAGGAGGATGAGGACAAGCTAAAGTCTAGCAGCACCTCTGACTACCTGTTACAACTAACCGCCACATTGTCTCAACTTAACTAAGTTACCAGGGCACAAAACACCACATAGAAGTGTATCTAAGTACATATGTAATTCACTTCTGACGGAACTACAGTTCTCCTTAATTTCAAATCAAACACCCATTTCTAACAAATAAAATTACTGAAAAGTGTATATATGTATGATATACGTATGATTTTGATAGATAGGACTCTTACAATTATAACATGTGAATTACTTAAAATACTTAGTTTTATATAATGAAATGATCTAATGATTGTTAAACCAGAAATGCATTTGATTACAAAACAATTCCCCAAACACAGACTTTAGAAAATATATATTTTATGTTTCCTTTTAACTTTTAAAATTAGCAAATTTTTGTAGCAATTTGAAAATAATACAGAAAAGCATAAAGAAGAAAATAAAATTTGCTTTAATTCTCATTATTCAGAAATAATAAATGCTAATATTTTAGTATTTTTAATCCATAGTATATACATACCATTTTGTGATATTTACAAAACTTACAAGACATTATGAACATTTTATTACACACTTAAATATTTGTTGAGAAAATGAATTTTAATAGCCACTTGATAGTTTTTCTTATAAACATATAATTATTTAACCAACCCCTCACTTTTGGAGAAATGTTTTCAATTTCTGCTGTGATAAATAGTGCTACGACAGTGAAATTCCCTTACACTGTATTGCTAAAACTGTCATTACTGGATCGGAGGACATTAGCAATATTGGGGGTTTTGAGTCATATTGTCAAATTGCTCTCTGGAAGGATTACTGCACCAGTTGAAAATCTCCCAAACGATATATGAAAGTGTATTTTTCCCTGTATCCATACTAGCACTGGATATTATGGTTAATATTTTTTCCAGTTTCAGGAAAAAAATTGAATCCTTAATTCTAAGCAAAAACTTTTAGAGACTTTAACGTAATAGGACCCTTTTGGAGGGAAATTTGCTTGAGCAGATGTCCCTTGGATGCTCTGTTTTTATAAGGTTCCATTTAGTGCAATATTTCCGGGGCATATTTTACATTATTAGTAATAATTTTCAAAAGTAACAAAATCTTATTTTGGATTTCCATAACTAATCTTCCCTTTTAAAAATTATATGGTAACTGAGAAATCATAAATCCCATGATAAGCCATTTAATCACATGGTTTGTCGTGAAGATATTTCCAGTTAAAGAAATCTTAATTTAAGTTCTCCTTCTTAAATTTGAGAATGTTAATATTTTGGTGGCTTGGACTTATTCTTGAGTTCTACTTGCTACTAAACAACGTAAGAAATAAACATGTCTATATTGAGTGTTGCACAGAAAATATTTTTGAAAATTATATTCAGAATTAGGAACATCGCCTATTTGGCTAGCATGTCAATTTCAAATTGTTCACAATTTGATCTTCAAAAATAAGCCTGCTTATTGTTTGATGTTTTCTTTGTTAACTTTAGGATCCCAAGAGAAGCCACTTTGTCTTAATTGCTGGGGAGCCATTAAGAGAACCAGTTATCCAACATGGTAAGACCAAAATGACAATGATTTTCTTGGTTGATTTTCCTTTTCTTTGAAAACAGTATACATGTATACTATTGTTGGGAAGAATAGCTGGTTTTTTTTGTCCTGTCTCTCCATCTATAAATCTGAGGATTGTTTAATTTTTCTGTCATCAGAGGGAAATATATATGTGATGTTTATTCATCTCTTTTTTTTTAAAGAAACATTTCTTAGATACCTATTATGTATAGGATATTGAGTTTGGAACTGTGGGAAGAACAAAAATAGTATTTTTGTATTATGTCATAGGGAATTTTAACTTGAAAAAAGAGTCTACAGTCTACTGGGAACTTTAACATCCTTTTTATCTTTATCAAAAATAAAGGTGATTTCAATACTGTCCTGTAGTCTATTGCATTTTTAGTAAAAAATATGAAACTCTTAGGAATAGTATTTTTAAGAAAATAGTTGTTATTTTTTGTTTATTTAAAAAAATGAGTAGAGGTAACTGATATAGCCGAAATAGTACTATACTTAGAGGCAGAAAATCCTGGCTTAAGTACCCATAACGATTACTTCAACTCTTTGGGTTTTGACTTCTTCATATCATTGTTGTTTGATTAAATGAGGAACATCTAAAAGCAATTAAAACCCATTTTATTATTTAGATAAATGCTTACAAAACATATGTCCACTTCACCAATTATTAAATTCAACGTGCATTAAAATCCCATTGCATTTCCCTGCCTTGCATGAATTCCCAGGTACACACAATGATTGCAGATAAACCCCAGCTGCTCATGAATTTAAAGAACACGGATTGCTTTAAAAATATTCTTTTTTGTTCTACTAACTACTTCAGGGGGAACATTAAATTGTACCCTGCCTTGCCTGTAGCATTTGACAACCATTTTGTACGCATCCGATTTCCATTCCAAAGGTTTGTGGTTCTTGTTTCCTTTTCTCTCAACTGAAAAGCACTGCAATATTATAGTTTGTTTTTCTGGAAAAAGCCTTCAGACAAACTGAGTAGGGTCATAATCTTTATTCCTAGTAACTAACATTTAGGTGGGAAAAACATGTGTGAGATGGAAGTCTTATTTTAGGCAATCTCCTCTGTACCAATAATGAAAAGCAAGAGTCTAACTGAATTAGGTGACAGATCAAAGGAGTGGGACTGCTCAAAGCCACCCTACACTGGGGTCATGTGGATCCTCTCCCAGTGGCTTGGAACACAGGGACACTAGGTATGCCTGCACATACAAACTCGGAGTAATCAGACAAAATAAATATGTCCCTTGAAAGTTCAGTTACTGAGAAGCAAAGCATTTTGTTTTTATTTTTTAACTTTTAAAAACTCAGACATTTAAGTTTTTCTTTTACTTATGTGTGTTTAAAGGCAGCCACAACCATCTCTTGATTGGGAACTTGCACAGATCTCATGAATTACCTAAGACCCTTTCTCCTCTTATCATCGTGTGTCCTTAATTATTCATCCACAGATTAAGCACAGGAAATCATAGAATGTTAGGATAGAAAATAACCTTAGCCATGATGTAGTCATGCCTCTTTTATAGATGAGGAAAATAAAATCCAGATATTTTATTTATTTACTTAATGGATGCTTGCATAGAATTTACTATTTCCTAGACATTGGTTAAAGCACTTTCCTAATGTTAATCCGTCTAACCTTCAAAACAACCCTATGAGGTTGGTACTCTCATGCCCATTTTACAGATGAAGAAGCAGAAGGTCAAAGGTTCATTGGCTTACTCAAGGTCACATAGCTGGATTCACACTCAGGCTGTCTGTTTTCCAAACACCCTGCCCTTCTGCCTCTTACCATGCTGGTCGTCCATTGCTCTGCCCTGTAGCTTCTCTAATGGAAAGCGATTGTTAGCAGTGGAGCTGGGACTCGAACCCTAGTCTCCTGACCCCATGTCTTATGTTCGCTCCACTATACCAAAGTTCTACATAACAAGAGGTTAGACACACCATTTTATACAAGAGGGGGGCTTCAGAGGCTTAATTAGAGAAGTGATGAAAGCTATAATTTGAAAGAGAATTATAGGTAACTATCAAATAATTTTCTTGTTCACAACCCTTGTAGTTGATCAATTTAAAAACATGCTTTCTGGATTCAGTTTTCTCCTTGAAGATTTGAGGAGATAAGCTTCATCAGTTAGCTTTAGGGGACTCTAAGCTTCCAATGCTTCCCTGTATAACAGAGGTTATACTTGTTTCCTAAAGTGTGGTCCATGGACCAGCAGTATCAGCATCACTTGGGAGATAGTTAGAAATGCAGAATCTCAGGCCTCACTCCAGACCTCCTGAATCAGAATCTGCATTTTAATAAGATTCCCAGCTGATTCATGTGCACGTTATAAATTGAGAAACATGGCAGACTACCCCAGAAAGTGTCAAAATGGAAGCCTAGAAGCACACCATTCTTACAGAAAACAGTTGGGGGATGGGAGTACTGCTCCACAAGTCCCAACCATAGCAAAATTATGAGGCACAAGAATTTGGTCCTTGACTCAGTACCTGCTCCCATCTTCCAAGTTGCATTTCCCTTTCCCCTGCGTGTCCTTTAAAAAGTTGTCTTCCCCAGGGTACCCTCTTGGGTTTATTGTTTATTCTGCATATGTTAACTCTCTTTTTCTTTCCTACCTGATATAGTCCAAACCTCCATTTCCAGATGAAATTTCTCTCATGAGCTCCAGATCCATAGTTTCAACAATGTACCAAAAACCTCTGCTTGGGAAACCACTTTATTGTCTCTAGTACTTCTATGTTAAAATACTCAGAACTGGGCCGGGCGCGGTGGCTCATGCCTGTAATCCCAGCACTTTGGGAGGTCGAGGCTGGCAGATCACTTGAGGTCAGGAGTTTGAGACCAGCCTGGCCAACATGGTGAAACCCAATCTCTACTAAAAATACAAAAATTTAGCCGGGCATGGTGGCACGTGCCTGTAATCCCAGCTACTGGGGAGGCTGAGGTGTGAGAATTACTTGAACCCGGGAGGCGGAGGTTGCAGTGAGCCAAGATCGCACCACTCACCACTGCACTCCAGCCTGGGCGACAGAGCAAGACTCGGTCTCAAAAAAAAAAAAAAAAAAAAAAAAAAAAAAAAAGAAAAGAAAAGAAAAACAAAACAAAAAATATCCAGAACTGAACACCTTGCTCCATCCAAAGCCTCCCACGTCCTGTATCTCAAATACCCTTAACAATTCCACCATTGACTCAGCCTCCCAAATTAGACACCTGCTCTTCTACCTTGATGCCAAAGTCTTCTTTAAAAATTATAAATCATATTATATTACTCCCTACTTAACCTTACAGTGATTCATAATCACCTGCAAAAGTAGGTCCAAACTTCTTCCTGTAGATTGCATCCAAAGCCCAGAAGGGTCTGGTTTCTTCCTATATTTCAGATCGCCATTTTTTCCGCCTTTGATCCCTCCTTCCACCACTGTACCCCTATCCCCTCCAGTATTCCTCCAGCATACTAAGCCTGAACATGCCTTTCCTCCGTGTGTGACTGCTCAAACATCACTCCCTCTGTGAATCCTTTCCTGGATTTCTCCTCCTCCCCCTTTCTGTGTTGATTTTATAGTTTTTACACTTTTATCCTTCCATATTTCAAACAGTTTTGTAATGATTTCTTTTCATATCTGTGTGATAGATTTGAATCCTTGAGGAGAGGGAGTCTGCCATTTATTTGTCTTTCATCTTTATGTCTCTAGCTTCTAGCACAATGTCTGTCATTTAATGGGCATTCAGTACATAATAGATAGGTAATTGAATGAATGGATTTAGATGCCTGGGTGTTTTCTTTCTACTTGTATTCTATTCCCCACATCCTCTCCAAAGATTTCAGCATCATCAAGACATATTATCCTGTGTCTTCCTTCTGAAGATTTAAATTATAGTGATCACCAAATCCATGTTGATATGATAACAATGGTTAAGAAGTTTGAATATGTTATTTTCTCTAAGCAATACAGTTGTATATTAATCAGAATCTCCCAGAGAAAGCCCCTTAGAGCAGGCAGTTCCATAAAAGGAATGTCAGGAACTTCTGCAGGCTGGATGAGGACATACACTGAGTGAACAAGTCTGTCAACTGCTCTAAAGACACTGTCAATGCCATATAAAAGCTGGCCTTGTTCATCTAGCAGATCATGGGGGTGAGACAGTCCAGTGCCTCTCTGCCCCTACAATATATGAAGAAAGGGGAAGAAACACACATTGCCTCCTGGTAGATTAGGGGAGGACTTCTTGTACATTTTTAGCAAAATCCGAGTTCAGACCCAGCAATTAGACAAAAGGGTCAGCAAACTATGGTCGATGGGCTACATCTGCCCACTGCATGTTTTTGTAAATGAAGTTTTATTGGGACACAGCCATACCTATTCACTTTTGCATTATCTATGGCTGCTTTTGCACTTTGATGAAAGAGTTGAGTAGTTGAGACAGACACTGTTTGACCCACAAAATCTAAAATACATACTATCTAGCCCTTCCTAGCAAACATTTGCCAACCCCTAGAAAACTTTTAAAAAATGATGCTCTTCGACTTGAAATTTTTATAATCTTCTGTTTATTGTCAATAGGTGCTGCTGATTTTCAAAAAATGACTTAGAATCCTCAAATAAGTATACAGCCTTATATGCTGCTTAGACACCAAAGCTATGATAAGATTTGTCAGTTCTTTGTATCAGATGGGTTCAATTCTTGACATCAGCTAATGTTATAAAAATAACTACAAAATTGGTTGTAATAGAACCAAATCTAAGACTCTTTTTAATAAAAAAGATCACCATTGCTGGTGAGAAACCTATACTGAATGGGTGAGATGCCATTGCATTTATCTGAAGTTTCGTCTTTATAATCAATAATCATATACAATCCTAGTCAAGAAACTCATCTTACAGTCCTTGGGGATTGAACACTGTGAAAATAAACTTTTACTCTTCGGATGTGCTTGGATTTTGTTTTAAATTAAGAACTACAGAAATATATATCATTTCTAGTGGTAGAGGAAAATATTGCCACCCAGAACTTTCTGAATGTCTCTTTCTGCCCTAGGTCCATTTGTGATGAACACCAATGAAGAGATTTCTCAAGCTATTCTTGATTTCAGAAACGCAAAAAATGGGTTTGAAAGGGCCAAAACCTGGAAATCAAAGATTGGGAACTAGTGGAAAGCGGAAGAGCAGGTCTTGATGTGTCCTAGAATTTTGCCATTTCTGAGATTGAGCCATTGAAGGCATTCCATTTCTAAAGCTTATTTAGCCGGTGCTTCTAAAGAATTCCACACTAACGTGATAACATGGTTTTTGTAACAATAAATGTAGGATATTTCCTGGCACATGCAAATAAACCTAATCATTGTTTCTTTAAAAATCAGTGTTTTTCATTTGAGATACCTAAGTTACTAAGCTTCTGTTTAAAAAGTCGTTTTGTGTATGTTTGCCTTTTTTTGCATGTATGGATGGATGTTTTTATTATTTTTGTGCATGTGCAGGTTTTAAAAATCATATTTGATTGCTTTCTGTGTGTCATTGGCAGCAGATGCATGAGCATCTGAGGTCCCTTCTTAAGCAATCCCACTGAGATACAAAGGTCAAAGCTATGTGCTGGGGTTTCATGTTACAGGTTATCTGCTTTAAAATAACGGCAGCCCTGAACATTTGAGTCAGTTCTTAAAACTGCCCTGCTATTGGTAGGGACGCAACAGGATTACAGCCAAGACTTCTCTGCATTTTCTGCCAAAATCTGTGTCAGATTTAAGACACATGCTTCTGCAAGCTTCCATGAAGGTTGTGCAAAAAAGTTTCAATCCAGAGTTGGGTTCCAGCTTTCTGTAGCTGTAAGCATTGGTGGCCACACCACCTCCTTACAAAGCAACTAGAACCTGCGGCATACATTGGAGAGATTTTTTTAATTTTCTGGACATGAAGTAAATTTAGAGTGCTTTCTAATTTCAGGTAGAAGACATGTCCACCTTCTGATTATTTTTGGAGAACATTTTGATTTTTTTCATCTCTCTCTCCCCACCCCTAAGATTGTGCAAAAAAAGCGTACCTTGCCTAATTGAAATAATTTCATTGGATTTTGATCAGAACTGATTATTTGGTTTTCTGTGTGAAGTTTTGAGGTTTCAAACTTTCCTTCTGGAGAATGCCTTTTGAAACAATTTTCTCTAGCTGCCTGATGTCAACTGCTTAGTAATCAGTGGATATTGAAATATTCAAAATGTACAGAGAGTGGGTAGTGGTGAATGTTTTCATGATGTTGTACGTCCAGCTGGTGCAGGGCTCCAGTAATGAACATGGACCAGTGAAGGTAGGTGAGCTCAATTTTTAATGTGATGAAGTTCTTTTTATTGGCTCATACAGAGGACTTTCTTTGCCCTCACTATTTTTGAAACAATATAAAAATGCAGAACCATCCTAGTAGTGGACTGGACAGGATATATCCTGCATTTCTTGGTGACTGTTCTGTTTCTTAGTCTTATTAAACTTCTGGCCATGAGTATTTGAAAATGCTGGGGTGGGGGTTGGTTGTTTTTTGAAGTTATGGTAGAACATGAGCAGTCTGGAATCTTTTTGGATGGAGAAGTTTCTCCTCGGTTGCATATGCAGATGGCACAGTGGTTTTTTAATGAAACATTGATTTGTTTTTATGACTGATAACTTTGTGGGCCATTTATTTTCAGGTCTTTGTGAGCAGCAGAGGTTAGTTTATTCGTTTGGTAAATTGAAAATTGCAGTGCTTTCTATGAACATTTTCTATCTGCTTTTGCAAATTACCAATTGCTGCCATCCAGAAAAATGTTTTCTCAGAGAGTGTTTGGTTTTTTCGCTTCTTGAAAGGTGTAAAATTCAACACTAATCAAATCTTTGGTTCTGTGAGCAAGCATCAAATAGAGCTTAACGAACAGAGAGTAATGCAAAAAATTAACCAGAATGTTGCTGACTGCTGGAACAATACTTAGCCCAATTTTATGCATTTCATGGATTATATATATTTTAAGCTTCTATTTTGAAAATGATTCGGATGTAATTGTTTTGACTGAAGTGGTGCTAAATCATTATTGATTTAGGAACTTCTGGCCTTGAAAAGACAATTAAATGTGAGTTTGAGTTTTTGTAGCTGTTGTTTAGGACGTGCATTTTCAACAGGGGTGATATCGCCCCCAGCAGGGGAAAATTGGTTCGTGGAGGGATGAAAAAGTTTTACCCTTTTGATACATCACGCACAGACGTACATACAGTACATATGGTATGTAGTTTAAAATACGTTATACATTCAAATTGCATAGGGGGAAAGTGTCTTCAAAGGCTCCTGGCTGGTGTTGGTGGCCTGGCGAGGGTGGGGGCTGATATTTAAAAATGTTGAACACTGAGCTGGAGGTGAGTGGGAAGTCACCTTGTCTGGCAGCCAGCACTTTTCTAACTTCTCAAATTCCAAATTTACATGGGAGAAATCACAGTGTTTGGCTCCATTTTACTGCCACCAGCCTTGATATTGGATCTCAAGGCCAGATTGTAGGTAAATGGGAATCTGACTGTAAGCATAGGTAACAGGAGAAAACGGTCTGACTTGTTTGAAGCAAGTAAGACTTTTCCGACTGTCCAGCTTTTTCGTAAGTTCATGAAACAGAAATCCTTTAGATGTGCTGGGCTCCTCGAGTTTTAAAATATTTCCATTTTCCTTGTAAAACATCACTTTATCTGATGGTATAATAAAGGAGACTGAATTGTTGGACATAAGTCATATTCTTTAGGTTGCTCAGCTCTTTCAAAGAGCACAAGCACCAAGAATGTCTCAGGTGTCCTGGGCACTGTGAAGTTTTATTTATTTATTTATTTATTTATTTGAGACGGAGTCTCACTCTGTCACCCAGGCTGGAGTGTAGTGATGCAATCTCAGCTCGCTGCAACCTCTGCCTCCCGGGTTCAAGTGATTCCCCTGCCTCAGCCTCTCGAGTAGCTGGAATTATAGGCACGTGCCACCATGCCGGGCTAATTTTTTGTATTTTTAGTAGAGACAGGGTTTCACTGTGTTAGCCAGGATGGTCTCGATCTCCTGACCTGATGATCTGCCCGCCTTGGCCTCCCATAGTGCTGGGATTACAGGCGTGAGCCACCGCGCCCGGCTGGCACTGTGAAGTTTTAAATGCTTTGAATGTACTGTTAATATATAAATTTGTTGAATGGAGTAACGAAGGAAAGCAGCTGAATTTGCATGTGACAGAAAACAAGTTGTTACACGTGGAGGATGCAGCATTATATACTTACTAATACGATTAGCAATTTTTTTTCAGAATATATCAGAATTTCCTTTAAAAAGTGAAGCTACATATACTGAACTTATATCCACCCTACCCCTCGCTCAATTAAATTATTTCTGATATGAAGGAAAGGATTGCCTATAGCTAAACAGAAGTTTTGGCATAGATATGACTGAGTGGTAAGGGATAATGAGATATATAATATTGGTTATAGTTTTCTTTTTTCCCCAACTTTTAAGAAAAGAAAATCTAAGAGGAAATAATGTTTCTAAATGTTAAAGTTCTTCTTGTTAAAATTAAAATGTAGTGTGAAAACATATTCATGGTGGTAATGGTTTAGGGTGGTGGTATTTGAATTTTTTGTTTTTTTTTTTTTACTTTTTGAAATAAAATGTTTTATTTATTATAAGAAATTCATGGTCTTCCTCGGTACTTGGTCCATATGTATTTCTTTCTCCTCACCCTCCCCTCTTCTAACCACCTCTTTTCCAGAATGGATGGTGATGCCAATTTTGCTCCTAGGTTGTCCTCCAGCCACCCCCAGCCCAGTTTTCACTTTCTAGCTTTGAAGATTGTCCAGTTTTCCAGCTTAGACTAGCATTGCCTCTACGATAGTTCTAGGTATCTGTGAAGATTTTTTTTTTTCCTGTAGCAATCATGAAATAGCTACTAGTGCTCTGGACGATTGTGCTTAATGCCATTTGGGTGTAAGGCCTCCTAATTTCATTAGTCTTACCACTTGTGTTTGCAAGGATAGCTGTTTGGAGTCAGCAGTGCATGGAACATGTGAACTGAGACAAATCTGTTTGAAAATCTCAACTTAAGATTTCAAATCCACTGTGTATACTATTTAGCTGTTAAGTTTCTCAGTCTAAGAAGAACACGTTTTCCTCTAGAAATAAGCTTAACCCAGTACCTATGCATCGTTCATTAATATAATCAGATTACGGCCTAGATGTGGAATTTATTTCTGTTTCTATTTTCTCCAGCTTTTTAATACAGCTCAGACAGTCATATACAGTTGTACACGATGTGCACTGCACAACTCTAGGGTGCTCCATGCATATAGACATATCTGTATGTGACAGCCCTAAGTACAATGTGGTAGACACTCTGGACATTTGGTAAATAAGTATCTACATCCTCACTCTTCTCTCATTCACATTGGCCTTCTGGCCAGCACTATTTCTGGTTTATTTAATAAACAATTCTTGTCCCCCAGAAATTCTGTGAGTCTTCTGAAGATGCTGGGGAAAGCCAGCCTTCATAAATCTTTTCAATGTCACTAATGAAGACATGTCACTATTGCAACAAAGGAATACCAGGCCATAGTAGGCTTTCACAACTTTTTTCTGACAGAATTTGTTTCTTTCTGCTTTATCTTCCCTGTGTACTGTCTTTTTTTATCCACCCTCTTTCTTAATTACACTGGTAGAAGAATATTGGTGGGTGATGGAGTCATTCACATTCTGTGTAAGACTAGAATCAGTCCAAGATCCACAGGAATGTGGGATACTTCTTTCATGAGAAGCCACATGGCTCACAAGACTTCTTTACATTTGTGTTACTTGCCTTCTCCTGAAATTGTCTCTACAGTGAATCAAATAACAAGGACTGAGGTGTATTTTCCATATTTAATTCCAGGAAGCAGTCCCACTCCTTCTCCCTGCCCGATTTCCAGTTCCAAAGTCATGTACAGGGAAGTCCATTGACTTTGATGTTGGTCAAATGGCCCAGCAAGCTTTTGTCCACTTTTCTGTCAGACACAGTCCTTGGCACAAAAGACATCTGAAATACTTCCCATTAATTTCTTCTTTATTTATGACCTTGTAGTTAAGTGTGTTGAATTATATGCTTCTATACACATCTGTTTTAATCCAGTTACTCACTTATAACTGGTGACTGAAACTTTTATATCACTATAGCGTATTATTGGTACCCAGGATACAATAGAATCCTCAATATCTTACATCTTCAATATAGTACTTCCTTGTATGACTTATTTCTTAACATAAAAATCCTGTTTTAGACCTGTGGATAAACCTTTACTATAAATCCCAGAGACAATTTCTGGAATGAGAATATAGTATTTGTCCACACACATGATTCCATGTAGAACTTGAGGTAATAAGATCTGGGACTCCCAGATACATTTATTATTACCACAATTGGATAGAGGTGCTACAGAAATAGGCACACAAATGACAGTAAAATTGTTTCTGAGAACATTTCTAGGCTCAACTTTTTTCTACAACTTAGGATGAACAGAGAGAGTGGAAACTGTATATAATTGGGAATGTGACTGAGATGAGACAAAGATGACATGGAAGCATTTCTTCTTCCCTTGCTTTTCTGGTGGTAAGTTCACTCTTCTGTCTTCCTTGCCACTAGTTCTTGCAGTCCCTACCAAGACACTAGGGCATTATACAGCAAACACACCCTGAGGCCCCCTGCTACTGCATCATGAAAGCCTTAGCTGGTTGTGATGTCCTAGTTCATAAAGAATCTGCCTAGTCTCTCATTAGAGCTTTCCAATATTTGACAATTCATTCATTTATTTTTTTCAACAGGTATTTATTGGGCACCAATATATCTAGGCATTGATCTAGGGGCTGGGAATGAAGCAGGAAATAAGTCTAGGGGCTGGGAATGCAGCAGGAAATAAGACAATGTTTCAATTCTCTTGGAATTTGCATTCCAAGTGTGATGGGTAGAGGCAGACAATATGCAAATGTGTAACATGTCAGGTGTGATAAATGCTATGAAGAAAATCAAGTAGGGGGAGCGGATACAGTACTGAATAAATCAGAGGAGACCTTTCTGATTCAGTTATGTCTCTACAGAGTCCTGAAGGTAATAAGAGAGACAGAGGCAACCATCAGTGCAGTGGCCATGGTGGGCGCAGCAAGTTGGCTTCGATGTCTGGGTATTAGCCAGGGAGCCGGTGCAGCTGGAGGTGGGGTGAGTGGAGGCCAGAAGTGCAGTTGTTGAGGTTGGAGAAGTAGCCAGAGAAGATCATGTAAGGTGTGACTGTGCTCCCATAAAACTTTATGGACACTAAAAATTGAATTTTATGTAATTTTCCTGCATCATGAAATTAAAAAAAAAATTGTTTCAACCATTGGAAAATGTAAAAAATTGTTCTTAGCTAACAGGCCATACAAAAACAGGCTGCAGGTTAGATTTGGCCCATGGGTCATAGTTTGGCAATTGTGTTATATATAAATTATTACACTGTTTTATCTTCATCATGGTACACATCCATACCTGACATGTTTTATTTGCCTGTGTATACATTTATTGCTTTGTCACCGTCTACTAGAATACAAGTTTTTTGAGAAAAGGAGCTCTTAATTGTCTTGTTTACTGCAGCATCCCAATCACCAGTGAAAAGCCTGTATGTAATAGAGTAGATACTAAAAACAGTATTTGTTGACTGATTGATGGACTAGACCTCAGGATTTTTAGATACCCAGGATCAGGATATGAACTACTGCATTAAATCATCTCCAACATCTACTCTCATGATGGCTTGTCTGACTTCATGATTTAAAAAAAATTCTAAAGCATTTTTAAGGCAGTATATTCACCCTGTGCTATTTTCCTGTGGGCATAGGATAGGGTTTGTGTGGATGTATCAAAGACTTCTCCACTGTCCTTCCAGGCACAAGCCATCCTATAAGGCGTTCCCTTTTAGGAGCCAGAGGTATAGAAGGAAGTCATCTGAGCCCATTATTCCAGCCTGTTGGTAACAGAAAGAGAGATGAGCAAAGTAGCATTTGGCTGCACAGGGGTCTGGACAAAACTTCAACATCTTGATGTTTTCCTTCATCCCTGAGAGCCTTAGAAATGCTACCTATGCTTTCATTTTATGTTAGGTTGTTTGTAAAATCATGGTAAATTATGGCAAAATACTCTGGTCAGATACTTTATCAGGTTAGGCCAGGATATGCTGTGAAAACAAACACCCCCGAAATCTTGGTGGTTCATAAACAACAGAGACTTATTTATTGCTTATACCACATGACCAGCCTGGTTCATCTGGGGTCAAATCCACATGGGGATGAAGCTGGCTGAGTATCCGATCTTGAATGTTAGGAATCACTATGACAGAGGGAGGGAGAGCCTGAGAGCGCCTCACCCTGGCACTTAAATTCTCTGGCCCAGAAGTGACACATATTACTTCTAGTTGCAGCCCCTTGACCCACTGCCCCATCTAGCCACAAAGGGCCAGGAAGTGCAATCCCACCATGCGCTCAGAAGGCAGAGAGATGGAAATATTTGACAAACCGTATTAATGACTGTGACACATGGTGAGTTCTTCACATTGGTGACTTCTAAGTGCTTCTGAACACACCTTTGACTGTAGAATGTCAAAAACATTCTCAATTTTACAGCAGTGCTGGAAAATGAATTGTATTGAGACAACTTGGGAGGAGTAGAAGGAGATGGAATAAAAAAAATTCACTGATTTCTGTCATGTGTCATGCCTCCTTTAATGCACGGAAGAACGTATACTTTGCTTAGGAAATCACATTACCACATTCAGAACAACTTTAGTGAAGATGGGAAACAACCATGGCTGGTCAATGGGGTAACGTGTGCTGAAGGAAGACAGGTTTATTTCTCAGGAGGCATCTTCTCCCTGGGAAAAGGAAAGACACATATTCATCTCAGTAAATATTTGTGGAATGTCTACCATGTGCCAGGCATATGAGTGGAAATGATGTTTTTATAAAATAAAGATGTCTTAAGTATTTGCATGTCTTACTAACAGTCAGGGAGTTCAACTTGGCCAGTGGGAAGGATAATTTTATGCCTGAAACTTTAGTAATGTAAATTTTTATGCTGATTCTCTTTTTGTCATTCACTGAGTATTCCTAAGTAACTATAACACTCACATATTGGAGATAAGTATTGGTTTCCTGAAATCTAGGTTTGGCTAACATTGCTTCTGGAAAGAGAAAATAACATGTGTTGAATGTCCCTATGGCAAATTCTTGCTGTTACTTACTGTTCCATTATGGAGAGTGTTAGAAAGAGTGTAATTTTGATTGAATGAATATGCTAAAAAAAACACCCTAAATAAGAAACTCACAAAAAGAACAGAGTGGAATGAAAAAGTGAAAACAACTTTGCAATGGTGTGCTTCGTTTATAAGTACATTGTCACAGCAAGACTAGGGATGATTGGGCATCTTAGAGAGTGCAGAGGATGTTGATAAGGAAGAGGAAGAGGAGATAAGTGGATTTTGATATGGGACACTAGATCCTTAGGGAAGAAATGTGAAAGAGGGTATTCTGGGCTGACTGCCGCTGGCATAGCAAGGCTGCTTTGTAGAAGGGACAATAAAGTTTTGCATAAGGATCCTTTTTCCCATCCAATGGATTATGCTATACTTTAGCTGGAATAGGGCTGTAGCAGTTAGCTATTGCCACAATAATGCTGTGTAACAAAGCAGTCCAAATTTCAGTGGCTTAAAACATCACTACCTTATTCTCACTTATGTCTCCAAGTCAGCTGGGAGTCAGAGGATTAAGGCTCAAGGCTTAGGTTTGGTGCAGGTCAGCCCCAGGTGTCTCTCATCCTCCTTTGATCAGTGGGCTAGCAGGAGCATGTGCTTGCAATGATGGTGGAAATAGAAAAACGTGCAATCATATGTGAGTTTCAAGCCTCTCCTTGCATCATGTCTTGTAATGTCCTATTGGTCAGTAGGGCTGGGAAATATATCCCTCCCTCAGAGAGTCAGGAGTGGAAATGAAAATGTTTTTAACAATAGCCTAATCACCATAAAGGCTTTGGGTGGCACACTGGGCCCTTGATCTTGGAGATCAGTGATAGACTGTAACAGACCTCAGAAACCCCTTGGGGTTATTCAGAGCATACTTCTAGAGGGTCTGGGGTTGTCTTGCCATTCAAGCCCATCCCACACCCATCTGCCCCCACATATCCTAAGCACAGTTATGTCAAGTGAGAACAGAGGCATTTGAGTGGAGCACAGATTTCAAACACATAAAGGCAGGGCATGGCCATCTCCCGCAGTGCTAGATGATCTGGCTGGGAGAAAACCACAAGCAGTCTTCATCAAATTGGAGGATGTGGAGGTCCCAGGCATTTAGTCCCCTAGTATGTCCTTAAAAAACCCAGACAGCCATGCACACACACTCACACAAATGCACACGCACACACACATACATTCACACACACACTCTTTTCCTGCATTTGTAGTTCCTTTCCTCAGTCTAAGTTTAATTAAACAACTTGGATTTCATATATATTCATTTAAATATAGAATTGCATAAAGAAAAGAGCCACCAGAACCACCAATGGTAGCATGAGGCCTCTGAAATGAAAGATGAGCCCACCCCAACCTTAAATGGCCAGGTTTCTGGATTTCAGAGAAGCAAGATCAGACCCTTGGCAGGTTCCATCTGAGCAGCCACAGCAGCCATAGCTACAGCAATAATTATTAGCAAGTGTGCGTTCTCCCTGCCCTAGTTAGTACACCCTATACCATCAGGTGTCATCTGTTCTAGTTAAAGTCAGACCGTAATAACAAAACATCAAAATGTAAAATGTGGGTTGTTTTTTTCTTTACACACTTCTAAAGACATTTAAAGCCTGAGCAGATACCTTAAAATTCATCTTCTATCTGAAAATACCTCCTAGAACCATTTTAAAAAGGAGATGGAGGCAAGGTGGAGAGAAAAAGTTTGTCTTTGGTTGACACTGGGAAAGTTGTCTTTTAAAAAATTTTTTAATGTTTATTTACTATGGAGTTGCCGTGTCTTGCTCTTTTCAAGCTCACCTGTCCGGCTTCTAAGGAATATCAGGGGCCCTAAAACACAGACTTCTAAACCCCAACACATAGGACACACCTAAGTGTGGAAAGAAAGGAAAGAGGCAGGAAAGAAAGGAAAGAGGAAGGAAAGAAAGGAATGCAACATTTATTGTGTGCCTACCATATACCTGACCCTTTCCTACATATGACCACATATGATCTCTTCATGAGCTTTATGAGGTGACCTATTATTAACAATGCTGCTTTATAAATGAGGAAACCAAGCCTTAAGGAAGTCAAATACCATATCCTCAGTCAAATAGCTAAAAAAAAAAAAAGAAAAGAAAAAGAAAAGGTAGTGCCTGGATTCAAAGACAGCTTATTTTTTTAACTTATAGAGTAAAATGGATTTTTTCCCTTTTGGTGTGTAGTTCTATGAATTCTAACACATGTATAGATTTATATAACCACAACCATAATTAGGATACGGAACTATTCCATCACCCCCCAAAAATTCACTTACGTTATCCTTTTACAGTCAGACCTTCCTCCCAGCCTCCCAACCTCTGGCAATCACTGATCTGTTCTCCTTCACTGTCGTTTTGTATTTTTGGTTCGCTGTCATTTTGGTTTTTTGGGAATGTCATATAAATGGAATCATACAGTATGTAGCAGTTTGAGATTGGCTTCTTTCACTCATACTGCCTTTGAGATTCTACCAGTGTCCCAGTAGTTCATTCCTTTTTATTGCTGAGTAGTATTACATCGATTGCTGAACCGTTCACCCATTGAATGACACATAAGTTGTTTCTAGTTTTTTGGCTATTGTGAATAAAGCTACTACAAACATTCATGTACATGTATTTATGTGAACATAAGGCTTCATTTATCAAGGGTAAAATCCCCAGAAGTAGGACTGTTGGGTCATATGGTGAGCATATGTTTATAAGAAACTGCAAACACATTTTCCAGAGTGTTATACCATTCAAAGCCAGTTTTGAACAATTCAAATCTATGCTTTTTCTTTCCAGTAAGCTGTTTCTCCAGACGACAGAGTGGTTTACTATATTAGGCAAAGCTTCATCTTGGGGAATGTTATTTCCAACTGAGAGCTATGGGAGGCAAAGTCACAAACCTTCAGCTCAGACTCACCAATCTAACTTGATCTGGGAAGATACCTCGACAGGTGGGGGAGGGAGAACATCTGCTGAGGAAGGCCGGGAGTGGAGTGAGACATTGCTACTTGGACCCCAAAACCAGGAAAAATTTGGTGGTTTTGGTTGAGCTTGAACCATCAGGTTAAACAGGAAATGCAAAATGCTCTTCCAGTGAAACAGAAGAAGCTGCTAAGAGGTAGAGGGAACATGGAACTATTTGTATTGCAACCGAATCCACCTCCCCAAACCCACTGCAAAGGGAAATTGCTGACTGCAATGTCCCTGAACTCCAGGGTGAGTAAGAAGAGAACCACGCCCCCCAGGGAACACTTGTAAATTTTTAAGCAAATCTAGGGAAAGTTGTGTAAAATGTGTCCCTTCCATAACTCACCCTAAAGCTTCTGGGTATTCTAAATATACAAATTCTATTCATCACACCGTTTTATCACCAAGCTTCCTGAAGGCATATTGCCAACACAATTTGACAAAGAAAATAGCACCAACAGCTTTTTAAAGCCTTGGAAGGATAGTCTCAGACCCATGGCTCTCTAGAGGTCCAGGGATGAATCTAGCAAAGCTGGCCTCCTTTTCCATATATATAGAACAAGAGGATTGTTAATAGCATGGGATTGGAATGGCTCAAGAAAAGCTTTTTGAAGCTCTTTGAGAAAAGTAGCCAGGGTCCCCCCTTAAACCTTCTTTGCTGATGGCCTTACAGCTCAAAACCAGCATTGGAACCGGCTAGGTACTCCCAAACCAAAGCCTCTTCCACTTGGCATGTATATTTATATTCTCATATCTTCTTTCAAATACCTTTCAGTGTTGCCTTTTGAAAAGATTATAATTTGTACTTTTTTGTTGAATTCAGTAGGTTAAAGCAGTACCTATTATCTTTAATTTTATTTTGAAAAATTGGTTGGTTTGGCTTTTGGGGAATTTGAGAGGCAATTTAGTCTGTCATTTAGGATGGCATCATATAAGGCAGCCAACTTCATCATGCTATTTAGCCTGAAAAGCGATATTGTTGATCTTCAACCTTGAAAAAGTCGTACAGGTTGGGAGCTGACCTGCAAATGGTCAGGTATCTTGAGATAGGAAAAGGATTTACAAATCCAGGTCAGCAAGATACTCATACAAATATTTTGAACCCAAGGTATACATCAAATAGATTTAAAGACTAAGACTATTTCTGAGCATGCATCGACTGTTTGAAGACTAGTGGACTTGTATGAAGTTCAGGAGTTAACCTGGGTCTTGTAACTTAAAAACAGCATTTCTCATGCCCTAAATTAGTAGTAGAGAGACAATAT
Source organism: Homo sapiens (assembly GCF_000001405.40). Classification (NCBI taxonomy): domain Eukaryota; kingdom Metazoa; phylum Chordata; class Mammalia; order Primates; family Hominidae; genus Homo; species Homo sapiens. Next base: position 15,372,657 of record NC_000023.11, on the reverse strand, counting down.
AGAGAGTTCCTATATAGCCCTCACCTATCTTCCTCTAAGGCTAACACCTGGGAAGTTTTTTTTTAAAAAATCCTGATGGCAAAGCTGCAGCCCAGACCCAAAAAATGAGAATCTGTGAGATTTAAGATTCGAGCATCAGTATTTCTTTGAAGCTTATTCCCAGGTAGATTCAAGAAGAAGCCAAGATTTTGAATGCCTGCTTTATTATTTTTTTTTTTGTGAGAGCTTTAATGGCACAAAATGTTTATAGCTACAAGTTATACATGTATTGTAAATTGTATATAACGATACAAAGTGCTAACTAAATAGATGGAGAACGCATAACCACTTTGGCTCAGTTAATCCAATAATTTCCACAATGGGTTCATGAAAAACCTCATCTGACTGGCTAAGTCTTCAATTCTCATTTTTTTAGAATAGTAAATATTTTTACTGCAATCACAGGAACTTGTTGCGCTTTCCAATGTGCAAGTTTCTGCAGTTTTGCTCTTGATTCTATTTACAAATATCTTAAGCCAGTTTTCATCAAACATATGAAAAATGAAGCCTGCCTTTTTGTCCCCAAATTGTAAATAGGTGTAAATCTTTTTAAGCATCAATCTCACAATTTCAACAGTTAATTGTTGAATTCTCCTTTCCAATACACGATGTTTTCGTTCAACACAAATCTGGGTAGTAGTAAAATGTTCATCCCGTGTGTTAGGGCTACAGATACATACTACGTGCTCTCATAATAAATTTTACTGTTATGATGTATTCATTTTTTAAGTAATTTTCCATAATTTCACTGATGCTTTAAGAAAAAGAGCAACACTATGTTTCTTTTTAACGTTGAAAGAAATCATAAATATACCCAGGTTCAATGGCGCTACTGATAGAACTGCTGCTGAATTTGGAATGAGCACAATGCACTAGCTGTAAGAAGTCAGTTTTGGGTAATGAATAATTTTACTTTTCCCTCCTGTAATACCAATTTCATACTGTAGCAGTTTATCTAGTCAGTTCTCCTAACTTTCTGTCCTTTCCAATTTTATTCAGGCTTTTCAAAAATCAGTGAGCCATCAGATTTACTTTCTTCCCAAAGAAATTCAAATATGAATGCTTGAAATAAATAGGTTATAGAAGGCAAATCAAGTGTTATCAGGTTTAAGATTAAGACAGAAACATGGTCTAATAAAAAGATGTCCAAAATTATCTAGACATCAAATGCTAGAAAGAAAAAAGAAAATTACTTGCAAAACTATTTAGGATATATCATCTTTCTTAAAGATTGCCAGCTATATTCTTGAAAAAAAGATAAAAATTTTCTTGTTTAACCTGCATGTTATTTTCCACTATAACATTAATTTTACAAATGTTGATGTGAGAGAGAAGAGTTAGATAGTTTCTGCAAACTGGCAAACCTGGCTGTGATAGTGTTTTTATTCAAGTTAACCTGGTGCACTTTATAGATTGCTAGCTTTAAAATTAACAGTGTGAACCCCTGCTTTAAACCCTTCTCAAAGTGCAGTCAGCCAATCAACAGTATTGCCATCACCTGGGAACTTGTTAGACCCCACTTTGTCAAACTCATTTCCTGGTATGACAATGAATCTGGCTACAGCAACAGGGTGGTGGACCTCATGGTCCACATGGCCTCCAAGGAGTAACACCCCAGGACCATCAGCCCCAGTGAGAGCACGAGAGAAAGAGAGAGGCCCTCAGCTGCTTGGGAATCCCTGCCACGCTCAGTCCCCACCACACTGAGGATCTCCTCTCCTCACAATTTCCATGCAGACCCCCTGAAGAGGGAAGGGCCTAGGGAGCCCCACTTTGTCATGTACCACCAATAAAGTTCCCTGTACTCAGCCAAAAAAAAAAGAAAGAAAGAAAAAAGAAAAAGAAATGCAGCATCCTGTCTTGCCCCAAACCCACTGCGTCAGAATCTGCATTTTAACAAGATCCCCAGGTATGCACATTAAGTTTTGAGAGGCAGTACTACATATAAAATATGCAACAGACCACACAAACCTGGGCCCAATTGCTATTTGTCAGATACATGTATGTATTTATTACTTATAAATTCCTTCATCAGATATGTATTACGTGCTTATTACTTTAAAAAGATGAATCTGACACATATCCTACCCTCAAAGAGATCTCAGTCTAGGAAGGGAAATACAATGTGTTCATAAATAATATAGTCTAAGTTAGGGACTTCATAAAATGCTTGATGGAAGAAGTGGCATTTATTTTGGACCTGGAATGAGAACTGAAAGAAGATATTCAAAAGACAAGTGATGTAGTGATGTAGTTTTGAATACACGAATAATCTCAGGGTTACTTTTTCTATAGCTTTTGGTGAATCAAGTTGTTTATTCATACATTTAATAAATATTTATTCAGCTCTTACTATTGCTATAAGACAGATACCATTACTGCTCAGGTGGTTTTTACAACCTAGTGGGGAAGACAAGCAGATAACAAGAAATGACACAATTCATTAGTGTTACTGGTAGCGTTGTGAAGGACAAGGATGGGGTGCTAGAAATCCATGTGACGGACCAGACCTAGGCAGGGGTGGGAGTTATGGAGGAGGTTTCCCTGAGTAGGTAACATCTAAGCTGAGAAAGATTTAGTTAGACAAAGAGTGAATGGCATTCCAGGCAAAGGAAACAGCATGGACTAAGGTCAAAACAAGAAGAAATGAACGAAAGAGCAAGTTGATAAAATGGATGTCCAATAATATTCCATTGTTCAACTATGCAACATTTTTCATTGCCTCCCAAATTGGATCAAAGTAGCCTGGTCTTCATGCCTCCAGTCCTTCCTCTTTTTAAAAATTTTATACAACTATATTAATATAGAATTTACATACTATAAAATTTCATTCAAGTATATTAGGAAATTTACTGAGTTGTATAGCTATCATCCATATAAGGTCCGTTATGTCCCTTTGCAATGAACCCTCCATTCTCACTCCCAGCCTCAGGCAGCCAATAATCTATTTTCTGTCTCTAGGGGCTGGAAACTTAGGATTGGAATTAGTTGGTTGTATAATAAATTTAGCTTATTAGAGAACTGCTGAACTCTTTTCCAAAGCAACAATACAATTTTACAGTTTCATCAGCCTTGTGTGAGGGTTCCTGTTGCTCCATATCCATTACAACACTTGGTATTGTCAGTCCTTTTGTTTATAGCCATTCTACTGGGTGTGAAGTGGTATCTCATTTCACCAGCCCCTCTTCCTAACTTATTTGCCAGATTCCCCACTTCTAAACTTGCTCTATGCCCAACCAAAGTGAACCCCTTGCTGTTTTTTTTTTCCCCTGAGGCTCGTTGATATCCCCAAATTATGCCTTTCTTCATTCTTTGAATGTGTTACTTGACTGGATATGTATTTTTGGTGAAGGAGAGGGGCTGGAAATTGAGAGATGAAATTGGTAGGAGTACAGAAGGCCGTTGACTTCCTCACAACGTGGGACACTTCCAAGTTTCTCCTACAAACCCCACCACTATACCTTTCCAAATATCTTGCCTGCCATCTTGGTCACCCGTGACCTAAATTAATACTTAGGAAGCTATGGAGATGCTCATGCTTCCTCAGGGGAGAATGCTGTGTGAACTTAGAAATTAGCAAAAGGGGAAATGACTACCCTTGAAATTGTACCACAGAAAGGAGCATACATTCAAATGATGGTGAAGTCTTATTAAAAAGACTTTAAGCCTCCCAATTTAGAAGCTGGCTTGTGGTAGCCAAGAAATTAGAGAATGATTTGTTATTTAAGAGTGAAATTGCTAGTAGTCTTGAATTAATTACCATAAAAAAGCTGCCGCTGTAATAAAAAGCAGAGATCTGGTAACCCTGCTTCATTCACTTTCTTCCTCTTGATGAAAACCTTTTAATTATTTTGATTTTGATTAGCACTTCCATCAGAAAATAGGAAGAAATTAGGAGCAATTTACTTGGCAAAGGTTTAGTAATTAAAACCACTGAAATCAATGGTTTAAGTATGTATTTGGGATAAACACATTTTTAATTGTTATTTTTGTCTTACCCAAGTGGATAACATAAAGTTCATTATACAAAAATCAACCAGTGCAGAAAGCCGATTGGGAACAAACAACCATTCTTGAACCCTTTGAAAATGTATGCCCTTGATGAATTACTTGTCAGGTTTCTACTTAAGTTTAATTGTTAGTACTTCCACTTAAAATAGCAAAATGACTGTCTGCAATTTCTGTTATTTCAAACTAGGTTTTAAATTCTGGGGTTGAAAGTAAGCTTAAATAACTCTGAGTACTTGAGTAAACACTGCATTTTTTATGATGAGGCAAGTTGTATGAGCCATTTAATTACTTTAATTCAATCCAGAGATTTGATATTTTCTCCTGAGTTCTCACAGTTGGATAGTTTAAAAATATTTCTAAGATTGAATTGAATCCTGTAAGAACTATAATAAAACCATACATCTGCCTGTTTTCTTTCTTTCTCTTTCTCTCCTTTCTTTTCTTTCTTTCTTTCTCTTTCTCTCCTTTCTTTCTTTCTCTTTCTCTCCTTTCTTTCTTTCCTTCTTTTCTTTCTTTCTTTCTTTTCTTTCTTTCTTTCTTTCTTTCCTTTCTTTCTTCTTTCTTTCTTTCTTCTTTCCTTTCTTTCTTTCTTTCTTTCTTTCTTTCTTTCTTTCTTTCTTTTTCTTTTTCTTTCTTTCTTTCTTTCTTTCTTTTTCAAGATCGTGCTCCATTGCCCAGGCTGGAGTGCAAGTGGCGAGATCATGGCTCACTGCAACCTTGACCTCCCCAGGCTCAGGTGATTCTCCCACCTCAGTCTCCTGAGTAGCTGGGAGTACAGGCATGCACCAGCATGTCTGGCTAATTTTTGTATTTTTAGTAGAGACAGGGTCTCACCATGTTTCCAGTCTGATCTTGAACTCTTGGGCTCAGGCAATCCTCCCACCTCGGCTTCCCAAAGTGCTGGGATTACAAGTGTAAGCCACCATGCCTGGCCTTGTATTTTTGGATAATATTGAGTGAAATTTGCCTCAATACATAAAAATCCTTTCAATATGCTTCAACTCTAAAATCTTTAAAAAGCTGCTTGGTTTCATTATTTTCACGTGGAAGCAGCATTGTCACAAAGTTTTATTTTGAAGACTGAATTGTATATGGAGTACTGTCCAACTAGAAGAGAATGAATAATCAGGAAAAGAGAGACTATTGACAAATAAGACTTAATGGAGAAGCATTGAATTTCAAAGCTGCCAGAGACATTAGCAATTGTTCAGTTTCATCTCCAGATTTCTTAGATGAAGAAGCTGTGGCAAGCCAATTTCACAAACCCGATCTATGATCCTCATGCTCCCCACTCCTCTCACTCCCACAATTTTGCCTTGATTCAAACTTTATCGAAAAGTGAGAAATCACAGGTATGAGCTCACTGAGCTTCCCAGGCAGTCTTGCCATCTACAAACCCATGTCATTCTGTATTTTCCTCTTGTTTCTGACAGTGATCCTCTCATCTAGTCACACTACATCCACTTATCTCTGGCACTTATGTCAAAACAACCCCTCTAGGTCCTGCCTTAGCTCTCCTGCATATGCTTTTTCTTTCTTCCTGTCTGTTGCCTCTTTCCCCCAGCTTATAATTCTCCCGCTTTTATTAAAAACATGCACCCACAGACACACACTCACATCTGGATTCCCAAGTGCGATAACCTTGTAGATTCATATTTTCAGATCGTTCTTAGTCCACAGAATATAAAATTGATTGAATGATGGCAAACATCTGCAGATGACAATCATTTACAGAAATGGCACTAAAGCCATGAAGCTGAAGCTGCAGGACTTATGGATCTGGGCTAGAAGACAGGGGCCATCAAAAATTTAGCTTCAGTTGGAAATCGGCTCTTTTAGTGCACTACATCAGATCCATGAAAGAGGAAGGAAGAGTTACTGCTCATTGCTGCCTGGAGCTGTGACTTCTATGAAATTACTTAACGGGGCAAAGGAGGAAGCAGATACTTCCTTGCAACTAGGACGTGAGCTGAGCTGATCCCTGAATCATAAATACTCAACAAGATTCGGATTCAGGACCCAGGGTATTATGGGGTACAACCATAAAACTTCTAAATGTTGGAGAAAGAATAATGAGAAAGAAAAATGAATCTCTGAATGAAAATGGAACTACTAACCAAAATTCCAAATCACGTTAATATAATTATTACTAAGAATGACAGCAACAAAATGAATAATCAGTATATGTCATACCTATAAAGTTAAAATCTAAAATAATTTGAAGAAATACTTAAAAATATTTGCAACCCTCAAAGAGATAAAGAAATAATATTCATAAAATTGAAATGACAAACTAGGGGCAGGGCGCAGTGGCTCACGCCTGTAATCCCAGCACTGTGGGAGGCCGAGGTGGGTGGATCACAAAGTCAGGAGATCGAGACCATCCTGGCTAACACGGTGAAACCCTGTCTCTAATAAAAATACAAAAACAAAATTAGCCGGGCGTGGTGGTGGGCGCCTGTAGTCCCAGCTACTCAGGAGGCTGAGGAGGGAGAATGGCGTGAACCCGGGAGGTGGAGCTTGCAGTGAGCCGAGATCGCGCCACTGCACTCTAGCCTGGGCAACAGAATGAGACTGGGTCTCAAAACAAACAAACAAACAAACAAACAAACTAGGAAGAATATACAGAAATGTAACAGAAAGTAGATAGGAAGAAGAATGAAGTAGAAATGCTTGAAATTAGAAATACGGTGATTGAAATTAAAACCTTAACAAAGTAAACTCTAGACTCACAACAATTGGAGAGTTGGTGATTGGAAAGATGAACCAATTAATTTACCCATAACACATTAGAGAGAGGTGAAGAGGAAAAAATAGCTAAATATAAAAGCACATTTAAGAGACATGTAAGATGATTAAAAGCCTCCAACATTTTTCAAAAAAGAGAGTAGAGGCAATATTATAGGTGGAATAATGAAAATGATAATGGCTGAGAATATTAAAGAATTGAGAATAAAAAAGACAAGTGGCCTCAGATTGAAACTGCCATGAAGGTCTCTGTCTCAAATTCTCAACTCTGCTTTTGTAGTATGAAAGCAGCCGTAGACAATAAGTAAATGAATGGACATGGCTGTGTGTCAATACAACTTGATTTACAAAAACAGGCAGGCAGCAGGCTAAATTAGGCTGGGAGGTCATAGTTTGACAGCTCTTGATCTAAAGAATAACCATTGTTGGCCAGGCGCAGCGGCTCATGTCTGTAATCACAACACTTTGGGCGGCCAAGGCGAGCAGATCACTTGAGCCCAGGAGTTCAAGACCAGCCTGCGCAACATGGCGAAACCCCATCTCTACTAAAAGTACAAAAATTAGCCGGGCATGGTGGCAGGCTCCTGTAGTCCCAGCTACTTAGGAGGCTGAGGCAGGAGAATCGCTTGAACCTGGGAGGCTGAGGTTGCAGTGAGCGGAGATGGTGCCACTGCACTCCAGCCTGGATGACAGAGCCAGACTCGGTCTCGAAAATAAATAAAGAATAACCTTTGTTTACATTTTCATGTATATGTCTCCAGATGTTCCTCATATATCCATATAAGTATGTATATATGATGTACATAAGTGCATAAGTAAAAATACATAAGTAATTTTAAAAGAGGTTATATCATAGCTGAATCACACATGACTTAGACCACACTTGCTCTTCTGAGTACCCATTTTTGGACAACTCTCAGTGTCCACTAGCATGTCTAAAAAAAATTTCTCCTCCTAAAATGCTAATGCATGATGTAGATTTTAACTACAGCTTTTGAGGCTCAGTGGAGGAGAGTGTACATCACACTACCCAATGCAAAGCCTTTTAACAGCCCCTTTTGCTCATCTTTGTTTTCCTTCACTGTTCCTCGCCCTGCAGCAGGCAGCTGACATTCACCTTTCCCTTCCACCCTCCTCTCTCAGCACTGGTCCTTTGCCTCCTCCCTCATCCCAGCTCTACAAATGGCCTCAGCCTGCATATTCCAACCACCCAGCAAAACAAACATCTAGTAACTACCGGGTCAGCAAGAGAAAATCGGAGGCCCTAGCCATAGATAGATCACCTTATCATTTCTCCAGCACATTCCAGGAAGGATCTCAATTCGTTCTGTCCCAATATACCTCTACATCCTTTGTTTTGATGATCACATAGAATTCATTGTATGCATATATCATTATTTATATAACTAAGCCCCCAATTTTGAACAAGAGGCTACATACTGAAAATCTTTTATCTACCAAGTCTTTTTTTTCTTACAAACCCATCCAATACAGTTGCACTGTATCCGCCAATACAGTTCATGCAACTGTATGGAAAGCAAACTCTAGAAGAGTATTTGATAGCTCCATAAGAATATTAAACTCTTATACTTCTAGAGCGTAAAACCCCAGAAAAGTATTTTGTCAGAAAAAAATCATGTTTTTGAAATAGTAGGTTTTAAAAGAAAACAAAGAGAGTTAGAAGTAAGAAAATTCAGGTTATCAGGGGCTTGATATCTTTTTTTTGTGACTGTAGTCAGGTTACCCAGGCCTTTGTGGATCAATTTCTCAAACAAATAACAGAGATGAAAACAACTGTCAGTAGCTACTGTCACAAAAATAATATGATAAACATCTTTTCGTTTCCTATGGCTGCCATAACTAATTATCACAAACTTGGTGGCTTAAAATAACAGAAATGTATTTTCTCACAGCTCCAGAGTCCAGAATTCCAAAATGGAAGGGTCAGCAAGGCTGCACGCCCTCAAAACACTCTTGGAGAGAATCTTTTCTTGCTTCATCCAGCTTCTGATGGCTCTAGGCAATCCCCCGCTTGTCACTGCATCACTCCGGTCTCTGCCCCCATCTTCAAATGACCTTCCTCTGTGTCCCTGTCTTCTCTTCTGTCTCTTATAAGGACACTTGTCATTGTACAGTATTTAGGGTCCACATAGATAATCCAGGAGGATCTCATTTTAAGATCCTTAACTTCATTACATCTGTACAGATCCTTTGTCCAAATTAAGGTAATGTTCACAGGTTCTGTGGGTTAGGATGTGGACATATCATTTTGAGGCCCACCATTCAATGCACTACAATTTTCTTTGTAAGTGTTCTGAGAACCCAGGAAGAATAAGTAAATCCTCTGATTCAATCAAAAATGAGCAGAATGTAAACCAAAAATACTAGAAGATATCCTTTTTCCTAGGCACTGGCATACGTTTCAATAGTATCTCTAATTACAGATGTATTTACACTTCTAAGTGTCAGAAATGAAGATTATTATGACAAATTTAAAATTTAGTAACTTGTTTTTAAACTGGTATTTTTGTTTTTTTAAGCGATCATCTCAGTCCACATTGGAACGATCTGAACAGCAGATCAGGGCTGCTTCTAGTTTGGAGGAACTACTTCGAATTACTCACTCTGAGGACTGGAAGCTGTGGAGATGCAGGCTGAGGCTCAAAAGTTTTACCAGTATGGACTCTCGCTCAGCATCCCATCGGTCCACTAGGTTTGCGGCAACTTTCTATGACATTGAAACACTAAAAGGTAGGTGTGTGGATGTGGAGACAAATTCTTTCTCTTTATTAGATAGTGACAAACACACTTACTTTCTCCAAAAGTCTGCGTAGGGCAGACACGTGTCAGAGGGAGAATGAAAGTCGGTCTTTGATTTCCAGTATTAGTGCAGAATCTTGATTTTTTAATGTTTACTTCACAGAGAAATATATTCAATATGATTTTGAGATAAAAAACACAAAAGAACATCTCAAAATATAGAAATAAATTTAACTCAAGGATGTGGGGGCAAAGAAAACCCAGGAAGACTATTGTTCTCAATAGAAAAACAATCATCAGGTTTACTTAGAAAATAAAACCTGGGGATTCATCCACAAGGAGTATTCTACTGCCATACATACATAGACAAAAACCAAAGATGGCCAGGCATGGTGGCTCATGCCTGTAATCCCAGCACTTTGGGAGGCCAAGAACGGCAGATCGCTTGAGCCCAGGAGTTTGAAACCAGCCTGGGCAACATGACGAGACCCCATCTCTACAAAAAAATAGAAAAAAATAGCTGAACATTGTGGTACGTGCCTGTATTCCCAGCTACTTGGGAGGCTGAGGTGGGAGGATCGGCTGAGCCCAGGAGGTCGAGGCTGCAGTGAGCCATGATCATGCTACTGCACTCCAGCCTGGGCAACAGAGCAAGATCCTGTCTCAAAAAAACCACCCCCTCCCCGAACCAATAGATTAGGTATAGCTTTTTTTTTTATTTCTGCAAAGTTGTGTGATTTTTTAGTAAAAGTGAAAAGTAAAAGTTAGACACTGAGTTGTAATATTGGGTACTGGTATTGCTAGGAGAATAATGAAGGGAGAAAATTCTCAAGACAAAATGATCAAAACTCCAGACTAGAAAATAACATAATTTGAAATAAGGATAATGATCGTTCCCTAGTAACGTATGAAGATTCTTTAAAAGAAAATCAGGCCAGGTGTGGTGGATGACACCTGTAATCCCAGCACTTTGGGAGGTTGAGGCAGGTGGATCACCTGAGGTCAGGAGTTCGAGACCAGCCTGACCAACATGGTGAAAACCCATCTCTACTAAAAATACAAAATTAGCCAGGCATGGCGGTGCATGCCTGTAATCCCAACTACTTGGGAGGCTGAGGCAGGAGAATCACTTGAACCCAGGAGGCGGAGGTTGCAGTGAGCCAAGATTGCACCATTGCACTCCAACCTGGGCAACAAGAGTGAAACTCCATCTTAAAAAACAAAAAAACAAAACAAAACAAAACAAAAAAACAAAGAAAGAAAGAAAGAAAACCAGTGTGAGTAGGTACTGTCATAATGAATAAAATGCTTGTCAAGTAAAGTTCTGTGGTTTCTGATTAGGCACTTAATTTTTTGATGTCATGTCAAAACAACACAAGAAGCTGCTACAGCATTGCTGATCTAGCATTCTAGATTTGATTAACATGATTACCTGGTAACTGACTATATATATAGCATAATTCAAATTAACCACTAGGCCAAAACTATTTTTTTCTTTCTACCTAAAATTGTATTTGTTTTTTCCCATTTGTAAAAAGATGTTGGGGTTGCACAGACCTCTGTTGTTGGCTGTGGGGAGAGCTGTGCATAGATGGGGACATATTCTTTGGTAGCACCTTGGGCATGAGTGTGAAGAGGATTCTTAGTGTTCATGTGTATGACTGTGTGTCTAAGTGAGTTGATGTGGTAGGAACCATAGCCTCGAGCTCACTTCAGACAGAAATTTGAAGCTCTAGATGTTTCTATGTGGTGAATTAATATAGCCTTCATGAGAACAAAGGGTTGGCACCTCATCTAGAGGTCAAAGGCCTTAACCAGATTACCTGACTGAAGGCCTGAGGTGAACCTGGAGCTATTTCATGAACATGAACGTTACCATAAAACCAAGACTAGGTGATCTAAAAAAAGTCAATGACATTGACATTTTCTAAGGAGAAAACCATTAAAATATCACGGAATTTGCAAACCCTATGAATTTATCTCGTAATTTCTAGGGGATCATCTGAAGTTATTTACTAAGTTAGAAGCAGTCAATAATGAAATCAGCATGTTACACCAATTAGAATTTGTTATCAACTCTCCCTTGTGGATTTCAAGGTAATTTCCTGAGGCAGAGCAGTCCTGCTGGGAAGCAGTAAAGAATAGTAGAGTTATGAAGCCTTTAATCAGTGATGTTGGTCATAATTGCATATGATTTTGATTAAAAGCTTACCACTCCAATTTCAAAACTTAGTTTTATAAAAAGAGAAAAAGCAAATGGAAAGCAACCTTTAAGTAGAATTTTAAATTGGGAATATTTTCATAGGTTGGTTTCTTGTTTTTTCAAGGATTCATGATTAATTATAGTGAATTAAATAATAACCATAATAATACTTAATTGAGTAATTTATCTCTCATGTGTTCAGCCTTCAGGCTTTTTATATAAATATTAATAATCAGAAATTTTTAAAAAGGTTTCTTGGGGGCTGGGCACAGTGGCTCACGCCTTTAATCCCAGCACTTTGGGAGGCTGAGGTGGGCGGATCACAAGGTTAAGAGATCAAGACCAGCCTGGCCAACATGGTGAAACTCCGTCTCTACTAAAAATACAAAAATTAGCTGGGCATGGTGGCGCATACCTGTAATCCCAGCTACTTGGGAGGCTGAGGCAGGAGAATCGCTTGAACCCAGGAGGTGGAGGTTGCAGTGAGCCGAGATCGCGCCGCTGCACTCCAGCCTGGCAACAGAGTGAGACCCCGTCTCAAAAAAAAAAAAAAAAGTTTCTCAGGATAGAATGTTTTATTATGAGGAAAAAAATAAAAAAAAACAAAGTTTAGGTAGACTGTGTAGTATAATGCAGTGCTCCAGACAACTCATATTATGTTTTCAGTGATTGAAGAAGCAACATATGAAAAAAATTGGTATTAAGGGATGAAAAAGGAGAAAGGAATGGAGAAGATGTTATAAGGGAATAATTTAGGGACTAGGGTCACATCTCAAATGGTAATATTGTATCAGTATACTTCAAGCAGACGTTTTCTCTATTCCTTCTATTCCCCTATATGGGAATTCAGGATAATCTCAGGAGAGTTCTTGAAAATGCAGTAAAAATAAAGGAGAGTTTGCCTATTGTTGCATAACACATTACCACAAAACTTAGCTACTTAAAACAATATTTATCTCAGTTTCTGTGGGCCAGAAATGCTGACATGGCCTAGATCAGTTTTTCTGCTTCAGATGTCTCTGGAGGCTGCAGTTAAGATGTTGGCTTGGGCTGCAGGCATCTTAGGGCACAGCTGAAGCAGAGTGTGCTTTCAAGTTCAGTCAGCTGTTGTTTGCAGGACTCAATTCCTCACAGGCTGTTGGACTGAGGGTCTTAGTTCCTCGCTGGCTATTGGCCAGAGGCTGCCTCAAGTTCCTTGTCGTGTGGACCTTTCTAACATGGCGGCAAACTAACACAAGAACTGAAAACCAAACACCGCATGTTCTCACTCATAAGTGGGAGTTGAACAATGAGAACACATATACACAAGGAGGGGAACATCACAAACCAGGGCCTGTTGGTGGGTGGGGGGCAAAGGGAGGGAGAGCATTAGGACAAATACCTAATGCATGCGGGGCTTGAAACCTAGATGACGGGTTGACGGGTGCAGCAAACCACCGTGGCACATGCATACCTGTGTAACAAACCTGCACGTTCTGCACATGTATCCCAGAACTTAAAGTAAAATAAGCTAAAAAAAAAAAAAAAAAAAAAAGCCTGCAAGTGGAGAAGGAGGAGAGAGAGAGAGAGAGTGTGTGTGAGAAAGTGAGACAGAGTAAGAAAGAAGGGAGCTTGCAATAAGTAGAAACAAGACTGCAATCTTTTTTAACTTCATCATGGAAGTGGTATCCCATCACTTTTGCTGTATTCTCTTCATAAGAAGCAAGTTACTAGGTTCAGCTCACACACGAGGGGAAGGCATTTACACAAGGGCATGACTATCAGGAGATGGGGACCACTGGGGGTTAGTTTCAAAGCTGCCTACCACAAGAGATTTTCACCAGCACCACAACCCCACACATAATAAATAAACTCTACAGTTCCATGGCAAGCTACAAGGAAGTCTTTGTGTTGTCTTTATCATAAAATTGAATCTTTCCCCCAAAACACCTGTAGAAAGGCTATGCAGCATTAAGTATCAAAGGGTCAAAATCTAATTTAAAAAATAAATTATGAGAGAAAAGCAAGTACTGTTTTACAAGAAAGTATATAATTTTTTTATTCCCATAGGCTTCTTTTTTTGTTACCTTCAAATTAACTATGGTCAAAGGATTGCTCATTCCAGTAATAAGAACAGGCTTATTTCATCATTTACATAAATATCAGTATCGGGCACTTGCAAATGAGAAAACTCTGATTTGAGTAAGGATTAGTTTCACTTCAATTTCCATTTATGCGTTTGCCAAGTTTAAATCCTACTGTAGTTACTTAAGCAACCAACAGAAACATATTTCTTGATGATGCTAAAACCTACCTACACCTGGCTTTAAAGCAGAAGAAATGCTATCCAGCTGTATCCTATAAATTGCTTGATAAATAATATTTACATGTTATTTCTTTACACGCTTCTATTTACTTCCCTATTAACCAGCTTCTCCAGATGTATTCAGTGTAATTATGTACAGGACATGGTGTTCTACCTCAAAGGGAAATAAAATACTTATATTCTACAAGGTATGGTATAAATGGGAAAGAGCACAGAGATTGGTTGTAACTTCTCTGCAAACAATCTTTGGTTAAAGGACTGACAAAAAATATCCATCTAGTAAAAGAAACAAGCAGTAGAAATGTGAAAATGACTGTGTTCAGCATAACCCTGGCACATGTTGGCACACCAGGACCATTCCACCTGCTAGCCCCAGTGAGCTTTCTTTCTCTCTGCAGTTATAGATGAAGAATGGCAAAGAACTCAGTGCAGCCCTAGAGAAACGTGCGTGGAGGTGGCCAGTGAGCTGGGGAAGAGTACCAACACATTCTTCAAGCCCCCTTGTGTGAACGTGTTCCGATGTGGTGGCTGTTGCAATGAAGAGAGCCTTATCTGTATGAACACCAGCACCTCGTACATTTCCAAACAGGTATAAGGACATCGGCAAGCCTGCCGTCTCTAAAGCCCTGATGATAATAGTGTTGATAGCTACAACAACCTTGTTGCTAAACACTGTACTAAATGCTTTATGTGCATAATCGCATTTAATCTTTGAAACAAATCAAGAGGGTATTTTATGCTCCTTTATAGATGAGGAAACTGAGGCTCAGAGAGGTAACTTACTTATCCAAGTTTACACGGCTGATAAATAGCAGAGCTGGGATTCAAACCCAGGTCTGTGGGAGGCCAGAGCCTGAACTCTTATCAGTTATTGTCTCTCTGATGCTATGATGTCAAGACTCAGAAAACCATATGGAAGTTACTAGGACAGGATGTTAAAAGGAATGAAGATAGCTGATGGCAGGTTCTGTGTTGCTCAAATGGAGTGATTGAGAAAAATTTAATGAAGGTTGTGGGCAGAATTGGGGAAAGAGGGATGGGACAGTGAAGCACCTGAAGCTAGCAAAAAGGGTGAGATTTCCCCACCCTTCGACTGAGGAGACAAGGGGAGGGAGCAGTTATGGGAACCCAGAGGGAAAGCGGAGAAGAGGGTTTCTGGACTGGCCACTGTCAACTCTTAGCCTGGCAGGGAGTAGGGGCAGGGGCTGGGAGAGGCAAGAGGGTTTATAGATGTAGCCCATGGAGGGCAGCGTCCTGGGGCACAGAGCCTGATGGGGAAGGAAGGGGAGAGGATGGTGTCTCTGGAGGGGCAAAGAGAGAATATCTAGCACAAAAGACATTTGGAAATAATTCTGCAGTCCCCATGAAAGAAATAATTCAGCCCTCTTCATCTTATAAATTTCCCTTTGCTTAGTAGGTAAGTTTTCCTTTCTCTGGTTACCATGTTTTTAATAAATGTCGCATATGAGAGCAGTAGTAACAAACTTGGGAAAGCAATACTAAAAAACTGTACATCAAACTACATTATTTTTGGTATCTGTTGCAAATTCTTTGAATGTTGATATACTTATTTAATTGTCAGTTTGCCTATATGGTTTATTCTCCTTTTAACTGCAAAAAGAGGTAGTACAAGAAAATTACATGCACTGAATATATCCATGTTAGGTAATTTTCTTAATGCTGATTTGTTTTGTTAATAGATTTACTTATCCTTAATTTTGTTCCTCCACCCTCTAAAATATCCTTTAAACTGCAGAGTTTCTTTTTCTAAATTCTTTTAGAGAATCTTGGAGCTTGTGTGTATTTTAACCTCTACTATTTGACAATTAGGAAAAAAAAATGACCCAAGTAGGGCTAAGCATCAATTCTGAGTAGAAAAAAAGCTTGCATAACGTAAGAGGGTTTAGTTCATGATCATGTGATTCCCTAGAGCATAGCCAAAAAATTGTGCAAGAAGATGAAGTTTATGCAAAGTAAACACTACAAAAACACTCTCACTGAGACTCATGGAAGTTCCATTACATATTGAGATGTCAGAATAAACACAACCTTAATGGATTGCTTCCACTTAATAGATAGTTGAGTACTTTATTTTGACTGCTGTACTCAACAAATGATTAATTTCATACAATGTACTTAAGTGTAAGTGTACAGCAGTTTTTCTTCCAAATATGCATTTTTGAACATTTTAATAGTAGTTTTTTAAAAACTATCTCTCGCCCCAAAGTTATGGACTATTTGGCAAACCACCTCTTAGAAACAAAGTGAACAAATGAATACTCTATGTAGTAAGGACTACATGGAATGGTGATTGAATAGACAATGCATTAAAATCAACTTCAAACTCATCCACACATCATAGAACCACTCAAGAAAGTTGTGTAATCTCTCTGTACATCTGTTTCTTCACCTGTAAGATGGGGATAATAAAAACCCACCCCATAATGTTGTTATAAGGGGTAAATGAGTTAACATGAAAGCACTTACAACAGGGCCTGGCCTACGGAAAGCGTAGAAAGAATGATATACATGTTAGCTATAATTATTTGTTTGGGCATGATGATCTTGTATCAGTCAGCTATTAATACACAGTGCTACGTAACAAACACACTAAAACTCAGTGGTTCCAAACAACAATGATTTACTCTCACTTATGTATCTGAGGTTCAGTTAGTTTAGGGTGGATTCAGCTGGGCTTGACTCTAAGCTGCAGTGTGAGTCCAAGTCAACTTCTATGTTTCCCATCGCTTGGACCAGCAAGCCTGCCGGATTATGTTCTTTTCATGGCTATAGCATAAGTTTGAGAAAACAAGCCCCATAAAACATGCACAGTTCAAATTTGTACTTCTGTCATGTCTGCTAACATCCCACTAGCCAAAGAAAGTGACATGGCCAAATAAAAAGTCAAGAGACAGGAAACTATATTTCTTCAATAGAGATGGTGTGAGAAGGGATGAATAAATAGTTTGAATAATAATCTATTCTAATAAAATCCTAAAGAAACTGCATAGCTTTAATCTCATTTAACCCTTACGATTTACACTCAAATTTAAAGCAGGAGCAGGGATTAACAGTACCATTTTACAAGAGTATCAATGATCAAAAAGTTAAAAGATTTGACCAAACTTAAACACTTCATAAAGTTAGATGAGCCTGTTTAGTTCCATTCTTAATGGACAACTTGGCTAAAGTCATTGCCGTAAATGACAAAGGCAAAAATTCAGACTAGAACAACTTTAAAAATGATATATAAAATTAAAAAAATATATTGTGGTTATCTTTCTCTGCTGTAGCTCTTTGAGATATCAGTGCCTTTGACATCAGTACCTGAATTAGTGCCTGTTAAAGTTGCCAATCATACAGGTTGTAAGTGCTTGCCAACAGCCCCCCGCCATCCATACTCAATTATCAGAAGATCCATCCAGATCCCTGAAGAAGATCGGTAAGCACTTTTGTTTTTTTTTTTATACTGGATTATGCTTATTTTTGCCTTGCCAAAACTGTGTGTAGAGGATTTTTCATTAATGTAGAGTTATCAATTTATCTTCAAATTATTCATATTTTAGCTTCTAACCTGAACCTACTGGTAATAACTGGCAAATACATATTTTTATTAGATGTTAGATATATATTGTGGTAGGACCAAAACGCTCAGTGGTATGAGCTTGTCATGTCTACTTGTAGACACGTTTGTTCTTAATATGCATAGTCTACTGCAGGTGTAAAACCGCTGTAACCTCAAATTTAGCACATGTTCCAGAACAAGCATTAAATAAAACTTATTTCAGGCTGTTTGTATATTTACATCCTGAAATGAGAGAAAACAAAGAAGATTCCTGGGGTCATTGGGGAGTGACAAAACTAGCAGCACGTGAGTTTTGCAACTTTCTAATCTTTCCCCCTTAAGATTACCAAATGGAAAACCCTTATTTTAAATTAAAATGACTTAAAATTAATTTGGCTTTGAAATTCTCTTGAGATTAATTTTGTGATTATTTATAAGACAAACGACAAAACCAAAGGTAAGGATCACTTATTTGAAGAAAAAAAAGGATTTAATATAAAGAAACAAGTAAAGGGTAACTGAATGAAAAGATCATTAGTTAGATACTTAGACTTTGCAAAAGTAAAGCAATAAATATATTGTGTGAGTGGCAAGTAAAAGAGTAAGCTGGTGATTAGTTAACATTGAACCAAGAAGACACCTCCCGCCTCTCTCCAGCAGAAAAGAAAACTTGTAGAAAAGCAACATTTATTCTCAAGATGTTCCTGCTGTTCTGGCCAATGCTTTTATCTTTATTTTAAAGAAAATAATCTTAGGGGCCGGGCACGGTGGCTCACACCTGTAATCCCAGCAGTATGGGAGGCTGAGGCGGGCAGATCACGAGGTCAGGAGATTGAGACCATCCTGGCTAACACGGTGCAACTCCGTCTCTACTAAAAATATAAAAAAAAATTAGCCGGGTGTGGTGGTGGGTGCCTGTAGTCCCAGTTACTTGGGAGGCTGAGGCAGGAGAATGGCATGAACCTGGGAGGTGGAGCTTGCAGTGAGCCGAGATCGCGCCACTGCACTCCAGCCTGGGCAACAGAGGGAGACTCCGTCAAAAAAAAAAGAAAAGAAAATAATCTTAGGAGGTATGTTAGAACATATTTAATTTTCGTAAATAAACTGTTGACAGCTATAATTTGCATAGTTTTAACATATACCTTCTTAAGAAGATTACAATTTCCAAAATTACAGTTTAGTTTCTAAACATTTCCACGTAGAATATTTATAATTACAGAATCACTATCTAGTAAGATGCAGTTCATAAATACAAATTAAGCTCCTTTAAAATCTTTTTTTTTTTTGAGACGGAGTTTCGCTCTTGTTGCCCCGGCTGGAGTGCAATGGCGAGATCTCGGCTCACTGCAACCTCCGCCTCCCAGGTTCAAGTGATTCTCCTGCCTCAGCCTTCCAAGTAGCTGGGATTACAGGCATGTGCCGCCACGCCCGGCTAATTTTGTATTTTTCAGTAGAGATGGGGTTTCTCCATATTAGTCAGGCTGGTCTCGAACTCCCGACCTCAGGTGATCTGCCCGCCTCGGACTCCCAAAGTGCTGGGATTACAGGCGTGAGCCACCGCACCTGGCCCGCTCCTTTAAAATCTTAACTCTTCTCACATCCTTATCATTTTGTGGTGAGAACATTTGAAATTTACTCTCTTAGCAATTTGGAAATATAAAATACATTATTATTATTGACTATAGTTACCATGCTGTGCAATAGATCTCAAAACCTTATTTCTCCAAACTGAGTATAAAAAGCAAAAAATAAATTTAAAAAATCTTAACTATTATCTACTCAGGAATTTATTTAATGTTCCAAAGTTTTGATTATCCTTGAAAGCTTTTAAATCTGGTTCATTGTTTTCTTTTCCTAGCTGTTCCCATTCCAAGAAACTCTGTCCTATTGACATGCTATGGGATAGCAACAAATGTAAATGTGTTTTGCAGGAGGAAAATCCACTTGCTGGAACAGAAGGTAATGATAGTAGTAGTAAAATAATAACAGTAATAATAAAAGTAGCAACAATAGCAGCAACCGTTATTGAGTACTTAGTATGACCAGACAATGTTGTAAATCTTGTATATGTTTTAACTCATTTAATTCTCACAACAACCCTGTAATGTACTATTGTTATTTCTTTTTTTACAATTACAAAATGGGCACACCAAGATATCGAGTAATTTCCTCAAGGTCACACAGCTGAGAGTGATAGAAGTGGTCAGATTCCAGAACCCTCTGTACCATAATCATATAGTAAGTCCATCAATGCATCACTCTGCTTTTTAATCTCAAAGAAAAGCCCAGAGTGGTTGGAGCATCCTGAAACACTGAAATTGAAAGGGGATGTTAAACTTGAATGAAAGCTGCTTCAGAACTAAATACTAGTCAACTGCAGTTTACTAATTTATTTGTATAAAAGTCTCACAGGAACATAAAGTAATTTTGGACTTGGTTTCTGTCAGCTGCATCATATGAAAACACGCCAGTAATTTGAAAAAAGAAATGGAGAATAAGAGAAAATTTTTCTGGAATTAGGGCAAAGCAAAAGCAAAATATGGCTATTGGTCTAAGGGGAGCTGGGAGCAAAATGAGATATAGTCAAATTGTCATTGCTCATAATCCGTAATTCTGTGACTTTGGGTGATGAACATTTGCTTGAAAATGAATGCATTTTAATGTATTTTCCAGAGAGCTTTACATGGTTCCACCAAAAAAAAAAAAGAAAGAAAAAAAAAGTCACAAGTAGTCATGCAGTTTTAACCTTGCTTGTTTTAAACTATAATCTATAAGCAAGAACAGTAAGGGCTAAACTCTAAGAAATCTGTCCTATAAACTGTAAATAGCAACCTACTCTCCATTCTTCTGCCTCTCAGCTTCCTTCTAAATGTTTTCACGAAAGCTCAGCCCAGAGCATGTGGGGAAATTTAATATTTATGTGGTTTAAATGCCCATGCCGATCTTGAATGTTCTTTACACCCTTCCCACCAAGTGTTCAGCCATCCTCTACCAGAACATACATCAGTTATTTGGAGACTCGCCATCCAGTGAGGCAGCACCAAGGGGTGGGCACACTCCTGTTGTTATACTGAAATGAAATCTCTCTCCAGAACAGACCAGACTGCCCAATGGAATACAATAAGAGTCATATATGTAACTCACATTTTACATTAAAAAGATAAAAAGAAACAAGTGAAATTTATCTTAATATATTTTATTTAATCCAATCTATCCAATGTACTATCATTTCAACATGCAATCAATATAAAAAATTTATGAGCTAGCCTACATTCTTTGTGCTAAGTCTTTGAAATCCAGTGTGTGTTGTACACTTACAGCACATCTCAATTTAGACTCTCTATTTCATGCCCAATAGTCACATATGGCCCATAGCTACCTTGTTGGACAGCCCAGCTCAAGAGCATCAACTCATTAGTTCAGGTTTTACCCTATAGAACCATGTAAAACAAATCTAATTCTTTCTCCATGTGACTCATGTTCTAAAAGTGTTAGAAAATTTTTGTGGGGTTGGCCGGGAATGGTGGCTCATGCCTGTAATCCTAGCACTTTGGGAGGCCGAGATGGGAGGATCACTTGAGGTTGGGAGTTTGAAAACCAGCCGGGCCGGCCGGGCGCGGTGGCTCACGCCTGTAGTCCCAGCACTTTGGGAGGCCGAGGCGGGCGGATCACGAGGTCAGGAGATTGAGACCATCCTGGCTAAAACGGTGAAACCCCGTCTCTACTAAAAATACAAAAAAAAAATTAGCCGGGCGTAGTGGCGGGCGCCTGTAGTCCCAGCTACTTGGGAGGCTGAGGCAGGAGAATGGCGTGAACCCGGGAGGCGGAGCTTGCAGTGAGCCGAGATCCCGCCACTGCACTCCAGCCTGGGCAACAGAGCGAGACTCCGTCTCAAAAAAAGAAAAAAAAAAAAAAGAAAACCAGCCGGGCCAACATGGCGAAATCCCATCTCTACTACTACTAAAAAAAAAAAAAAAAAAAAAAAAAAAAAAAAAAAAATAGCTGGGCATGGTGATGTGCGCCTGTAGTCCCAGCTACTCAGGAGGCTGAGGCATGAGAATCTCTTGAACCTGGGAGGCAGAGGTTGCAGTGAGCCGAGGTCATGCCACCGCACTCGGGCCTGGATGACAGAGTGAGACTCTGCCTCCAAAAAAAGAAAGAAAGAAAGAAAGAGAGAAAGAGAAAAAGAAAAGAAAAGAAAGAGAGAGAGAGAGAAAGAAAGAAAGAAAAGAAAAGAAAGAGAGAGAAAGAAAGAAAGAAAAGAAAGAAAAAGAAAGGAAGGAAGGAAGGATAGAAAGAAAGAAAGAGAAAGAAAGTAAGTTACTGTGGGAAGGGCAATATACTTAGAGCTTAAAGGCTCTAGCTGAGGATTTCCTGGCACAAAGCCTCTGAGACAGTTTTGTACGGAGGAGGTTTGTAGGCAGGCACAAGGCATTAAAGGGTAAAGAGAGAGGCAGCAGACCACAGCGCAGTTGCTAAGAGGCATCAGCCTAAGCCAATGGGAAGTTGAAGCTGGGAACCCCTGCGGGGGTAAG
Source organism: Homo sapiens (assembly GCF_000001405.40). NCBI lineage: Eukaryota > Metazoa > Chordata > Mammalia > Primates > Hominidae > Homo > Homo sapiens. The sequence continues at coordinate 15,350,491 of NC_000023.11, read as the reverse complement.
TCTTAAATCTAGGTGAAGAGGCTGAGCCCTGTAGACCGTTCATTGGCTGCCTTGGAGAGGGGATGTAGCCTTAGGAGAGGCAGCTTATTTCTGCTGGAGATAATTCTTGGGAAGGCACTCAGCCAGTACACGTGTGTAGAGGGTGGTAAGAAGAATAGGGAAGAAGAGAAGTGCTGTTCTAAGCAGCGGGTATATGAGCACTCAGGGCTGGAGGTGAGAGAACATACTGGAAGAAGTTCAGCATGGTGGGGATATAATGGGTGGGGACATAATGGGGAAGGGGCTGGTTAGATGTGAGAGAAGAAGCTGGACAGGCTCACAGGGGCAAAGCAGAAGGACCTTGTAATTCTTGCATGGGAGCTTGGATGTGATACTAAGGACAAAGGGAAACCACACAACTGGCTAAAGCAGGAGAGTGACAGTACCCATTAGAATTTTAACAAAATCATATCAGCAACAGTGTAGAAGAGGATGTGTTGACTCGGGGCAGGGAAGGAGGCAGGAAACCTTTTGGGAAGTTGTAGCAATGATGTAAGTGAGAGGCGCAGGGTGGACTGGATCACAATTGTTTCTCATTCTCATCTCCTATAAGTCCCCAATGTGGATCAAGTTCACATTCATTTCTCCAGTGGCCCCATCAAATTGATGGGATTTACTGAGCTTACTGCTCACTATACTTTTTTTCCGCACATGTGACTGTTAAGCCAACTGCCTTTTCTACAGTGACTTCTCTTGCCCAGATGAGCACATTTAGGTTAGTGAATCCAAGTCTAATTTAATTGAGTCTTGTTAGAGTCAGGTCATTGCTCTAAATTGTTAAAACAAACGATATACACAAACACACACACACACAAAAGAATAAATTGAGGAGGTCCCAATTCTGTATTTTAAAATACTTAATATATCCCTTCCTTCTTGAAGAGAGCTACAATTTCAAGAATTTATTTTGAAAAAATTCTATCAGTTTATTGATAAAAATGGTAAAAGGAACAAAGCTGAGAACAGAACATATCATCAGACTCTCTAGGGACGGAAATCAATACATAATACTTCAAGATATCACCCTCAGCTACTTGCTGTTCCACCACCAGTTCTCTTGCATCCAGTTTTTGTTTCTTTTAACTTGGCTATAAGGATGTGAGCACAGACTCTGCCAAACAGCCTGCTGAAGTTCTGCAAACACCTTGTGGATTGTGTTTCCCTGAACAACCCTGTCCAACAATGGCCTTGGGCCTGTCTGAAGTATTCTTAGTGAACTTCTGCTGCCACCTAGTGATCATTGCGAATTTTTAAAAAGCCTCTTTATCCTTTAACAAGTTACTCTTGTCTTACCCCAAAGCGGCATCTGCCTCACTGGCATATGACTTACAGAGCTCACATTTTCCCTCTCCACAAAGTTCAAAATGGAGACTTCTCAGATTTAGCCTTCCAGCACCCATTCTCAAACGTCGTGCATTACAGAAAAGTTTAAACTATAAAGTTGAACCGCACGAGATTCTCATTTTGATATGTCATTAAAGTCAGATATTGGCAAGAACATATGGTTTAACCCAATGGCTTGGAATGCTGGATGGGATTCCCAGAAGCTCCATACATCGGCCTGCTTCAGGACCCTTTTATTACACCAAATAAACCCAACAAACATCCATCGAGTGCCTATTTTATATCAGAACAATGAGACCTGCTCCTTCTCCTTCAGGACATTTTACTTAATGGGGGAAACATACAAGTAAACAGACAAATGTAATCAGTGCAAGAAAGAATCGGACAGCAATATGCACAGGATAAGGACACTTAGCTAAACCTGCAGACATTGGGAAAGATGTCAGGGAAAAGGGATGGCAGAAGGAAAGACAAGGCCAAAGGCATGGGACTGGGAGGCACTGGAATATCAGGGCAACAGAAAGTGCTGTCATTTGGTATAAATGGAACACACAGGATATATGAAAGCAAGAAACAGAAGATGAGTCTGTGAGGTTACTATGATCCAGTTCATGGAGGGCCTTGTATGTCCTGGTGGGAAAATTGGTTTTTATTGTGGGAAGGGAACCTTTTAATGCATTCAAAGCAGTGGAATGAAGTGATTTGGTTTGCATTTGTTAATCATGTGAAGAAGAATAGGTTGGAGGGATAAAACTTGTGGTGGTGAGATGAGTGACAGAGCGACAGCCATCTACAAAAGAAACACAAGGTACAGACTGAATTGTGGGAGTGGTAGTGGGGATGGAAAATAAAGAACAAATTTAGAGAGGCAGAACTGAGTGGACATGATGCTCAGACTTACCAGAGCAGGTGAGTCAAGAATGATGTCACCATTCCCTAAATGAGGCAAACTGGGAGAGAAGCAGATTTGGGGAGAAAACTACTAAACATGTACGTCCCTCCAAAACCTTCAAGAATGCTAAAGGGACAGAGTCAAGTTCTTCCAAAGTTTCTGTCTCTTCCATTTATTTTGCAATGAATTTCAACTTGTTAATCAGAAATGGATTTGGAGTAGTAGCTATTCAATTGTTTTATACACCTTCTAGAAGAAATATTTGTCAGATGAGTATGTCAAAAACTTCTCAGACCCTCCCCTTTACTTGAATGTATCTTCCAGCAGATGTTGGTGGAATCAAAGTTCATTATTACTCCTATATCTTTTATACTAGTGTTATGATCTGCAGTGAGGACATGCATTGCTATTGCTACGCCTGGCCTGGAATGTCTGAGGTGTATTTCTACAACACCAATTATTTTGTGTGTCTCTCCTTTTAATCTCCACCAAAAAATGGAGACAGCTAGATTCATAACCCTTAGACATCCTATATTTTATTACTAATACTTGGTTGTGGAAGTTTGCATTCTAAACAAGTCATCAACATAAAAATCTCTAAAAATATTTTATGAAAAATATTCAGCTTATGATATTTTAAAAATCACAAACCTAAGAAAACACACAAACCTGTGTTTGTATTGTGAAATCAGAGGTTAATCTTCCTCACCCTGTGAAAAAATTAGGGGCATAAATCTATAGGAAGGAGATTGGGTGAATCCAAGTTACTTACGGATGACATAAAAGATACAATCAACTTTGGTGATCCAATTGCCACACTACAACTATCTGACCAACACGTTTCTGTTTCTCTTTAGACCACTCTCATCTCCAGGAACCAGCTCTCTGTGGGCCACACATGATGTTTGACGAAGATCGTTGCGAGTGTGTCTGTAAAACACCATGTCCCAAAGATCTAATCCAGCACCCCAAAAACTGCAGTTGCTTTGAGTGCAAAGAAAGTCTGGAGACCTGCTGCCAGAAGCACAAGCTATTTCACCCAGACACCTGCAGGTAAATGCCTTGAGTTGTCTTGCCTTTACTCATGACATTTAACGTAGATGCCATTTTAATTTGGTGGGATTCCTTAGTAAGCTAATTTTTCCCCTTGGTGCCTGAGTCCCTTTTGGATAATAGAACAGAGGTTTAGCAGCTAAGGAATAAGCAAGAGTATACCGAGTCATGATTAATCATGAAAATAAGAAAATCAATCCTGCCTGTTATTATGTGTGTAGAGCTTTTTTTTTTTAGACGGAGTCTCGCTCTGTCTCCAGGCTGGAGTGCAGTGGCGTGATCTGGGCTCACTGCAACCTCCGTCTCTCTGGTTCAAGGGAGTCTCCTGCCTCAGCCTCCCAAGTAGCTGGGATTACAGGCACGTGCCACCACACCCAGCTAATTTTTGTATTTCAGTAGAGACGGGGTTTCACCATGTTGGCCAGGATAGTCTTGATCTCCTGACCTCATGATCCACCCGTCTCGGCCTCCCAAAGTGCTGGGATTACAGGCATGAGCCACCGCGCCCACCCGGGGTTTAGAGCTCTTAAACAACAATGAAATTGGTAAAATTTAAGCAGTTATTAGGATATTGCTTAATAATAATATTTTAGGAAGGGGAGGTTTCAGATCATCAACCTGTTTAGTTCAATCTCTCATTGTTTATGTCTATATATGTTTGTTTTTTTCTTTAATGGAGGGAATATCATTGGATTTATATAGCAAGTAATTTATTCATGAATAGAACACTTGGAGGTTACTGATTCACTTCAGTAGATTTTGAATCCATGTGGGATAACCATGCAGGATTTTATACTGACATTTTAAATACATGTCTGGAAAACTTAATCAAATCAGAGCAGAGTTATTCTTTTGAATCCAGTCATTGATTCTGAATTCTCATCTTTATTTTCTTTTGCAACAGCTGTGAGGACAGATGCCCCTTTCATACCAGACCATGTGCAAGTGGCAAAACAGCATGTGCAAAGCATTGCCGCTTTCCAAAGGAGAAAAGGGCTGCCCAGGGGCCCCACAGCCGAAAGAATCCTTGATTCAGCGTTCCAAGTTCCCCATCCCTGTCATTTTTAACAGCATGCTGCTTTGCCAAGTTGCTGTCACTGTTTTTTTCCCAGGTGTTAAAAAAAAAATCCATTTTACACAGCACCACAGTGAATCCAGACCAACCTTCCATTCACACCAGCTAAGGAGTCCCTGGTTCATTGATGGATGTCTTCTAGCTGCAGATGCCTCTGCGCACCAAGGAATGGAGAGGAGGGGACCCATGTAATCCTTTTGTTTAGTTTTGTTTTTGTTTTTTGGTGAATGAGAAAGGTGTGCTGGTCATGGAATGGCAGGTGTCATATGACTGATTACTCAGAGCAGATGAGGAAAACTGTAGTCTCTGAGTCCTTTGCTAATCGCAACTCTTGTGAATTATTCTGATTCTTTTTTATGCAGAATTTGATTCGTATGATCAGTACTGACTTTCTGATTACTGTCCAGCTTATAGTCTTCCAGTTTAATGAACTACCATCTGATGTTTCATATTTAAGTGTATTTAAAGAAAATAAACACCATTATTCAAGCCATATAATTTTATGTTATTTAATATGCTTCCACTCTATATTTATGCTAAAGAAAAAGTGTTTTAAAGAAAGAAAGGAATTTCAAAGTGGAAGGTGCAGGAAGAGACACAAACACTGGACCTCAGTTTTGGGAAACCAAGGGAATAGCTCTCAGAAAGGTTAAGATCCTAAATGAGGCTAAGCAAATGTGACCCAAGAATCCACTGCGAATCACTCTGTGCCTTGAGATTAAATTGAACTTGACCTGATCCCCATCCCATGGCAGAGGGGAACCCATCCATGCCCTTGACCTCTTTGAGAGTTTGCATTTCTTCTAGCCACCTCTGGCTCCAAGTTTCTGCACTTACTCAAATCTCAGTGTCATGGACACCCCAACTCTCATGGCAACACAGTTCTTCTCTCTGTTCTACAGCTATCACTTTTTGTTTTGTTTTGTTTTGTTTTTTGTTTTGTTTTTTTTTTAGACGGAGTCTCACTCTGTCGCCAGGCTGGAGTGCAGTGGTGCGATCTTGGCTCACTGCAACCTCTGCCTCCCAGGTTCAAGTGATTCTCCTGCCTCAGCCTCCCGAGTAGCTGGGTCTACAGATGCACACCACCACGCCCAGCTAATTTTTGTATTTTTAGTAGAGACGGGGTTTCACCGTGTTGGCCAGGATGGTCTCAAGCTCTTGACCTTGTGATCCACCCTCCTCAGCCTCCCAAAGTGCTAGGATTACAGGCATGAGCCAGCGCGCCCGGCCACATAAAGCCTTTTTCCTCAAAGTACTCCTACATCTAATTTGTTAATGATGTAGACTTTATTGAAATTTTGCCATAACAGAGAGAATTTAGCAGCATTAGCAGATTTAAGTTATGTATTAAATAACTTAAAATTAATCCCTGCATAGTATCTTGCATAGATAGATATGTATATAGACACACACAACCCATTATGGTACTTACAACACATTTGTGTAAATAGTAGTGTTCCTGTTTATCTCCCCACCATACTGTGACCTCATTATGATTGGAAACGGTGTCCTGATCAAATTTGTGTAACCCAACTTTCTCAGGCCAGAACACCCTGGAACAGTACAATCAAAAGGAGAAAGACAATGATAAACAATGGAATAGTAAACAAATGTAGCCCCATGGTAGTGGCATTGTTTGATCCTGGCCCAAATCCCTACCCTTCCTCTGCCAGGGTTTCTAAGCAGTTCCTGAATTCTCCCTTCATTCACTGAAATTCTCTGAAGCCTGGGGCTCCAGGTCCTTTGATGCTTCCCTGGCTTTAACTCTCAGTCCCTGCCCTGGGGACATGAGCTAACCTTCACCTGGCCTTGGAACCACTCCCCACTGTGCTGCCATTGTCATTGCTCTTGTCATTTACTGGTGCCAACCCAGTCACTCCTCTTTTGCCACTGTTCTTTTTGCCCTCACTTTATGACCTTGATGTCAACAGGCTTCTTCCTTCTCATTTTACTGTATTTTTAATCAGGCTTCTGAAAATGCTTGCACATAACTTAGTTTTTTAAAACATACTTGGCATTCGACTCTTTGCTTTGCCTTTTCGTTCAGTTTCTACCACTCCCAACTTCTCCATGATATTTGCTTAAATTCCTTTGAGATCTGGGGCAGAAGACAATTCAAGGATACCACACAATTAAAGGAGTTACTTTGCTTATCCTCGACTGGTAAAAAGAGGGGATGTATCACTAAGGAGAAAAGACCTGAATTTAAGGACAGACTCTGCCACCTAAACACATTGTAAGCCTGAACAATGTCATCGAGCCTCAGTTTTCTCATCTGTCAAATGTAAATGATAATCTCATTTCCCTAAATCTCAGAATTGATAATTTCATTAGAGTTACGATTAGTGAAAAAAAAAAATTGAACAATACAATGTACCTTATAGCTCAAAGGAATTATTCTGAAGGAAAAAAGCAAGACTGAGCAAATCTCAGAAGCTTGGGACCTCTGAGATGTTCTTGGCTTATACTGGATCCTTGGATCTGTCCTAAAACCAACTCAAACCATGTTTTGGCTCGAAATGCCTCTGGCTTCATAATTGCCATTTAGATGGAGATTATCATAGGGAATTCTAAGCTAAGCCAAAACTCAATGTGATCTGGCTTTGTGCTTCTAAAACCCCTCCCTCTTCTTCCTCCTTAATTCCCAATTACCATCAAGATCTGCACTTGGATCCCTGACGCTGGGTCAGGATGGGTCTGGTCCTTGAGGGCGGAGGTGGGGTAACTGGCCTGTTGCTTTCTTAGAGTTCACTAGACATTGCACAGGAATATTTGTCATACTAACAGCCCTGGAACGTGAGTTGAAAATCCTCAACTTGTTGCAAAATAAAAGTATGTGAGAAACTCCAAGAGCTTTAAGCAAACACAATAAATGCCAGCAATGCATGATGTCCCTGATTACGCCACAGGGCCAGAGAATTATTAATGTGACAGCACACGTCATAAATCTATGACTAAAACAGTGTGGCAGGAGGCCCTTTAGAGATGGAAACAGATTAGGCAGCATGATGATCAGAGTTGAATGAAGATTAAAATACTGTCTGAGAGACTTGATAAAGGAAATTATACAAACATTACGTTTTAATGCCCTTAAGAAAAGCCATAGTTCAGTGAAAATTGTGAGCTTAATAGATTTGGTCAGCAAGAGCTGGACTTTGCCTAATTTAGTCTTAATCCTCAGTGTGAGAACAATGTCTTGCATATATTAGGTACTCAATAAATATTTAATAAATAATAAGTTATTACATTGATTTTGTGGCCAGCCAATGAAATTATCTCTTTAAAAAGTGAAGAGTAATTTTACATAGCTCATGTTTTTCAAACTCAGCTAAATTATATGCATGTCTGAATTATTCAGATGTTGCAACTCTAGAAAGGAATTTAATCTATTCTCAAAATATTTATGAAATGAAAAGGAGCAAAAAAATTCTGTTATTTGACCCTTATTAATGGCTTCATGAAAGAAAGTCTGCCTTTGGTAATTTTATCACTGATATTGTTCTGAAACAGTGGTCAGTAAGCTATGGCCCATAGGCCACTTTCAGCTCACTGCCTGTTGTTTTGGTAAATACTGCTTTATTGGAACACAGTTATGCTCATTTGTTGATGTATTGTCTATGGCTACTTTTATTCTACAACAGCAGAGTTGAGTAGTTGGGGACAGAGACTGTTTGGCTTGCAATGCCTAAAATATTTACTCTTTGGTCCATTACAGAAAAAGTTAGCCAACCGCTTGTGTAAAAATATTTCTTATTTTATCACGTCATCAATGAACATTAAATATAATGAATTAGACTGCTTCTTGAACCCCTATAAGAAATGGCACTTTTACCTGGCCTTGATCGATTGTTGGAATCAACTGGCCTCACCTTATTTGAGTCATTGTGTAGTGTGCAACCCAATGAAGCTAAAAAGTTACAGTGATTTAAATTTCAGGTTTCCACAATTCAAATAAAGTCATGGATACATTTATTGATGGGTTCTAGTTATGTTTGTGGTATAGCTCTAAAATGTTAGTGTTGATGGCGTGGACTCTAAATAGAGATAGTGCATAAACATATTAGTTTTTTTTTTGTTTGTTTGTTTTTTCTCTTTTTTCCAATGCCCTGGGTAAAGTAAATACTCCTAAAGAGTAAGGGGATTTTTTTTTTTTTTTTTGAGACAGAGTCTCACTCTGTCACCCAGGCTGGAGTGCAGTGGCACAATCTTGGCTCACTGCAACCTCTGCCTCCCAAGTTCAAGTGATTCTGCTGCCTCAGCCTCCTGAGTAGCTGAGATTACAGGCTACAGGCACCCGCCACCATGCCTAGCTAATTTTTGTATTTTTTAGTAGAAACGGAGTTTCACTATGTTAGCCAGGATGGTCTCGATCTCCTGACCTTGTGATCCACCCGCCTCGGCCTCCCAAAGTGCTGGGATTACAGGCGTGAGCCACCGCACCCGGACCAGGATTTTTTTTTTTTTTTTAAAGCATAAGCCCGCAAGGACAGGGTAAATGATAAAGTCAACAGAAACAACAATGTTCTGAAAGCTGAAAAGCACGTAGATAAGTTGTAAATGATGTGGCCGACCTGAAAAAAAAAATAATTTAAGCCAACAGTCTGGAAAGATGAGTTCCCAAAAGGCTCAGAAGTGGGTGTCCCAAGCACCTCTAGAAATGGGAGGGATGAGAGGGGTGCTAAAATGAGGTTCATTCCAAAAATCTGTATAAGAAACAGTTTGATCCCAAATCTTCTCCCACATTCCCTGTGGTGGAGTGACTGCTCCTTCCAACCCCAGGCAAAAGATGGGTTATTAGTCGTTTGGCTAAGGTAAAAGAGAGAGCATCCTGAATGGGGGATGCCTGACATCCATGAGGGCAGGGTGCTGAACTAACAAGAGGATTAAGTGAACGCGTACATACTAGGTGCAACCACAATTCAGGCAGTTGGATCTGTACTGGAAAAGTATTTCTCTAGGGGGAATCTTACCAGCCTAAGAGAAAAGACCTAAAAAGGACTGAAATTAGCTGGGGGAGGGACTATCAAATGGAACAGCCCAAAGAGGTCATCAAGCCCCATTCCTGGGCTCAGACCTCAGATCAGCTCCTTTGTCCCTTTCTTTTAAGTATGAGCAAGCAAGCATGAATTCCCAGACCTCCAGGGAAAATTTCTAACATGAAAGACAGAGAGTAAAACACACAGAAAAAGGCAATTTGGAGGAAACAGAAGAAAACTTCAAATCATTAATAGCCAGGGGATGAGGGAAGAAGGTGAGACAGTGCAACTAATAAATAAAATGAAGGTGTTATTAAAAAAGAAAATGTCAGAGGACATAATTGAGCCCTAGGAAACTAAAACTATTATAATAAATTGAAAATTCAATAGAACAAAAAAGGAAGACAGAGTTGAAGAAATTTCCTATGAAGTAGAATAAATAAGAAATTAAAAGTGAAAAGATAAGAAGGTCTAACATCAGAATAACTGAAGTTACAGGAAATGAGAAGAGACACAATAGGAGATGTAATCAACAATTTAAAAATTCAAGAGAATTTCGAAGCACATGAGTTGGCAAGTGAAAAGGCTCTCTGAGTCCCTAGTCCAAAAGGTGAAACTATGCCTATACCAAGGCACAAAATGATGAAATTTCAGGACACGGGAGACTAAGAGATAATGTATAAGTTTCCAGAGTAAAGAAAAATTATGATAACTTCAAACAAAGGGCCAGGAATCCGAATGAAATTAGTTTTCTCAATAGCAACACCAAAAGCTAGCAGGCTAGAGCAATGCTGCTAAACTTCTGAAGGAAAATAATTTCTGGCCTACTATTTGGCACCCAAACTATCAATAAAATTGGAGGGCTGAAAAATAAATTTTCAGACATTAAAGTTCTTAGAAAATCTCCCGATCTCCCATGCAGTCTTCTTTAGGAGGCTACTGGAGGACGGTCTTCAAAAAAGGGTGCTAAAACGAAAAGGAAGACATCACTCAAACAAATCCCAATATCCTGTGATTTTCCTTGTCTCTCTCTTTTTTTTTATTGCCACGAGAAAACATCAGGTCCTCATTGCCTCTAGTCTAGAGCTAGTTTCTTAAGCTATAATGTGCATACTATCATTCCAGATCTTGTTAAATTGCAGATTCAGATTTAGCAGGTCTGGAGAATCTGAGAGTCTGCACTTCTGACCAGCTCCCAGTTGCTGTTGCTGATCTGCAGCCCCTACTTTAAATTGCAAGGAGGCTTCTGGACTACTGGAACAGCCTAACTGGTCTCTTCTCCAGCTGTGCCACTCTTTCACCTTCCTTTTCTCCAGTTCTTGGAACAATTTTCCTAGGACAAAGCTTTGATTGTGGTTTGACATTTCATCTCATATTCTGCATCAAAAAGAAGTAACTGCCTTAGTTACTCTTTTCCACCACACTAACCTTTGTTTCAACAGTGTGTAGCCTAAAGCTTATCAATATGAGTTTTAAAAATGCTAGTAACATCTTCATGTTCAAGGTATCTAATTGATTCTTTTATATCCACTGGTGTTTGTTTAATTTCTGCATGTTTTTATTTCCAAATTCTTATTCTTTTAAAAATGTCATTTCAAAAATTATTTGAATTGCGTCTAGAGTGAATTCTTCTTCCATTGTTACATTTGTGTGTTGTCTTTCTTAATATTATATATCTTCCATTGTTTTTGAATTTTGGTTTATAAACCAATCTTGAGAGCTCTCTCTCTCTCGCTCTCACTCTCACTCTCTCCTCTCCCCGTGTGTGTGTGTGTGTATGTGTGTGTGTGTGTGTGTGTGTGTGTGTGTGTGCTTATATCCCCCAGACTAGCAGTGATAGTGGAAAATTGCAAATTATGTTGCTTGGCTCAGTTCTGTTAGCAAAGTTATATCCTCAGACTGTTGGCAAAAAATTCTTTCAATGTCTATTCACAAGTAGGGGAGATGGTTAAGCAATAAGGCTTGGTTATCTATTGCTATGTAACAAATCACCCAAAAACTTAATGTTTTGAGACAATAACGATTTATTATTTCTCATAATTCTGTGGGTTAGTTAGGATCAGCTAAGTGGTTCTTTCCACATAGTATAGGCTGAAGTCACTCCAGTGGTTATATTAAATTGGGAACTCACTTACTGCTGGAATGCCCAAGATGACCTCTCATTCTTCAGGGCTTCTCTCCATGTGGCTTGCCATTATCCAATATCTTGTCTGAGCTTCACAGCATGGTCATTGGCTTTCAAGAGGAAAGGTTCCAACAAGATGCATCCCAGTAAATAAACACTTATTAAGCATCTGTGGCATCTCATTTGGCCATTCCAGTCACATGCTCAAACCCAGAGCCAATGTGGGAGAGGATTAGACAAGGCTGCCAATATGGAATACTGGTTTATTGAAGGTCACCGTTGTAACAGTCTCTCACAAAACTGGTTCCTGTATCAAGCCACACATGGAACCCTGTTAGTCTATTATTCTACAGGGGCTGAACCCTGGTTCACATCTTCCTGCTGCCACATACAGAATCCAGGACCTAGGTGGCTTTGTTCCTGATCACCATTTTGCGTATTGGTTCTGTTTCTGATACACGGAAATGTTTATCTTCTTGTTTAAATCACAGGTAAAACATTAAATTTTCTCATTTATATTGTATCACTTATTGTTATATTTGAAGCAGAATCAGGAGTTAGGAGTCTCAAAATACTAATTGAAAATGTGATCTTGGCTGGAAGTCCGCCTCAACATCAAGCCCATTTTCCTTAGTAATATCTTCTACCAGTTTGCTCTAACCTTCATTGATAATGCCACTCTTCTTCTGTCTGCCCACTTTCCCTTCTCTTTTCCTTTGTGATTACAAAGCAGTGTTTGCTGGACAGCACCTGTCTGTACCTCATTCATGTTGTTCTTGGAATTACCCTGTTCCCAAGAGTTGCATGACACCATCTACTTATTCTTCTAGCTAAATGCTGGCAGCTAGAAATACTCTTCCCCTTTGAACTCCCAATATTTTTCTTATATTTCTCTTATGGCATTTATCACTTCCTGCTTTTTATCGTAGATATTTACATATGCCTTAACTCTGTATTGTTTCCTTGCAAGTAAAGCTCATGCCAGGTTTTCTCTGCATCGTGCTTTGTACACAGATAGTAGGCTCTCAAGACATGTTTGTTGCCTTCGCACTCCAAGATTATCCCAAAGAGCTAATTTACATATGAAGTTGCAAAAACTGAATTTCAAGGGAAGATGATATCTACATTTATTTTACATCTTCATCATCTCAGGTCGTTTAATACTAAAACTGGTACCAATTGCCCTCATATTTTATTAAGTGCAATCAGAATATAATGCATGTAAGTATCTTAGTCTAATTTTAGTGGTTCCGGAGAAAATTCTCTCAAGACATACCTTGAGACCATACATTAAGGCAGGACACCATAATTAGAATCATCTCCAGATTTATATCTTAATCTTGCTACTACAAATTTCTTTTGACTTTTTAGAATATAGCCTTAAATGGAGACCTTTACTTAACTGACTATAAATGAAGTCATGTACCCAGGTGAGATTATGAACCCTTGGGAGTCGGAATCATGATTTATTTATCTTTTAATGCTCAGTGCCTAGGACAGAAGCTGGAGCTTTAAATAAATGTTCAATGTTTTCAGACTTTGTTGGAACAGCCTGCAGGCTCCTCAACGCCCTCCCCCACAGAGACTCAGCAACAGTGTGCCTCTATTAATATCTATTTATAAAGGTCAGCCTATTCTATATTTGAAACACAAAGAACCTTTTAAGAAAGGTGGATTTCTTTTGACTATTGATAACATGTACAGGAAAAGCTAGAAAAAATAAAAAGCTGTTGAAACACAGGGACTATGCTTAATATTTCTTGTATTCCCCACAAGGCCTTTTACAGAGCAGACATCCAGTAAATGTTTGATGATAAAAATAAGAAATATTTGTTATATTTTGAAAAAAGATTCATGGTGGAATTTCAAACGTGTACTGTGATCAGAACTATGGCAGGGGCAAACCAGGGGCTCAATAAGTGAGGCTTAACCCTCATTTATACCTTCCAGGATTTCTACCCCCACTCTTTGTCTTAAAACCTATTACAAAAATGGAAAGGAGGCCAAATGCTGTACCTATCTGGTAATGTCGCTGTTATCTGTGAAACCAACTACAAATTATAAAGCTTAATTAAGTGTCCTTGAGTCTTCATCACTGTAATTCTCCGATGCTTCATCAATATTAACACAGGGCAAAGTATCGATTGCTACTCTAGTCTTACTCATCAACTCATTAATTCGCTTCAAATCTCACAACTAAAATGCTCTTTCAATGATGTTATTGCACTGTAATTTGTATAAGGTACACTCCACGAAATACTGTCAATACATTTTATTGTGAGCATCTAATATGTGTCAGGGAGTGTGCTGACATTGGGTAAAGAAATTCATGTATTAAACTAAAACTTCCTCAACATCCATTACCAAGAACAGATCCTGCCTCAGTTTACTATCTGGCAGGGAAGGCAGACATTTAACAAGCAAATACAATTTCCGTTTTCAGAAAGAAGTCCATGTGAGATCTCAAGAGACAAGTAATCAAGGATCAGGGTGAGGAGGGAGAATGCAATCAGGCAAACAACTTGAATATCATCTGATAAATGTTATACTTTGGCCAGCATGTGGCCAAAGTACTATTAAAATTAAAAAGTGAGAGTATTTCATTCTCTGGAGGCTTGGGGAAAGCATCAGAAAGGAGCAGACATTTTCAGGGATGAATAGGCTTACACTAGGCTTAATAAAATGGGTGCCAGTAACGGTGGCTGTGATGGTACTCAGAAAGGAATTTCTTCTCGAAAACGCACGTATGGCAGGGATGGGGGATTCCAAGTACCAGCTGTGACGCATGGATGACCGTCATACCACTCTCACTGATTCTTTAGCTTCCTAGTCAAGCACCATCGTAACTAGTTGAACCAGTCGAGTGGGAGTTGATATTTCAGATCAGACCTCGTATGTTTCCCTCAGAGTGTAGAATTGCCATATAAATAACAGGATGTCTAGTTAAATTTACATGTCCGATAAAAAACGAATGTGTAGTGAAGTCCCCAATATTTGGTACATGCTTGTATTAAACATCATTTGTGCTTTATCTGAAATTAAAACTTCATAGTTTCATCTGTTTTGACTTTTTGTGTATTTTTATTTATTTATCTGGCAAACGTCCCAGAGCGGTAAGAACCGGCACGGTTTTGCCGTGGCACAGCTGATTACAAACAAAAAGTCTCTCCAATCAGAAGCAAGCGCGCAGAGAACTGGCGTCCGGAATAGAGACGCTGTAACCAGGAAACCAGGGTGAGCACCCACCCTACCGTCGGCCGCTTCTAGGAGACGGGCGCAGGCGCGCGCTGACGTTACATCTCGCGCTTAAGGGTGGGGACGACAGAGCGTCTCTCTCGGACGTGACCTCAGCGCCTCTTTGTGATTGGCTGCCTCGGGGGCGCGGCCCTTGGGCGCGGACGCCCTAGATTGGTGCTGCGGAACAGCAGGGAGGGACTCCGGCTGCAGCCGCGGGAGGTCCGGACACTGGCGGCCATGGAACTCACCGGTGAGTGCGCGTCGCGCCGCCCCTCTCCAGCGCTCTGGGCCGCTTTCGGATGGGGCTGTTCTGCGCGCGTGGGATCGTGGCGGGTGGTGGAGGGGGTGAAACCGACCCGGTTCGAAGCCCGGAAGTTGGGTCGGAGGGTCTCCAGAGTAGGTTGGGGCTGAGGGTGCGTTTAGGGCGGACGCGCTGGGTTCCTTGGCTCAGGCGGGTGGGTCGAGGGACTGGGGTCTCCGGAACCCCGGGCCTGAGACCAACGTCCACTCTTTGGTTGTTTTCTTTCTCTCTTTGGGCCTGGCCATCCCCGCCATGAACCCAGCGGGGTCGCTGTCTGAGCAGGGGTATCCCCTCCTTGGCCCGAGCGTTTCCCCAGCGACCTCTCAGGGAATCAGGGAATGAAGCTCAGACAGTGCCCAGGAATTGTCGGTGGAAGTACCATTCTCTTGACCCACAACTCCTGCCAGGTCTCCCTAAGGTTCTTCAGGAACCTCTACTGCTAATGATTGCCCAGGGCTCGTTGGTCGTGGTCGAGAATTTTACGGTAATGTCTTTGCCACTTTAAGTGGCTGGGTGGGAACCTTGGACAAATCACTCAACTTGTCTGGGTTCTCATTTGTAAAACGAGAGAGGTATTCACTAGAGCTCCAAGCCTCATTTCGGCTTTAAGAGCTAAGATTCTGCGATTGTGCAGCATAATGAACTTTTATGTCAAAGATGTTTGGACTGAAAACCTGGCGGAAGTGGGCAGACTCCTCACAGAACGTTGCAGGCTAATGACAACATTTTAAATGATATCATTTGGTTCATTACTCACTGTTTTTGCTATCGTTCATCTTTTAAAACTGGTAGAACTGGAAGTTCGGGTTTAGGTGACCACAGTAAGAAAATGTTAGTTAAGCCACCTAAAAGTACAAACTTGGGGAATTTCAATATTTGGTAATATTGAATCTTAATTAGTAAACTCAGTCAACAAACACTTCTGGGGTCTTTCCGAGAGTATATTTAAAATGTAGATGAGGCCGGGCACGGTGGCTCACACCTGTAATCCCAGCACTTTGGGAGGCCGAGGCTGGTGGATCACCTGAGGTCAGGGGTTCGAGACCAGCCTGGCCAACATGATGAAACCCCGTCTCTACTAAAAATACAAAAATTAGCTGGGCTTGTGGTGTGCGCCTGTAATTCCAGCTATTCAGGAGGCTGAAGTGGGAGAATCGCTTGAACTCGGGAGGCAGAGGCTGCAGTGAGACGAGATCGCTCCACTGCACACTAGCCTGGGCAACAGAGTGAGACTCCGTCTCAAAAAAAAAAAAAAAAAAAAAAAGTAGATGAATTTGTTGGAGAGACTAGACAGTTAAGCCTTTGCACATACAGTTAATTGGCATTTTCTGAGTTTGCAGGTGAAACCGGAAACTCAGAGCTTTAGGATGGCTTCTCATTGTATAGTTGTTTGTTTTCTGGAGCCTTGGAAATCTCATTTGTAAAGCTGAGGAAGATTTTGACTAGATATCCAAGATTCTTTTTAGCTTTAAGTGTCTAAGAATGTACAGTAGTACTAAATATTGAGTGGGCATTTCACATTAATAAAGCTTTAGGGGACCCCTGAGATAAACATTTCGCACTTTAAATTGAGAAAATGGTCCCAGATACAGCCCATCTCTAGTTTAGCCTTTATCTTTAGACACCGCACTGAAGGGAGGGACACTCATTGAGTTTGAAAGGCCTGCATAACTGATAGAAAAGTTTAAAAAGTGAAGGGAGCAGTTACATAATCACCCTCTTTGGTTTTTGTGTTTCTGTTTTTTGTTTTTGTTTTGTTTTGTTTTTTTGAGATGGAGTCTCGCTGTGTCACCCTGGCTGGAGTGCAGCGGCGCGATCTCGGCTCACTGCAACTTCGGACTCCCGGGTTCAAGCGGTTCTCCTGCCTCAGCCTCCCGAGTAGCTAGGACCACAGGCAGGCACCACCACGCCCAGCTAATTTTTGTATTTTTAATAGAGATGAGGTTTCTTCATGTTGGCCAGGCTGGTCTTGAACTCCTGACCTCAGGTGATCCACCCACCTCAGCCTCCCAAAGTGCTAGGATTACAGGCGTGAGCCACCGCACCCGGCCTAAATAATCACCCTCTTTGAATAAGGAAGGAGAACATGTGTGCAGCATGTGCTCTGGTGACATTTGAAAAAGGTGCTCTCAAAAAGATAGTTCGAGCTCCGGGTGTGTTTTAGTGTAAACCACAAAGGTAATGCTAGCAAAACTTTGAGAGTAATTGAATCAGTGGCTAAGCTATAGAGCAGGGGTTGGCAAACTTTAGTAGAGGACCAGATGGTAAATATTTTCAGCTCTGTGGGTCATATGGTCTCTGTTGTAGCTACTCTGCTCTTGTAGCACAAAAGTAGCCATTCACATAAATGAATGGGCACACCTATGAGCCTATAAAACTTTACAAAAACAGGCAGTGGACCAGTATAACCGAGTTTGGATCCTGGCCTGTTTTAGTTGTCTGTTATTTTTTACCAAACCACCCCAAGACGATGTAAAACAATAGCCATTTTGGTATGTTTCATGATACTGCAGTGAGCTAGGCTCAGCTGGGTGGTTCTCTTGGTCTTGCCAGTGGTCACTAGGAGGCTGCATTTAGCTGGTAAGTTGGCTGGATGGCTGGGCCTCTGGCTCTTTCCATGTAGTCTCAGAGCTCTTCCTTCTCCATATTATCTCTTCCCTTGTCCCTCTAGCACAGTAGATGGATTCCTTACACTTTGGCTTAGGATATCTAAGAGTGCACAAGTGAAAACCACCACACCTTGGAAATCACCACACCTTTTTTAGGCCGAGGCCAAAAATTTGCACATCACTTTCACTACCTTCTATGGGCTAAACCAGGTCCAAATGCAACGGGAAGGGACTATACTATAGAAGGGCATAAATACCAGAAGACATGACCGCTAATGAATCAGACTGCTACATTGTGTTACCTCTAAGCACTGAATAACTGAACAAATTTCTTAACCCCTTTAAGCTTTAGACTTTCCATTTATAAGATGGAGTTGATAACTCATGGAGTTTTGGTGAGGCTGCAATAAGATATAGAAGAGTCTTAGCATGTAGTAGCTGATGTATAGTGGCCATTTAATAAGTATTAATAGAAGCTGGTAAAGTATAAGAGTAAAGGGGAAATATATAAATGTGTGTATGTATGTGTGTATATATACTTAATTATTGGAAGAGACTGGTTTGTTAACGTGGTAAACCATGATATGCTGTGGTGTAACAAACTTACTATTTAAAGTTACATGTAGCAGTATTTTTAGGGCAAAATTAAGACATGGTAGAACCTAGTTTTGTTGTATGTAAATGCCAAGCAAGTAAATGTCAAATGAGTAAATTGATGATTTGCTTTATTTTTAATTCTGGGGAAAGCTAACAAATTTACATTAACATTAAAACAATATCTATATCTGGATTTGTAATATGGAATGTGTTTTGTTTCTGAGCTGAGATCCTGTTTTACTCTTTTTCAGGTAATAGAGGACACATCTCTTAACTGGGTTGCTCTAAGAACTGATGTCTAAACCGTCTCAGCATGGCCTGTAGAGGAGGAGCTGGGAATGGCCACCGTGCCTCAGCTACACTCTCTCGGGTTAGCCCTGGAAGTCTTTACACATGTAGAACCCGTACCCATAATATATGCATGGTATCTGACTTTTTCTACCCAAATATGGGAGGCGTGGAAAGCCACATTTACCAGCTCTCTCAGTGCCTGATTGAAAGAGGGCATAAGGTTATAATTGTCACCCATGCTTATGGAAATCGAAAAGGCATCCGTTACCTCACCAGTGGCCTCAAAGTCTATTACTTGCCTCTGAAAGTCATGTACAACCAGTCTACAGCCACGACCCTCTTTCACAGTCTGCCATTGCTCAGGTACATATTTGTTCGGGAGAGAGTCACGATAATCCATTCACATAGTTCTTTTTCTGCTATGGCCCATGATGCTCTCTTCCACGCCAAGACAATGGGGCTTCAGACAGTCTTCACGGACCATTCCCTTTTTGGATTTGCTGATGTCAGCTCGGTGCTTACAAACAAGCTTCTAACCGTGTCTCTTTGTGATACAAACCACATCATTTGTGTGTCTTATACTAGTAAGGAAAATACTGTACTAAGAGCAGCACTGAATCCTGAAATAGTGTCCGTCATTCCTAATGCTGTAGATCCTACTGACTTCACTCCAGACCCATTTAGAAGGCATGATAGTATAACTATTGTTGTTGTCAGCAGACTTGTTTACAGAAAAGGTAATGAAATGATAGCTATAATTGCATTGTAGACTTTTTTCCCTATAGAAAGCTGTTGAATACTTGTATATAATGATTGTTTGGCTTTTCATTTTGTTTTATGGTTTTATAATGCTATAAATTATAGCAAAGAAAGTTCTAATATTGGTTTATATATCCAAGAAGAGCGATTTTTCAGGATGGTGGTGAATGCTGTCCCCCAACCTTTGATGTTTTAATGGTTACTAAAAATAAGAATAACCTGATGCTGTTAAATTTCAGATCTTTTTAAAAATTAAAACAGCCCTGCACATGTGGTAAAGAAGTAGAGGGCAGGCCGTGTACGGTGGCTCACACCTGTAATCTCAGCACTTTGGGAGGCTGAGGCAGGCAGATCACGGGGTCAGGAGGTTGAGACCATCCTGGCTAACATGGTGAAACCCTGTCTCAACTAAAAATACAAAAAATTAGCTGGGCATGGTGGCAGGCTCCTGTAGTCCCAGCTACTCCGGAGGCTGAGGCAGGAGAATGGCATGAACCTGGGAGGCGGAGCTTGCAGTGAGCAGAGATCGTGCCACTGCACTCCAGCCTGGGCGACATAACGAGACTCCGTCTCTAAAGAAAAAAAAAAGAAGTAAAGGGCAGAGCTCACAGATGGCTTTTTTCTTCTGATTGCCAAAGTAATGTCTTTTCATTGCAGATATTTTGGAAACTAAGAAAAGCACAAAGATGAAAACTAAAATCAGCTGTAACTGTATTATTCAGAGATACCCTAATGAGTATTTTGATTTATAGCTTTCCTGTCTTTTTTATGTGTACGTACATATACTGAAAATCAGTGGGCTTGCTCTGCACGTTACTGTATTGTAGCTTGCTTGTTTCATTTCATCATGTATAAGACATTAGTAACATATTGGCAGGTAAGTGATGAAGAAAAGGGGATTAGATGTCCTGGGATCAGATGATGGGTCTGTCCTGCTGTGTGATCGAGGACAAGTAGCTTAACATCTCTAAGTCTCAGTTTTTTCATTTGTGTAATGTAAGCAACATTGGGAACCTCGCAAGGGTTCAGTGATAGTTCCTATAAACTATTAGCCTAGTTTGTAACTGTCCACTATTATCAAGGAGGTTTTTGGGTTTTTTTTTTTTGAGACGGAGTCTCGCACTGTCACCCCCCGGGCTGGAGTGCAGTGACGTGATCTCAGCTCACTGCAACCTCTGCCTCCCAGGTTCAAGCGATTCTCCTGCCTCAGCCTCCCAAGTAGCTGGGATTACAGGCGCCCACCACCAAGCCCAGCTAATTTTTTGTATTTTTAGTAGAGACAAGGTTTCACTATGTTGGCCAGGCTGGTCTCAAACTCCTGACCTCGTGATCCACCTGCCCCGGCCTCCCAAAATGCTGGGATTAACAGGCGTGAGCCACTGCACCTGGCCAAGGAGGCTGTTTTTTGTACCTCTACAGCACTTAATGGACACTGCAGTTGAATGTGTGGAGGCTTGTTTACTAAAAGTCTGACACAGTCTGGTTATAAAAAACAGTGTCTTCTGAGTGCTATTTGAAAACCTGTCCACTAATCAAAAGTGTCATTTATAGTAGGGAATCATTAAAAAAAATACATAAATACATACCCCCTTAAATAGTTAATATTTGAATTAAACTCAAAATATTAATACACACTGAGTTGCCCGTAGTTTGATGTAGGATTGCAGGCTTTGAGTGCTGGGCCACTGGTTTCAGCTGCATCTTGCACACCCTCCTTCATAAAACATAATCTACCATTGCTACTTTGAGTTTCTTTTGGGTGGGGTCAGAACTTAAAGGCGTATGAACTGATATGCTTCAGGAGTTTTAATTTGTTTTCAATTTTATACAGTAGTTTAGGACACCCCTCATCTGCCAAGAACTTTTTTCTGTGACATTCCTTTATTGGATTTTTCAAACTGTTCAGCTTAGTTTTTGTGGATACTCTTTTTGTCAGTTTATATGATAATTAAATTACTCAACACGACGATAACAAGTACAACTGACATCAAACAGATGTGTGAACAAACAATTGATTCTTGACAAGCACTGAATTCAGTGGTGTGCCAGTGTGCTAGGGAGTGGCCTAAAATCTAGATGTGGGCCTTGGTCAGTTTACGTTTGGAATGGAGAATCTTGATTGACCCAGCAGTCCATTTAAGTGGAGGTTGGCAAGGAAACTTGGCCTGAACTTCATTTTCTGGTTTGAAGGCAATGACATGCTTTCATTCTTTAATCAGGAACATGTGAACCGACTGGCATTCTGTATTCTGAATTCCTCCTGGGACATTAGTGATGTGTTTTTTTGTAACTTAGGAATTGTACCTAATTTATTTTTTAACCAAATAGCATATCTTCTTGAGATGGCTAGCTGAGAAAGAGTATGACACAAGTGTGATCAAGGATCAGCAAAATTAACTACCCATGCAAAGATTAAACCTGTTACCTTTACTTCCCTAATGTGGTATTTTAACTAGCTGAGCTAACCACCAATGGAGTGATGGTATGGCCTTTCCTGTACTCAATTCAGTAATTGAACAGTTATTTATCGAACCCTCTCCAGATGCCAGGCACCCTGCAGAAAGTAACATTCTGAAAAGGAACAGCCATGCCTGTAGCCCAAAAGTGAGTAGTTGTATTAATGGTCCATTCCTTATTAACAAATTAATTTCCTCAGGAGTTTATTGGACCAGATATCAAAGTCCCACTGGAATGTCTTAAGTGAGAGAGAGGATAAATCAAAGTTTTCCTTATCCAGGCTTTTTGGATGTCTTTTTCCTGAGCCTCCTCTTCCAAGCCTGTTTTGCTCTCAGTCAGGATTTACCAGCACTCTGCATGTGTAGGCACGCTCACCTGCTTCCTTCTGTAGTGGTAATGACAACCTACATTTGTATTCTGCAGTTGATAAAGCCTGTTCGTGGTACAATACCTCATTTGACCCTCCCAACAACTGTAGGGTAGATGTTATCTACATGAAATTGAGTCTCAGAGAGGGTAAGTAACTCACCCAGGTTACACAGTAAGTAACAGAGATGACACACGAGTTCAGCTTTTCTGGAGCTAAGTTCTCCTCTTCCTCCACCCATGCCCAGCCACTCATATCCTAGGTGTAGATCAGAAGGTTCTTAAAAATATTGTTAGACTGAGCTTTAAAAGCAGTTTGGATCAGAGATTTTCATTGTCTGTTTTGTGTTCACATGGCAGTCGAAAGTCTCTAGGTTCCATTGCATTATACCCTTCTTAGAGGCTCCAGAATAAATTTTTTTATAGTGGTGGGGAAAAGCCCTTATTCTTAGAATAAGAATATAGATCATTGGTAATAGTAATCAGTTCCATTTCTTATGAGATACTTGTCAGGATTAAATGACATAATGAATTTAAAGTATATTGCCTGTCATAGCAAGCACTCTGTTACTGTTAGCTATTATCATTTATGACTATTGCTCTATGTTGTTTTTTGTTTGTTTGAAGAATGGGCTCTTAACCTTGTACGAGAAAGAAAAGGGTGAGGAAGAAAATGGATTGAAGGAATTGTAGGAGACTAAATGTTAAAAGTCATTAAACTACCTTCTGGTTTATCTAGAAATCCAATTGAGTGATTTGTTAGTAGACATGAAACAAAGATAGCTATGATTTTAATGAGAAGCCTTCATATTCAGAAAAGCTGCGTGGGAATTTTTGATACATACAATAACAGTTTGAAAGTACTAGCAGAGTTTACTTAATGAATTCTACTTTGTATTATTTAATAAAAATGACCCTATAATATATATGTCATTTCTCCTATTTTATATCTGATATAAAATATCATCTATTTTATAACTGATCTGCCTATTTGGGGTGGAAGATTAAGAAATACAATTCTTATGTGTGTGTGCATTTTTAAAATTAATAAACTTAGCTCTAGGTGGATTATTTTATATTTACTTTTACTTTTTTTTTGTTTTTTTTTTTTTGAGACGGAGTCTCGCTCTGTCTCCCAGGCTGGAGTGCAGTGGCGCAATCTCGGCTCACTGCAAACTCCGCCTCCCGGGTTCACGCCATTCTCCTGCCTCAGCCTCCGGAGTAGCTGGGACTACAGGCGCCCGCCACTACGCCCGGCTAATTTTTTGTATTTTTAGTAGAGACGGGGTTTCACCATGTTAGCCAGGATGGTCTCAATTTCCTGACCTTGTGATCCGCCTGCCTTGGCCTCCCGAAATGCTGGGATTACTGGGATTACAGGCGTGAGCCACCGCGCCCTGCCTACTCTTACTTTTGAATATGTACGTTTTGTAATTGTTAATGAACTAGATTCTTAAATAGTGTTGACATTGTTGGGACTTTGGATAGCCACTCACTTTTTCAGACTAATAGGGCATAATTTACTTTATTGTTTTCTATTACCTGAGATTGTGTTTATATATTATAAGAAAATCATTTTGGAGAAAAAAGGAGCCAAGATGCATCCTTTTGTTCTATGGACTGTAGTGATCTAACAGTTGATGCCCTGCTGCCTTCATTTACCCTCATTCCAGGAAAGTGGGCTATAGCTGGTTTGAACTTAAATTTTGCGATAATGTAGTGTTCACTGCAAAATTCTCTGTACCAGCCACATTTTAAACAAAGTGGAGGCAGCAGTTAGATTTCGTTGCTTAGCCTTTTCCTGTGGCAGTAAGTGGGATCACAGACTGATAGAATTTTATAGCTGAAAGAGACTTTAGGTACATAGGTATCTTTATTTTATAGATCTTGAAACTTCCCCACGATCAATGGGCTTGCTGGTTAAAAAAGCTGGGAAAAGACCCAGATCTCCAATCAGCTGCCTGCTCTGGAGAAAACGAACTCAAACCTTAGCCACCTTAAATATACCTTTTTTAGAAGTACGCAATGTATAAACACAAGTGAATAACTTAAAGAATAGTCTGTTGAGATGAAACAGAATAGTCCATATTTTGGGTGTGTGGAAGGTAATGCATGTCAAGGTCTACGTCTTCAAGAATTGTAACTCTTGGGGGACCACTGCCAGTTTGCAAACAATTCCACTCCTGGAAAAGGTTTAAGAGAGTTTCTCTCCTTTATGGAGTGCATAGCTAATACTTTTCAAAATAAGTGGATTCTCAGTCGTTCTGGTGAATTTTTTTAAGTTTAAATATTAATATCTCCAACATTCAACTTTATATTTTCAGGGATCGATTTGCTTAGTGGTATAATACCTGAACTCTGTCAGAAATATCCAGATTTAAATTTCATAATTGGAGGAGAGGGACCAAAGAGAATCATTTTGGAAGAAGTTCGGGAAAGATACCAGCTGCATGACAGGTATTGATGAATTTCATGTTGTCTTGAGGGAGAAGATGTCAATTATCTCTATTTGGTTTTAACTGCATGCGTACCTTAGGTGTGTTGCTTCTCCTGCATGTAATTGATATACATATAATTGATATAAATCTAATGCAAGGACTGTTTTCAAAATTTTTATATAAATAGGAAACCTAGTTAATTCACTATTTTTTCCATTAGCCCAATATTATTTGACTTTGGGGGGCCATTGTTGGAGGCACCATGAAAGGCACAAAAAACAGCTGCTTTAACTGGAAGCGTTTGCAGATTTCCAGGCCATACTGTGTAGTGATTTAAGTAATAGGGCTCAAATCATGTAAATTGCTCTGCACATACAGATTTGGACAAGTCTCTTCCTCAGTAACTTACACAACACAAGGCTTGTACGTGTAAAGCATCAATTTTAATAAAAAGGCCATTTTCCTGTTTACAAATGGCACTTTAACATTAAATTATCAAAGTTTATTAATATTATTACATACAGACTAGTTTTGGAGAAGATAAAGTTTGATATGTGTAACAAAAGTTAGAAATAATGTTCGCTGTATGAGTTTTAACCCAACTGCTTTATAAGGCTGTTTCTATTAGATCAGTGTTTGGTGATACTAATCTTGAGGTGGAGAACATTAGCAGCAATAAGAATTTAAGTGTAATATAAATAGCAGACTTGGTTTATAAATTAAATTTCTTTTGTAGCATGAGTTTTCACTCCTTTCTTCCCCTCTCATTTAAAAAATCAGGGTGCGTCTTTTGGGAGCTTTAGAACACAAGGATGTTAGAAATGTCTTAGTTCAAGGACATATTTTTCTGAATACCTCCCTTACTGAAGCATTCTGCATGGCGATCGTGGAAGCAGCCAGTTGTGGTTTACAGGTAAAAAGCTTTGAGGGCATTCATGGTTGGGATTTCTGTGTATTTTGAAAAATAATGAGACACATTCCATAATAATGTTTTAACTGGTTTTGTTGATCTTCCTGAGGTATGATTATGGTGGAGTATGTGTTCTTTCTTTCTTTTTAAGGTTGTAAGTACCAGAGTTGGTGGAATTCCTGAGGTGCTTCCAGAAAACCTTATTATTTTATGTGAGCCTTCAGTAAAATCTTTGTGTGAAGGATTGGAAAAGGCTATTTTCCAACTGAAGTCAGGGACATTGCCAGCTCCAGAAAACATCCATAACATAGTAAAGACTTTCTACACCTGGAGGAATGTTGCAGAAAGAACTGAAAAGGTATGTCACATGCTGAGAAAAGATTGTGTCTGAACTCTTACTTGATGTTTCACGTACACATTTGCTTTTTCTTACATAGATGTTTACCATTTTTGTTCTATTGCTTAAGTTGATGAAATCTCTTCCAGGTGAAAAGAAACAGATTTTGGTACACACACCGGGCTAAGTGTCTGGTCAAATTATTGCGTTTGACATTTGAAAATAGCAGTAATACAGTCTAGCCCCCTCATTAA
Organism: Homo sapiens; assembly: GCF_000001405.40. Lineage (NCBI taxonomy): Eukaryota > Metazoa > Chordata > Mammalia > Primates > Hominidae > Homo > Homo sapiens. Next base: position 15,324,431 of record NC_000023.11, on the reverse strand, counting down.
ACTGGGCATAAAGAAGTTACAAAATTTTCTAAAAGTCACAATGAGTAGAGACAAGACGAGTATTAAATCTACTCTTAGATATTTTCTTGAAGCTGTTGATAATTCTAAAGCAAACATCTCTATTAGGAAATGCATGGTTTTGCTGATTGCAGCAACTTTATAACTTGTGAATATTTAATTCAGGCTACTTCCTAAACCTCTTGTAGCCCTTTTGCTAACTACTGTGATTTTCTCCAGGAAAAGGATTTTTGCATCTTTGGGCTGATTGAGAACATAGTAAGTTAGAATTCAAAATGTACGTGACAAACGTGGGAAAAATCACAAATAAAAAGCAGCAACAGAGAATTTCCAAAAGGACAGGTATAGGAAATAGATTAACACCCTTAGGTAGGAGATTACAGTTGTGGGAAATGCTTCCTGAATTTGAATTAGGGACTGCTTTCATTCTCAGTTTCATCCTTTACGTCCTTTTCATGATGTTCTCTGCCTCATGCCTCTTATTACCATGTAACAAGCTGAACAGAAACAACTCAGCTTCTTAGTATGTAGAAATTGTGAACCAGAAAGATAACCAGGTGGAACATGGAGAAGGTAGTAGTTTAGAGTAATGCTACCAACGTGATATTCAGTGGAGCAATGAGTTTTTAGCCTAGAGTAGATAGCAAGTTGGAGCTGAGGAGAATAGCTCTTTACTGTAAGGCTTTCTTACTTGGTTTGAATGATGAATTCCAGTATATAAGATGAACTCATATGTGAATGGAAGTTCTAAAAACTTATCTCTAAAAATTGTCTTATACATTTTCCATTGAAACATGAGATGTTTGCGACAGTCAAACATTTTTGACTGAAGCATTTTGAGACATTCTGACCTTCTACAAGTCTTGTACTATCTCTCCCATATGAAACATGGAAAGTTGGAGTCTAGTGCTTACCTGTTGGGAGTACATGTCAGAGTCCCCGGGCAGCCTTTTCAGACTCTCTCTACTCCATCTTGATGTCCCCCTGCCTCCCCAACCACTCCCTAGATTCCAGTGTTATCCTTTAGGAGCAGAGATAGAATTGGGGGTATAATTGGCAGGGATATTTGGTCAGACAGGTTATTTTGATGATACCATCCTGATCTCCACTCCCTTTGAGAACCATGGCACTGTTAAGTTGTGACTTGACCTTCTTCATTGACATCGTATAAACCCCAGAAGCCTGAGCCACTGTAGGTAATAAGTTAACAGGGAAAGAACTGTGGTGACGGTTTGTCAGCATATAGTAAAGGGGCTAATTGGGATTTTTTTGGTAACCACATTTTTCTTTTGGTTAAAGTAATAGTACAGCATCTGTATTTTTTTTAATTCTATGGTGATTTATAATACACTTTTAGAAAAAAGTAAATCCTTGCCTATAATGGATTGTCATCGCTAACATTCTCTTCATAATAGTAAATTGTTATTTTATCACTTAAAACTATAAGTAGATTAATTGACCTGAAATAAAGCTGGACAAAAAAGTCAGTTTGTAGTTACTCTTTTAACCCTATGACATTTTAATTCATTTCAACTCCTCCTTCTTAGTTTAACTGTGCTATTTAGGAAATCGATCATGAAATTAATTTGGAGTTCATGCTGTAAACATACTTCTTCAATTGCAATTCACCAGTCTCAGCATAATTCTCAACATAATTCTGATTAAAATGTTTGTATTCAGAATGTCCTCAGGGTAAAAGAGCTCGATGAAAACATGCCGTACCTTTCAAGGGCTGTTGACCTGTACAACATGCACTGCATGTTATAACTTCCTTGAGTTCAAAAGGAGACGGTTTAAAGGTCTAATATATGAGACTAAGCACAAGTAATACTCAAATTACAAAATATGAATGTTGGCCCATTTGATGTGTTCTGAACAAGTATGTTTAAAGATCTTCGTTTTTTGATATTTTAGAGCTTAGTACTTAGCAGTGTTTTAAAAAGCAAGCCACCTACTTGCTCAGCAAAAAACGTTATTTCATTTGCCAGCATTTGACCTATACTATCTACTGAAATTTCCCCCATCTCTTTATCTTCTTTTATTTGAAATCCATGAAATGCTTCTGCATGTCCTCACCATCCATGCTCAGCAACATGTACAGCCTCATGTGGCTGTTGAAAGAGGAGGCTCTGTGTTCCCAGAAGTATGCTAGATTGTAGCTCTCTGCTTGTGGTTGATGTCTGCCAGATGCCGGTGAGAGCATCTCAGCTTAGTCAAGGAATCTTCAAAGGCAAATCCTGCTTCAGTACTGCTGAAGTCACTGCTGAATTAAATATTGACCCTACAGTGGTGACCCCAAAAGCTGTTCAGACTTTGCGGGACTTTGGAATTCTAGTAGTTGGCTAAAATTGATGGTGACTCCCTAGGGGAGAGGAACTGTGGCTTATTCTTTGTATCACACAGCCTCTAGCCCGGTGTCTTGCCCAGAATAAGTACCCAATAAGTTTTGAATCAAATGGCAATAATTATCGTGATTAAGTTCATTAAGGATATCATTACTATGACAACAACAACAAAACACAAGCAACTTTTGTTTGTATTTGTTTATAAAATGTTCCTGCAGGATCGGGTCATTGTTTATCATGGGACAGGTGATGGGGTGATGGGTGAAAGTGCTCACACTTGGCTTCTCTCCCTCCAGGTATATGACCGGGTATCAGTGGAAGCTGTGTTGCCAATGGACAAACGACTGGACAGACTTATTTCTCACTGCGGCCCAGTAACAGGCTACATCTTTGCTTTGTTGGCAGTTTTCAACTTCCTCTTCCTCATTTTCTTGAGATGGATGACTCCAGATTCTATCATTGATGTTGCAATAGATGCCACTGGGCCACGGGGTGCCTGGACTAATAACTATTCTCACAGTAAAAGAGGGGGTGAGAATAATGAGATATCTGAAACCAGGTAGAAGGAAGCCTAGATTGTAAGATTTTAAACATTTGTAATAGTTCTATAAAGACTATGGAAAATAACCTTGCTTTTGGGGGGTTTTTGTTTTTTTAGAGTTAATTTAGTAAGTTATGCTACCTCTATATCATTCAATATTTTCTGTTGAGGAAAGATAAAAATGTATGCAATTCCTGAGTGTAGAAACTTCTTGCACTTATTTAAAATTTAGGAGAGAACATTTAAGCCACTCAGGTATGCAATTTTTCAGACTACTGAAATCCCTGTAGCAGAGATGTTTTAACATTATATTTTGAGAGCTTTGGGTGCTGAAGGGCCAAACGTTTTCTGGGCATTTTTTGGCCAGTTTTTAATGTAACACCATTAGACACTCACCAGATGTTTACAAGTTTTCTTTAGGGGAACTACAACAATTATATGAACTGTTTTATATCATGTTCATATACATTTATTAGGAATCTAAATCATGTCTTTGAACATTTATTAGGTTCACTCAGTAGGTGTTACATGTAATTAACAGGTTCCTTGAGTAAGATAGTCCATCAGTTACCAGCACATTTTGAACCCCTGCTCTGTGTAGAATGTTGAACTAGATGCTTCCCGCCATTAAGGACCAGGGGTGCATTCACTCTTTGTTTACCATTCAAATGGCTTACTTCATCATAATTGTGGTTGATATGAGATCAATATCCAACATGCCAAAAATGCTCATGCCAGTTAATGCCAGGAAAAAAATCACCGACACACTACTAGTACTTTGTTCCTGTTGTATGCATTCTCCTAGGTAGAGCCTCCATCTTCAGTTGTGTTTGTGAAGGTATTTTTTGCTTTTTAAATACTGGGGACCGATATCACTGTTGATAGTGCAGAGAAACCCTCCACATTTTTCAGTGCATAATTGAGTTTTCTATAAATGCCTTCGTGTTTTCTGAGCAGAATGTACGAGGTGTGCCATCCCAAAACCAGCTGCTACCCTGTCCTTTTAATGTAAGTCACTCCCCTTCACTGTGGCCTCGCTGATGTCTGATAAGTATTGTCAGTGTGCAAAAGGCTTTACTTCAGAATGGTTTATTTATAGCAAACTAAGTTGAAAATTTTAGAAACAGTCTTTGTGGGTGGATGTTATTAACTGTCATTGTTGTTGCCCAGAGCCATGGGTTTTTTAACCCCAAATTATCCACATGGTGTGTATTATGAATTCTTTGAACTCTTAAGGTTTTTGTGAGAAAAGGACTGTGAATTCAAAACAATAAGGCACTTGTGGGTGCACTACATAGATTCTGACAGTGTTGTGATTCTGTATAGGATTTTTAAAAATGACAACATTCACAAAATTTATTACTTTTTAAAAAATAACATGCCTATTAACTGGTTGCACTGATATAAAAGAAATATATTTGTGTTTTGTTTGTACTAAAATGCAAAAGCAAGAGTGCAATTTTTAAAATCTAGAAGTTAGGGGTTTTGTTGGAGAAAAATGGACTGATCTTTAAACTATTCAGTCTTACTGGGATTTTTATGCATAGAAACTCACATATAAACATGAAATAAACAGTGCCAGTATTCATAGGAAAGTGAGAAACTGTAATATTTGGCCATTATTCTATTCAACAGGTTTTAGAGGCATGCCACCATTTTTTCCTTATATTTTTGCTTAATTTTTTTAAATTGTCATTTAATTCTTAAACTGTCATTTATTTGAGATGGAAATAAGATCTAAAGTTAGTTGCCTTTGCCTGTAAAACATGTGATTTGCAAATTATTATTTTTCTTTTTTTTAACAAATGGAAGTAAATTTGTTTCACGTAAATCTTAATTTTCAACCTTTCTGGATACCTTAATTGTAACTGTCAGTTTGCACTGGTCGGTATATGGAAACACATTGCTCTACCCTGCTACTTAGTTGATTTTAAAGTGAATTTACAGTGATGAGAAATTTGTGAAAAATATATTGTATTTCTTTTGATGTTTCAAAAGGTTGCCTATGAAAAACTGATTTGTTAAAACATGCTACATGTCCAAAAATAAAGACCAGAATGACATTTTGATAATTTTCTGAGTTTGTCTTATTTTATGAACAGACTATTATTTACTAGTGGAACAGGCTATCCCTGCCCCCGACACATTCTTTTTCAGTGCAATTTGGATGTGTTGCTTGGTCTATTAGTAAAACAAGAAATACCCTTTGGGCGATGAATTACTCTGTCATTTTTTGTTTCTAGAATATCTTCTCTCTCTCACTCATGGAATAGCGAGTTCAATTGTGCCTTTGTTTCCTTACCCAAATAAGCCCTTGTTTTTCATTGCCCTAGCATTATCACGTGAGACAAGGAAAATATCTACAAACTATACTGTGTATGTGAGCTACATAATTATGCTTTCTACTTTGCCCAACACAAATTTGTAAACTTTCTTAAAACATTATGAGACTTGTGATTTTCTTTCTTTCTTTCTTTCTTTTTTTTTTAGCTCATCAGCTATTAGGGTATTTTCATTTATTTATTTATATATTTTTGAGACGGAGTTTCGCTCTTGTTGCCCAGGCTGGAGTGCAGTGGCACGATCTTGGCTCACTGCAACCTCCGCCTCCCGGGTTCAAATGATTCTCCCGCCTCAACCTCCTGAGTAGCTGGGATTACGGGCGCCCACCACCACACTGGCTAACTTTAGTATTTTTTAGTAGAGATGGGGTTTCACCATTTTGGCCGGGCTGATCTCGAACTCCTGATCTCATGATCTGCTGTTAGTGTATTTTATGTGTGGCCCAAGACAAATCTTCCAGCGTGGCCCAGGGAAGCCAAAAGATTGGACATCCCTGATTTAGTTTCTCCCACTCCTTTTGTGGGAAGCAGTGGAAAGCAGTCACCTATGTTTATGTTTTGATTTATCTTATGCCAAAACTTATTTTTGGCAAAGTCAGGGTAGTATAGGTCTGTGTTTACTTTTGTGAAGTAATTTTAAAGCCTCTTTATCCATCTCTGCATTCCCAAATGGATGTGGCTAGATGTTGAATTGTATCATCCTGTGGCTGGATTTTTTAATATAAAATTATGAAAAAGTTCTATGTAGAATTTGATTTGTAGCCTTTAGTACTTGGGGGAACTGATTTTTATCCTTTATCATTTCTATTTGGGTATGGCTCAGTGGTTCTCAACTAGGGCTTGGGGGGACAGTTTTGTTTCCCAGGGGACATCTGGCAATGTCTGGTTGTTACTACTAGGTGGGGTGGGGCATTGGCATCAAGTGAGTAGAGGTCAGGGTTGCTGCTAAGCATTCCGCGATGCTCTGGGCCATCCCCCACAACACATGTATCTGTCCCAAAATGTCAATAGTGCTGAGGCTGAGAAACCTTGGTGCTGTTGATGATTTCATCTGTGAAAGATAGCATGAATCAACTGTCCTTATGTATCAGTAGCCTTTTATGCCCATCACAAATGTAATGTTCAAATATAGTAAAGATGGTCTTGCCGGGCATGGTGGCTCACGCCTGTAATCCCAGCACTTTGGGAGGCCGAGGTGGGCGGATCACGAGGTCAGGATATCGAGACCATCCCGGCTAACACGGTGAAACCCCGTGTCTACTAAAAATACAAAAAATTAGCTGGGCGTGGTGGCGAGCACCTGTAGTCCCAGCTACTTGGGAGGCTGAGGCAGGAGAATGGCGTGAACCCGGGAGGCGGAGCTTGCAGTGAGCCGAGATTGCGCCACTGCACTCCAGCCTAGGAGTCAGAGTGAGACTCCGTCTCAAAAAAAAAAAAAAAAAAAAAAGATGGCCTCTCAGAAATAGTATAGACACCCATTTGAACCTTAATAAAGTTGAGCTTTTCATGGCCAACTTTTTTGGCGTGTAAAACATAGGACAGCCATGTTTTAAATGAAAAGACCAAAACAAGATTGAATAATGTTATAGAACAATGTACATCACTGGTCTGACATGACTAAATGATTGCCTACTTAGAGTATAATTGAAGAAAGATAAATGAAAAGGACTAAAAGAGTTGTATTCATGTATTTTCATACACTGGCATTCTACCAGGTAATATAAGCTCAGTAAAGTAAATCTTATGTTAATGTCTGTTCCTTGAGAGTTAAGACGACTCAAGGTCTTTATAGTGCTCTGATACACTGAAATCGATGAGCTGTATGTTGTGACTCAAGATTGTATTCTTACATGTCAGCTTTTTAATGTAGTGAAACAGTTCTTAACCAGGCAGTCATTCTAATTTGCCTGCATGCTAGGAGAAATTCCCATATTTTTGCATAAATCATTTGTTAAGATTTATTAGGCCACTTGTATAACTATATTTTGGCTTGTCTTTTCAATTGATTTTTAAAATTTACAAAATCGAACATAGCCAAGAATGAAGGCAGAGACCTAGAGTGATGAGGAAAACTAAAAATAAACCCATTTCACTTGTGTTGGCCAGCTGATAAGAGAAAATTGCCCAACTAGAGAAGGTTGATTCATGAAATATTTGGGTACTTCATCCAGAACCTAGGGCATCTCTTTTGTCCATTTCACTATGACTCTTCCATGATCAAGGATAGCCCACATTTTTCAGAAATGGGCACCACCTTTACCAATGCTTGAAATGCAAGTGAATGATCAGGAGGGAACCTTGCCATGGGACCTTGTCCCAGATGGAACTACCATGGCGAGTAGTCTGATGCTTCTAGTGTGACACTTACTTGGAGAGGCATCCAAGATAGGCCTTTTATTAAATACAGGCTTGGCCGGGTGCAGTGGCTCACACCTGTAATCCTAGCACTTTGGGAGGCCAAAGTGGGTGGATCACCTGAGGTCAGGGGTTCGAGACCAGCCTGGCCAACATGGCGAAACCTCGTCTCTACTAAAAATACGAAAATTATCCAGGCGTGGTGACGCATGCCTGTAATCCCAGCTTCTTGGGAGGCTGAGGCAGGAGAATCGCTTGAACCCAGGAGGCAGAGGTTGCAGTGAGCCGCGATCGCACCATTGCACTCCAGCCTGGGCAACAGAGTAAGACTCCATCTTAAAACTAAATACATACATACGTGCATACATGCATACATACATACATACAGCTTTAGGGTAAATTGTCTTTTTTTTTTTTTTTTTTGAGACAGAATCTTGCTCTTGTCACCCAGGCTGGAGTGCAGTGGCGCGATCTCGGCTCACTGCAACCTCCGCCTCCCAGGTTCAAGCAATTCTCCTGCCTCAGCCTCCTGAGTAGCTGGGATTACAGGCACCTGCCACCACGCCCAGCTAATTTTTGTACTTTTAGTAGAGACGGGGGTTTCGCCATGTTGGCCAGGCTGGTCGCAAACTCCTGACCTCAGGTGATCCGCCTGCTTCAGCCTCCCAAAGTGCTGGGATTACAGGAGTCAACCACCGCGCCCGGCCAGGTAAATGGTCTTTTTTAACTGGTCATATTTTAGATTTGGATTTAATCCTCTATAAACTTCAGAATTAAGAGAAAATGAAATGCTCCAGGGAGTAGTATTTCCCACTTAGAACATACAGCATATTTGCACTTCTTTTGTATGTCAAATAACTTGCTTTGTTTCTGTGGAAGCCAAGAAGTTTCTATCTTTCCAACCCTGCTTTCTAACATAAAATAGGAAAAATAGGGGTTTAGGAATATAAAATGTTTGGATATGAATCTTATCTGTTAGATAGTACTGAGTTATGTAGTTCTAGAACTATTGGATGTTTCTGGTTAGAAGGAAGTTTCTTTAGTTTATTTAACACTGCTGTGGAGTCAGCACATGCAGTCGCCAAATCAGTTAGATTAGAACCTACAGAGATCTCGGTAACAGGAGCACTGAGTGCTAGAAGGTTTAAAATAGATGTCATATGATACCAATTATAACTCAGTGAAATTTTACAGTCCTAGGACCCTATACAGAGCATAAGCCAAAATGGAAGATGGTCCTGTTTTCTATGGCTTTAAAAACATTTTTATTACAATGTTTGCTACGTTTTTTTTCTTTAAGCTTTTAATTAAAGTTTTTTTGGCTCTCCTAACCCATTTCTATATCGTCAAAGGAAATAGAAAAGAAGCGGCTAGGATAGCAGAAGAGATCTATGGTGGAATTTCAGGTAAAAGTACATGAATTTGTTCCTAATATTTAAAGAAAATCCCTCCTAGATAATTCATATGACTAGTATTTCTGGAAGGCAGATTATATTTATACTTTGATTTTAAGTGGGTAGTTTGAAAAATTGTCACTTAAAGTAGCAAATGCTGTTGGCTGCATCAATTTGTGGAGGATTTTCAGCTTTATTTTTTGCAAGTTCGTAGATCTTGTAGCAGTTGTTATTTAAGAAGTAAATAGGTAGTGGCTTACTAAGAGTATTTTGAGAAACTTCATTTCTACTAGCCAAAGTAATTACTTGTATATAATTATTTTCTTTAATATTTTAAAGCAAACTTTAACAATGAAGGGCATTCTAACCAGACTAAATTCTCTCAGGAAATAGAATGACTAATAAATTATAATTAAAGCAGCAAACGTGGCAAGCTATGTGTATTTTTTTTGCTGTCATTTGCAACTGGAATTGATTAACCACTTGTCACTGTCAGGAAAAGCTCTTCACTAAACCCATTTTATATGGTAGCATGCAAAGCACTCCAAACAAAGTTTATTCTAACATGAAATGCCAAGATTTGGGCAAAACATTTTAAATTCTCATGCTTTGTAGAGAATAGTGTCCATTTCTTTCAAGAAATGATTTACTTTAATTGTGGTGAGATGCTACAAAAGTAAATGAGTCAGATATCCCTGTCACTCCTGGGATTGTCACTTAATAGAGGAGTATTTATTCATAAACAGAGTTCAGAATTTCCCCGTGTATTTTTAGTGTTTGCAGGGGTTCCAGGATTACATCATTCTTTATCTAGTATCCATTTCAATTTGCATCCAGGATTCTCTTTCAAAATAGTCTTATGTGATTCCAATACACTAGACAACTCAGAAGACACTAGACAACAGCAGTCTTATCTAAAGAAATAAGACCTCCAAGGACGAAGCATCAGAATGCTTCAATTAACTGGGGAAAATGAGAAGAATTGTGAAGTTTCAGAACGTATCAGAAGGTCCGGACCATGGAAAGAGATTTCTTTTGGGGATTATATTTGTCACACATTTCAGGGAGGTATGTTACTTTGACTAGTTACAAAAAAAAAAAAAAAAAGTAATGCTTCTGATAAGTTTCAAGTTAAGCATGATCTGAAAAGTTATCTTCTAATTTAATTTGTCAATTTGGGCAAGGGCTTTCTAAAATTTTCAATAATAGTTTTGGTGTTCTCATAGATAAATCATTCTTCTGGTCTAAATTAGATGAAGTCCAACAAAGTCAATATTGGCAAGAACATGTTACAAATGTTTTCTCCTGTTGCACCTGCGCATTATTTCTGTCTTTGTGGTCTTTAATTAAGTGCACTCTTTTTTTTTTTTTTTTTTTTTGAGATGGAGTCTCGCTCTGTAGCCTAGGCTGGAGTGCAGTGGCACCATCTCGGCTCACTGCAACCTCCGCCTCCCAGGTCCCGGTTGAAGCAATTCTCCTGTCTTAGCCTCCTGAGTAGCTGGGATTACAGGCACACGCCACCATGCCCAGCTAATTTTTTTGTATTTTTAGTAGAGACAGGGTTTCACCATGTTGGCCAGGCTGGTCTTGAACTCCTGACCTCATGATCCGCCCGCCTCGGCCTCGCAAAGTGCTGGGATTACAGGCGTGAGCCACCGCGCCCGGCCTCAAGTGCACTCTTAAAAAAGGTATAAAACCTCCTTATAGTCAAAACCCATGTAAGCATGGTTTGAATTTAATCTGGAGCTGGAATACAAATCTCTTAAATACAGTTCGTTCATTCTGTAGTGCAAATATCTTTACTTGTTCAATCTCTTAAAATAGGTTAATTTGCAAGTAGCATAGTATTCTAAGGTCAAAAACATTTTTCAATTATTGTTAAAGAGGCAGGGAATGGTGCATGTTAATTTCCCAGTTTTATTTCTTTCATATATATATGTATATGTGTGTGTGTGTGTGTATACATATACACGAATCCCCCCACCCCCAAATTTACCAAGATTTGGTAAATAAGACTTTCTGTTTTTTTGTTTGTTTTGAGATGGATTCTTGCTCTGTCACCCAGGCTGGAGTTCAGTGGCACGATCTTAGCTCAGTGCAACCTCCTCCTCTGGGGTTCAAGCAATTCTCGTGCCTCAGCCTCCTGAGTAGCTGGGATTATAGGCGCACGCCACCACGCCCGGCTAATTTTTGTATTTTTAGTAGAGATGGGGTTTCGCTATGTTGGCCAGGCTGGTCTCGAACTCCTGACCTCAAGTGATCTGCCCACCTTGGCCTCCCAAAGTGCTGGGATTATAGGTGTGAGCACCTGTGCCTGGCCGCTAAATAAGTCTTTCTATAAGAATGTAGGCAGTAACATGCCTGGACCAGTATTTTTCACATGGTTCTGTGTTTTTCTTTTGATACCACTGTTAACAGTCAGATACTATATTATTACAAATCTTCCCCCGCCCCACAAAATACTTAAAAAATAACAACTCTTTATTCAAAACCCAGTCCTTTAAATATTAATGCAACTAGGCCAATACACCTAAACAATAAATCCTCCTCAACCCCTCAGTCTCTCTAATTCCTAAATTATCCCATAACAATATATTTAGGTGTATTAAAAATCAAGAACAAAATTTTGTGGAAGTGTTAAACTCAAACCAGAAATCAAACTCAAACCAGAAATCACCTTTGCTTTTGGTCACTTTTGCACTGGTCAGACAAATGTTTGTTGGGAAAATATATGACATTTAATCAGTAAATTAGCTAATTGACTTACAAAAGTCCCAGCCCAAGGTTAAGTTTCTTGAGTCTGCTAGCATATGCTATTCCTGTAAACTATTGTCAGCAATGTCAAAAGCAAGGAAGGGCAGGAAAAACCTAGCCAGCACACAGGTTAGACTTTTGTAGGTCCAGAGCACTCTTTTTTTTTTTTTTTTTTGGAAGCTGCATTTAACACCACATGCCTCATTAAATATCATTCTTTGTGCTGTAAAACCTTTTGGAAAGTTGTTTTTTTTTTTTTTTTTTTGTGCAGTGGGCGGGTGGGGGTGGATTTCATAGTCTGGAATACATTATTTTATATGTCTTTGTGGCTTAAACTATTACATTTGCTGATCACTCATCATAGTTGAATTAAGCCATGGTTGACTGTTATTAGTTTTGGTTTTTAAGCTTCTTTGTTTATTTTGTCTATTATATGTATATTTTTTTTTCTTTTTTAAAGTTTAATACATTGTCCTTGGCCTTTGGTGTTATGCCTAGAGCACCAGATGGATCACTGGATCCCACCTTCAGTCCATAGATATTTCTGCAGGCACTTTCTCAGGAGAGATGTATTGTATGATTTTTCAAGCTTTGCTAATTTGTATTAAGCTATGTTTAGTACTGTGACTTGGTCATCAAGAAAGAAAATATAGTGTAGATACAGATTGATCATCTGTTATTCATAACCCTTCAGCCAGCCATGTTTCAGAATTCAATAGCTTTTGAATGTTAGAAAGATCATACAATGTGCATACTGTCTATTGCACAGCACTTCTGGTGGGGCCTGGAGCTGCCTCCCACAGTCAAACATTTTGATCTTTCTATAGTGAACATATAGGTATTCACACTAGATGGAAATATAAAACAAATAATAAATTGCTTAACCTAAGTCCTGGCCATGCTTTGCTGCTAAACAAGTTTGCATCAAATTTGGGGTAAAGCTTGGTTTTCAGAATTGGAGGAACTTTACAAGTGCAGATAAGACGTTGTAGAACTGTAGTGCCCTCTTTCAAAAAAAAAAAGGGCTATTTTAAGCTGTGTCTAAAAGATCAGTCCTATTCTAAGTTTTATGCTTAAAATCACTTGTTGATGGACTGACCATGATTTGACAGCTATGCCTCTGCCTAACTCAGCATTCTGAATCCTTTTTCCTGTCTTTTCCATTCCAATAGGATCGCCTTAGTTTCATTCTTGCCCAAACCTCGACCTAGCCTTCTGCTCTTATTTAGTTTTGCTGGTTGTCTCCACAAACATTGGCCTAACCATCCTCTAAGTTGCATATCAGGTGCCTGCTGGCTTTTCCTAGGTTGGGACAACCAGTCCTTGGCAGAGGCTCTACCTTCCACCAGTCTCCTTTAGCTCAGCTCTCCCGCCCTTAAGAGTTCAAAGGAGCCTTCTTTCTAATACACTGCAACATAGTTAATTGTGTCTAACACAGCTCACTGTGTCTCATCTCCTCTCTAGGACTGGACATTCTGGAGAATATTTATTTTAACTCAGTTTTATTACAATATTTTAGATATCTCAGGAAATACATTCTATTTTCCCAGTTACCTTTGTTTCACATAAAATACCATTAATTCTGCTAGGCTCTTGCCTGTATTTTGGTTCAAAATTAAAATTCCTTATGAATTTTCTTTTCCTTAATAAATGCTACAGAAGATTTGTTTCATATGATTTTATTTTTTATTTTTTGAGTTGGAGTTTCGCTCTTATTGCCCAAGCTGGAGTGCAGTGATGTGATCTCGGCTCACTGCAACCTCTGCCTCCTGGGTTCAAGTGATTCTCCTGCCTCAGCCTGCTGAGTAGCTGGGAGTACAGGCGCCCGCCACCACACTGGCTAATTTTTGTATTTTTAGTAGAGACAGGGTTTCACCATGTTGGCCAGGCTGGTCTCGAACTCCTGACCTTAGGTTATCCACCTGCCTTGGCCTCCCAAAGTGCTGGGATTACAGGCATAAGCCACCGCGCCCGGCTGTTGGGTCATCTTTTTAAATAAAAAAACAGTAATCTGAAATACTTGTTGAAATTAGAGTAAAAATTACAAAAACAGTTTAATCGTTTTTTATCTCAAATGGTTGGAACTTAGACAGCTGTACTCCATCTGAACCAATGTTATTGAAATATATACGGTTTTAGAAGTTGTTGTGAAGTTGTCATTCAAACAGTCTGAGATACAAATCACATTCTGAGAAAAATTCAAAGGGGGAAATGAAAAAGCACTTGAACATTTTCCGTACACCTCATCAGGAATAAGCAAACATATTTGTAGAGTAAACTATCTTCATAATGTGTTTGCAGCCCTGTGACACGGGCGATCTGCCAAAAAACTAAAAATAGATTGCCTTAGAAGAGAATGATTGAGTCCTACTTAAGCATTCATTTATTTGGAGAGCTCAGTTGCATACTTCCTGAAGGGAATGGAAAAACTCCCAAGCTGCCAAGTAACTTTTATCCTCAATTTCTCACAATTAGCTCCAGTTTGCAAAATGAGAATGGTAAGAGTGAGAGACTCTGTTGGGAACAAGGATAGAAAAGCAGGAGACCCCACTGTGGCAGTTTCTGGAAAAGGGTTCTGTGTGAAAACCCTTGAAGGTCCTTTGAAGCAAGTTCTGGGAAATGATGGAACTAGAAAGGCTACTTTCTTGAGAGTTACTTCGTTTCCAGTTGGGAAACAAAAAGGACTTCTACTTTTTTTTTTTTTTTTTTTTTTTTGAGACGGAGTCTTGCTCTGTCGCCCAGGCTGGAGTGCAGTGGCGCGATCTCGGCTCACTGCGAGCTCCGTCTCTCGGGTTCACACCATTCTCCTGCCTCAGCCTCCCAGGTAGCTGGGACTACAGGCGCCCGCCACCACGCCTGGCTAATTTTTTTGTACATTTAGTAGAGATGGGGTTTCACCATGTTAGCCAGGATGGTCTCGATCTCCTGACCTCGTGATCCACCCGCCTCAGTCTCCCAAAGTGCTGGGATTACAGGCGTGAGCCACTGCACCCAGCCCTGGATCTCTACTTTTAGGGTGGTACAATTGGTTTATTTCACACCATTTATAGCAGTGGTCCCCAACCTTCTTGGCACCAGGGACTGGTTTCATGGAAGACAATTTCTCCATGGACCAGGGTGTGGGGGGATGGTTTTGGGATGATTCTTGTGCATTACATTTATTGTGCACTTTATTTGTATTATTATTACATTGTAATATATAATCAAATAATTATACAACTCACCATAATGTAGAATCTGTGGGAGCCCTGAGCTTGTTTTCCTGCAACTAGATGGTCCCATCTAGGGGTGATGGGAGACAGTGACAGATCATCAGGCATTAGACTCATAAGGAGCGCCCATCCTAGATCCCTTGTATGTTCAGTTCACACTCTTCTAAGAATCTAGTGCCACTGATGATCTGACAGGAGGCAGAGCTCAGGAGGTAATGCAAGCAAAGGGGAGTGGCTGTAAATACAGAAGAAGCATCCGGGCACAGTGGCTCATGCCTGTAATGCCAGCATTTTGGGAGGCCGAGGCAAGTGGATCACTTGAGGTCAGGAGTTCAAGACCAGCCTGGGCAACATGGCGAAATCCCGTCTCTACTAAAAATACTAAAATTAGCTGGGAGTGGTGATGTGTGTCTGTAGTCCCAGCTACTCGGGAGGCTGAGGCCAGAGAATCTCTTGAACCTGGGAGGCAGAGGTTGCAGTAAGCTGAGATTGCACCACTGCACTCCAGCCTAGGGGACAGAGCGAGACTCCATCTCAAAAAAGAAAAATACAGAAGAAGCTTCACTTGCTCACCTGCTGCTCACTTCCTGCTGTGCAGCCCGGTTCCTAACAGGCCACGGAATGGCCCAGGGGTTAGGGACCCCTGATTTATAAAGAGGAGGTGGATGTCAGAGCAACCCAAGACAAGTCAATCTACCACGAGAATAAGGAGAAATTAAAAACCAATAGTTCTTAAAACCAGAACAAGGTGTGTTCTAAAGTCCCCATAACTAGGGTTTCAGTCCTATTTCTGATACTTCCTAGCCATGAGACAGCTTCATGTGGAGCAGTGGTTGTCATGCATTTTGGGGTGTTACCATTCAGCAAAGCAAGGCTTTTCCCCCCTTCACTGGAAGCTATGGGATGGGTACTCTGGGAGCAATACAAGTTTAGATAAGGGGCATTCAAAAGGAGGGGAGCCTGGAATTTCACTCTCAAGTTGGAAATCTGCTTAGAGAGACAACTTGCTGAACCCCCCATGCCAGATGAATATGAGGAAGAGAATTGGAAAGCAGCAATGTGGTGAGGGAGAAGCCCAGGACAACCACCATTCCCTCTTTCTTGGTGGAATGAAAGATGGCACCACAGGCTTGTTAACCTTGATCTCAGAGGCACAGGATCAGAGTTGGGGACATCAGAGGATGCTGCAGTGATGACAGACACTAGGAGAGGTGGCCAAATGCCAATGGGTAGAAAAGGTACATGGGTGTAAGCCCCAGTGTGAAGGGCATGCCACAGACCTGGAGTGAGGCCTGCAGTTGAGACTGATCAAGCAGGACCAGCCTCCTCTTCCAGTTAACACTTCCCATCCCATTTCCCTTTCCTGTCCCTCTTGTTTCTCCCCACTCCCAAGGCACTAAAGGGTTGGACCCTAGAAGAAGGAGGTGGGAAGCATGTGAAGAACATGCTGCCCTTCTGTCTCCAGCTGCTGGGTGGGCTGGAGAAGGCCATACCCTGCCCTGGGAGTGGGAAAAGGCCAGGAGCTGTGAAGAGGATCAGAGATTACAGCTAGAAAGAGGGCTAGTCTGTGTTACTTTAGAAACTCTTCATGAAAGTATGATGTAAATACAGAGACATGCACAAATCCTAAGTGAACAACTGCATGAATTTTCACAAAGTGAACACAGTCAGGAACCAGCACCTAAGAGCAAGAAATTGCATATTATCAGCATGGCCCCCACCATGCCCTCTTGCAAACAGTCCTCACCCCTCCTCGGGGTGCTTTTGACTCCTAACACCCAAGGCAAGTTTCCCTTCCTTGTGTACTTTATAGCAGGGGTCTCCAACCCCCAGGCCACAGACCAGTACCAGTCCATGGCCTGTTAGGAACTGGGCCATACAGCAGGAGGTGAGCGGCAGGTGAGGGACATTACTGCTTGAGCTCCGCCTTCTGTCAGATCAGTGGTGGCATTAGATTCTCATAGGAGTGTGAGCCCTATTGTGAACTGCACATGCAAGGGACCTAGATTACATTCTCTTTATGAGAATCTAATGCCTGATGATCTGAGGTGGTACAGTGTCATCCTGAAACCATCCCCTGCCCACCCTCATCTGTGGAAAAATTGTCTTCCATGAAACCAGTCCTTGGTGGCAAAAAGGTTGGGGACTGCTGCTTTATAGAAACCAAATCACACGGTACATGTTCTTTTGTGTCTGGCTTCTTTCACTCAACATTAGGTTTGTGAGATTTATCCATGTTGTGTATATGACTTGAGTCTAATGGGACTGATAAGTAACGGAAAGTTACTAGAAAATGAGGATCACCACAGCCCACTTGGAGACAAGTTTTAGAAATAATGAAAACATTCGTGTTGATAACCTATGTTAACTCTTTTAATTGCAAGTTGCCACTTAAATCCTGTCTTTATTTTTAAATGGAATACTTACAGTACCTTCAAGTGACTCAGGTTGACTGGTTATTGTCAGAACAATGAAATGACAAAGCCACAGTTATGGGTTTGCCTCTTCCATTGGTCAGGGTGCCGAGCTGGCAGCCATGGGTAAAGACTGTCCTACCAACCCCAGTGCATGCATTCACTTCCAAGAGCAACTAGGCAAGAGCGTAACATGTCTGAAGTACATTTCATATTGAATGAGATGCAGACATATTAGAGGAAAAGCCTCACTAATTGGTAATTATATGCATACATTGTCTCATTATTTCCAGTTTATGCAAATTATAAATATCCAAAGAGTTGTTGTTGTTGTTGTTGTTGTTGTTGTTGTTTGAGACAAAGTGTCACTGTGTCACCCAAGCTGGAGTGCAATGGCGTGATCTTGGCTCACTGCAGCCTCCACCTCCCGGGTTCAAGTGATTCTCCTGCCTCAGCCTCCCAAGTAGCTGGGATTACAGGCGCCTACCACCGTGCCAGGCTAATTTTTATATTTTTAGTAGAGATGGGGTTTCATGTTGGCCAGGCTGGTTTCAAACTCCTGACCTCAGGTGATCCACCTGCCTCAGCCTCCCAAAGTGCTGGGATTACAGCGTGAGCCACTGCACCCGGCCTCAAAGAGAGTTTAAAATATTCTACTTGTCAGCTTTCAACCAACTAAAGACAAGGGTAAATACAAATGCAATATATGCTCATGTTAAAAATTTTTATCTGTTTTTGAAATACCATTCGACTCAGCAATCCCATTACTGGGTATATACCTAAAGGCATATGAATTGTTCTGTTATAAGGACACATACGTGCATATGTTCATTACAGCACTAATCACAATAACAAAGACATGGACTCAACCCAAATGCCCATCAATGACAGACTGGGTAAAGAAAATGTGGTACATATACATTATGCAATACTATGTAGTCATAAAAAAGAATGAGATCATGTCCTTTGCAGAGACATGGATGGAGCTGGAGGCCATTATCCTTAGAAAACTAACAGGAACAGAAAACCAAATGCCACATGTTCTCACTTATAAGTGGAGCTAAATGATGAGAACACATGGACACGTAGAGGGGAACAACATACACTGGGGCCTATTGGAGGGTGGAGGGTAGGAGGAGTGAGACGATCAGGAAAAATAACTAAAGGATACTAGGCTTAATACCTGGGTGATGAAATACTCTGTAAAACAAACCCCCATGGCACAAGTTTACCTATGGAACAAACCTGCACATCCTGCACATGTACCCCTGAACTTAAGATAAAAGTCAAAAAACATAAAATTGATGATGTCTATTGCATATAATTATTTTCTTTGGAAAATTTTTTATCTGTTTTTCTTTGTTATTATAAAAAGCAATACACATTCATATCAGGAGTATGGGATCACCAGTGATTCTATCTATCTATCTATCTATCTATCTATCTATCTATCTATCTAATCTTTTTTTTTCTTGTTAAAATGTTTGGAAATAATTTCAGCCGACAGAAAAGTTACAAGAACAGTACAAAAAAATTCCTGCTTCTCTTCACCCAGAGACTCCATTCATGTTTAGCCAACGGTCCTAATAATGTCCTTTATAGCAAAAGGATCAGGTGTCTTGCCTTTAGATAGCGCGTTTCGTCATCCCTTTCAATCTGGAACTGTTCCTCAGTCTCTCCAATTATTTTGTAAAATGTCCCCTCAGTTTGGGTTGGTGCACAGTTTCCTCCTTATCAGATTTTGGTTATGCATTTTGGGCAGAAATATCACAGAAGCGGTGGTGTGTTCTTCTCATTATGTTTCTTCTTATGGCACATGATGTTGCTCATCGCATTCCATCAGATGACAATCTGTTCCATCACTGGTGTTAACTTTGCTGATGTTAACTTTGATCACTTGGGCAAAGTGATGTCTACAATTCTGTTCTATAAAATTATCCCTGTTCCTTTTCTAGTTAGTCATTATTTTGCAGGGAGATGAGTTGAAGCTGATTCTATTATTTCTTCAATTTCTAAGTTGGGATTTTATTATAAGGAAGCACTTTCTCTTCTCTGTCTTTATATATTCATTTATATCAGTGAGGACTTCTAGATTACCATTTTATTTGATAAGATATAATCTCTTATTGTTTATTTTGAAATCAGGTTTTCCCATATTTGGCCAATGGAAGCCCCATCAAGCCAGCATCTGTGTCTTTTTGTCACCCAGGCCAGAGTACAGTGGCATAATCTTAGCTCACTGCAACCTCTGCCTCCCGGGTTCAAGCGATTCTTCTGCCTCAGCCTCCTGAGTAGCTGGCACTACAGGCGTGCACCACCACACCCTAATTTTTGTATTTTTATCAGAGACAGGGTTTCACCATGCTGGCCAGGCTGGTCTCGAACTCCTAACCTCGTGATCTGCCCGCCTCAGCTTCCCAAAGTGCTGGGATTACAGGCGTGAGCCTGGCCAGCACTTTCTTACTTTCTTGGAAGATGTTTAAGGCCCATCTTGTATTTTACCTGGCCCAGACCTGGGATCAACATTTCTCTAAGGAGTCCGGGTTCAGGTTTTCTCAGTGCACCATGCTAAAAAAAAATACGTATATACGCACATCTATGTTTTACATTTAAATTTACTTTTATATCTAGATATATTGAAAATCACATTTTCATGCTAATTGCTCCAATATCAATCCAACCTCGTAAAGTGCATTCAAGTTTCCCCCATTTTCAGAACCCAAAGGGTGAGAGAAGTTCATACATTGAGTTTCAGTGTAGGAGGAGGGCTTATTGAAATGTTTCTAACCCTGATTCTCATCCACTGGAAAAATTCTTTCTTTCCTTAAGGCCTTCAGTTATTTCAAATTCACACAATTCCATTTTTGCTGGGATTTTCGTTTCACCAAGTTTATAGGTATGGAAACCTGAGTTTTTAACACCATCAGGATCACCCACAAGAGGTTGAGGAGCCTTTGTGTTAAATCCAAATTATATTACATTCTATTCAGTGCATGAAAAGCACAACCATAATGTGAAAAAGTCCTACATTTTGCAAACTGGAGTAGGTTTTCTTCCAAAACAATTGATTGCCCTTTGGCAGGTTTAATGGGGGGTTACTTCTCAAATGCTCATTTAAACTAGTTAGTCTTGTTTGCAGATAAGCAATTATAAGAAAAATATGTCTGGAAGGCGGCTCTAAGGCTGTTCCTTATGGCACTGCTCTACTGTGCCTACTTATTAATCATACAATGTCCGGAGCACTTAACATCGCGGTTGTATTTGATTGGCCTACTTAGAGACCAATGCACTTGACAAATATCAGATTATTATATTTCCATCTTACCAGTAAGGAAACTGGGGTTCAAGTAATTTTGGTAACTTGCTGAATTTGGCAGAGAAAGTGATCAAGGTAGGACTTGAACCCTAGCAGTCTGGCTCCACTGGCCCATGCTCAGTCATCACACTAAGCTGCCCACAACAAAGCTTTTAGGGAAAAACTTTTGGGAGATTAAATTGTCTGAAAAATGACATTCTGCAGTATAATAGATATGTCTTCATTATCAAATGAAGCAGATAAAATTACCTAGAGAATTTGGGGAAAAAAACATTTTCACTGATCCCTCAGAGCAAGCTTGTCCAACTCGTGGCCCAGGATGGCTGTGAATGTGGCCCAACACAAATTCATAAATTTTCGTAAAACTTACGAGATTTTTTTGTGATTTTTATTTTTTAGCTCATCAGATATTGTTAGTGTTAGTATATTTCATGTGTGGCCCAAGACAATACTCCTTCCAATGCGGCCCAGGGAAACCAAAAGATTGGACACCCCTGCCTTAGAGTCTCCTTCATAATACACAGGCTGTTGAGTCTTTGGGGTGTGGATGAAGGTGGAAGGCAGGGGAAGGATAAAAATGTGGAGGCTCATTGACTTTCTTGGCCCTTCATTTTGCCTTACATAGAGCTATCGGATTCAAGCACTGAGCACTATATTTTTGAACTAAATCTATTGCTTATTAAAATTGCCTCCCAAAAGCCAGAGAGATTGACTGTTCCTTCTCTTGGCACGCACCACCAAACCGTAAAGGACTTTAACATTCAGTAGCTTGTCTCCCTGAAAGTGGCTGACGAGAGAGCCTGATGCGTGATACCTGCTTCCCTCCTCTTCCCTCCTCTTCCCCCAAACCTCCTCTCACAGTGGGTGGGCAGCATGGACAAGTTACAGGAAGAAGTCTCCAGGCCTTGACTTTGAGCTTGATTTGTGTTTCAGATTGCTGGGCTGATCGATCCCCACTTCATGAAGCTGCAGCTCAGGGGCGCTTACTGGCCCTTAAAACTTTAATTGCACAAGTAAGTGAACTGAAGACTTGATCCTTCATGCTTATGCTATAATTACACATCATTCTTTATTAGCTTTGGCTGTAGCAGAGGTGTGGCTCACCCTATCCAGGTCCCACCATTGCCATTCGAGGCACGTATGTCCTCTCATACCTCACTGCCTCTCCTCCTCCTGCCTCTCCTTTCCTGGAGAGCTCCTTCATTTTCAGCCCAGTTCCCTCCTTTTCCTCTGGGCCTTCCTTTACCTCATAAGAAGTTTCCCTATGAGGAATGATAGAGAATGCTCTCAAATGTTTGTTGCACTAACTCACCTCATGCTCTTCCAGCATGCATTAGCACCAGCAGTCCTGAAGCTAAGTTAGTCAGCTATTGCTGCCTAAAAAATGACCTCAAAGCATAATGGCTGAAAACAACAGAAACTTGGATTTTCATGGTTTCTGTGGGCCAGGGAGCAGCTTAGCTAGGTGATTCTGGCTCTGGGTCTCTCACAGGCTGCCACGTGTCAGCCAGGGCTGCAGTCATCTCATGGCTCAAGGCGGGCAGGATCTGCTTTCAAACTCACTCACGTGGTTGTTGGGAAACCTCAATTCCTTGCCACATGAGCCTCTCCACAGGGCTGTGTCATGAGATGGCAGCTGGCTTCTCTCAGAGAGAGTGCAAGAGGTACCTAAGAAGGAAGTCACAGTTGTTTTATAACCTCATCTCCGAAGTGACATTCTGTCACTTCTGCCATATTCTACTCATTAGGTGTGAGTCAACAAGTCCAGCCCACACTCAAGGGGCAGGGATTATACAAGGGAGGCAATACCTGGATTCCAGGATTACTGGGTGCTATCTTAGAGGCTGCCTATCCCAATGATACACTATTTTAAGAACAAGCATTAAAATAGGTTGACAATGGGTAAATCTGACTCCCCAGGGAACATTTATTGAAGTCTTAGTTATGAAGGCTACTTTATTTATATTTATGACTACATCCCCAGCACCTTGAAAAATGAGTAGGGGCCTGGTAAGTATTTGTGAAATGAATGAATGAAAGTGTGCAGGCTCCATTTGCTTTGTATGTTTTAGGGTCTACATTTATACAGAGGAGGTAAGCCATCATGTCTTTCTTCCACAACTAGGCAATCATCTGGCTTTCTTGCTACTTTGAATTTAAACCACTGGGTGCACTGCTCTCTCTCTCTCTTTTTCTTTCTCTCTCTCTCTCTGTCTCTCTCTCTCTGTCTGTGTGTGCATGTGTATGTATTTTTCATTTATTTGTTTTTTGATTTCTCCTTTATGAGTTGTGTTACTTCTTAAAAAGTAGAGGTAAATGGAAATCAGCACTGCCAGCAATGATCAAATGAACTTTGTACCTGATTTTATCACTTGCTTATTTATTTTTAAGTACTTTAAATTGGATGTGATTTGATTATTTTTAATAGGTAATATATTCACATAGTTCAAAAATTACAATTATTTAAAAAGGTGGACTGGCCGGATGTGGTGGCTCACGCCTGTAATCCTAGCACTTTAGGAGGCCAAGGTGGGTGGATCACCTGAGGTCAGGAGTTCGAGACCAGCCTGGGCAACATGGTGAAACCCCATCTGTACTAAAAGTACAAAAATTAGCCAGGCGTGGTGGTGGGCGCCTATAATCCCAGCTACTTGGGAGGCTGAGGCAGGAAAATCGTTTGAACCTGGCGGGGTGGAGGTTGCAGTGAACCGAGATCGCGTCACTTCACTCCAGCCTGGGTGAAAGAGTGAAACTCTGTCTCAATAAAATAAATAAATAAATAAAATTAAAAAGGTGCACAATGAAACGTCTTGCACCCACCTCTTCTCTCTCAGTCTCCCACCCACCTCTTCTCTCTCAGTCTCCCACCTCAATACTTTCATTGGTATATTTTTAATAGGCTTTTTAAATTTTTGTATAATTTTAAAGAAGAGTTGAAAAGGATACAGACAGTTCCCATATACACTGTACCCTTCACCCAACTTCCTTTAATATTGACATCTTACATAGCTATGGTACATTAGTCAAAAATACGAAGTTAACATTGATACAATACCACTGACTAAACTGCACACTATTGTGATTTCACCAGTTTTTCCTCTCATGTCCTATTTCTGTTCCAGGATCCCACATTGCACTAACTATACTTAATAAGCATATTAGCTTCAATAATATGGTTAAATGTGTAAGGGGGCATTCTTTATACAAAAGTTCAACTTTTTCTTTTACACCCCTACTTCTTTACTCTTATACACTGTTAAAAAATGTATTTGTCTACTTTTATAAACTTTATTTTACATTTAGATAATATGATCGATGTGAGTAAAACATTAAACCGATATGAGTAAAACATTAAGCTAATGTGAGTAAATGTGAGTAAAACATTAAACCAAGATTCAGGAGCTCTTGGTTACACTGCTGGCTGTCACTGACAACCAGTCTTAAAAAGTATTTGAACATTCTACTCCTCCATTTTCTCATGCACAATTGAGGTGATCCACTCTAGATGATCTTTCAGGCCTTTCCAGCATCACATTTCTACAATTTCAGGGATTCTGAGATTTTGCACCGTAACAGTTTTTTCTAGCACACTTCTGCCACCTTGTGGACTAGTCTGTTTTTTCTTATTTTCTCAAAAGGAAAAGAAAAATGAAAAGACTTTTTCTAACTCTTATTAGATGCCCAGTTTGAAATATGTAGCACAGATCTAGAGTAATGATGTCATATTCAGGACATGAAAATAGACAGAATTCAGGAGTCAAAAAGAGGCCTTATGATGAAGGGACAATTCTGGGAAATCACAGCTGCTGGCCACAGCAAGGATGCAGCCAGAGATCTGGCAGGAGATGGTGGCCGTGTAAGTAGGAGTTCGGGGTTCAGGGTCATGGCATTGGGTTTTGGAAGCTTTCAGTTGGTCAGTTACAAGGCATAGGATCAAAAGCAGGACTCGGCTGGGAAGGACAGACCAGGGACCTAATTCCTTTTATAAATCAAAAATAAAATTCTAAGCACCCCCTCTCCAACCATCTGAATGTACCCCTCCTCTCAGCCAGGGCATTCCAAAACTAACCTGAAAAACTGGTTCAGGCCATGACAGGAAAGGGGGGTTGAACATGCCTCATTATACCCTCCTCCCTTTTGGAACTCAGGAAAAGATGACCAGAATTTAACATCAACACAGACCTTAAGTCTGATAAGAAACATTTACAATCTATTCTCTCTGAAGCCTGCTACCTGGAGGCTTCATCCACATGATAAAACTTTTGTCTCCACAACCCCTTATTGTAACCCAGACAGACATTTCTATTGATAATAACTCTTTCAACCAATTGCCAATCAGAAAAATTTTCAATCTGTCTATAATCTGGAGCCCCAGGCCCCCACTTTGAGTTGTCCAACCTTCCCAGGCCAAACAAATGTACATTTTACATGTATTTGATTGATGTCTCATGTTTCCCTAAAATGTATAAAACTAGGCTGTGCCCTGACTACCCTGGGCACATGTTCTCTGGATCTCCTGAGAGCTTGTCACAGGCCATTGGTCACTTATATTTGGCTCAGAATAAATCTCTTCAAATATTTTATAGTTTGACTGTTTTTGTCAACACTTTTGCAGATAGAACGTGATCATCAGAGGGAGGGAAATGGTAAGAGCCAAGTTGTTAAAATCAGGTTATGAAGTCAGAGTTGTCCAGCAGCTAGGCTGACCTTGTCATCTGTCACATGGAGTCCAGGACAAGGAAGGGGACACATGGTAGTATGGGGAGGGAGAATGTGTTAGGACAGGGTGGAGGCACTCATACCTGGGTGAGGAGATGAAGGTTAGGAGAAGTCCGCTGGCCCCGGACTCTAGGACTTCAGAGACCTCTGCACACAGTGGAGTCATGGCTGAAGCAGTGCTGCTACTCCACAGCACATGAATCCTAGGAGCACAGTCTACTTACTCTTAAGCCTGGGAGTTATTGTTTTGTTTCAGATCCAGCTCGACCTCCTGAACTTGTCTGCACTCCATCATCTATACCTCATACCTACTGTTATTCACAGCCACAGCAGGCCCATGCCAGCCTGTTCCTAGACTCATAGTGACATCTCTGTGGCTCTCCTTGCTTTGGTCTTACATCCCTACTCCTGCAATCAACCCTCCATGCTGCTACCAGTAAGCTTCTAAAAAGGCTAATCTATTAGCTCCAGACCCTCCGCAGCCTAGCAGACTTCATAGGTGCTCCATTTCCTCTAAGACATGCCCTCCTTGTTTGGAAATCAAGGCCTTTCATGACCTAGCTCCAGCTTACTGTCCTCCTTTGTCTCCTCCCATCTCCTGCTTCTACTTTCTGTGGGTTCTTTCTGTTCCAGAAATCCGACTGTGGCCCTGCCACAGGAAGCAACAGGAAGCAACAGGAAATAACTTCCTGTTGCTTCCTGAATTTGCAGTTTCTATTCTCTCCTAATGGCATACTCTTTCTTGGTCTTCACAGCTTGAAACATTTTATGCTTCAAGTCTTAGCTAAATACTACCTCATTTGCAAGGTTTTTCTTACTCCCCAAGCCAGATTCAAGGATATCCTATGCTCCCAAACTAATTTTGGACATGCTTCCAGTATAGCAATATTCTTGCTCTTTTGTCTTTCATTTCTGCCTCCCCAGTAGGCTCTGGGAGAAGAGAGACCCATGTCATAAGTTTTGAAGACCCAGGTCCTAGTACATTACCTGCTCCAGAATGCAGAATTAACATTCTTTTGGATAAATGAATGTGAGGCTGTCATGCTGTCTTTAGGCTCCCCTGATCGTAACTTCTACTTCTCTCTCTATGGTACTAATATTACACCCACAGACTGTGAAAATGTCAGAAACATGTGAAACAACATTGCTTTCATTGCTATCACTAATGCAGTATTTCACTCTCTTCTGCTGGGCTTGGTGGCTTGCACTTGAAATCCCAGCTACTCAGGATGCTGAGGCAGGAAGATCACTTGAGGCCAGGAGTTTGAGACCAGCCTGGGCAACACAGTGAGACCCCAGTCTGTAAAAAATAAATAAACTCTCTTCTTTCTAAATTATAGGGTGTCAATGTGAACCTTGTGACAATTAACCGGGTGTCTTCTCTCCACGAGGCATGCCTTGGAGGTCACGTGGCCTGTGCCAAAGCCTTATTGGAAAATGGTGCACACGTGAGTACTGCCCCTGCCCACTTGGGTCTGTCTGGCCAGATGCATCTGTTAATGTTTAATGATAGTTTACCTTCCAGATGGCTTACCCACTGTGGGTAAGGGCTGGGCTGGTTCTATCCATGTCCGTATTCCATCATTTAGGCTACTCCTCTCTCTTCAACTTACCCCCCTGTGTGTAAATATTCAGACATGGCAACTCACAGGAACCTTTTAAAACTGTGTTGCTGACCTTAAGAAATCTTTATTGTACCATGTTTTTTTTTTGTTTTGTTTTGTTTTGTTTTTGAGACGGAGTCTCACTCTGTCGCCCAGGCTGGAGTGCAGTGGCACAATCTCCGCTCACTGCAAGCTCTGCCGGGGTTCACGCCATTCTCCTGCCTCAGCCTCCCCAGCAGCTGGGACTACAGGCACACGCCGCCACGCCCGGCTAATTTTTGTATTTTTAGTAGAGACAGAGTTTCACTGTGTTAGCCAGGATGGTCTTGATCTCCTGACCTTGTGATCCACCTGCCTCGGCCTCCCAAAGTGCTGGGATTACAGGCGTGAGCCACCGCGCCCGGCCTTGTACCATGTTTTCTTTATGCATTCATCTGTTGGTGGACACTTGGGTTGCTTTCAGGTCTTTGCAATTGTGAACAGTGCTGCATCAGACATGGGAGTGCAGATATCTCTTGGATATACTGTTTTCCTTTCTTCTGGGTATATACCCAGCAGTAAGATTGTTGGATCATATGGTATCTCTGTTTTTAGTTTTCTGATGAACCTCCAAACTGTTCCCCATAATGGTTGTACTAATTTATAATCCCACTAACACTGTATGAGGCTTAATAACAAGATTTTAAAGAACAATAGAAAACACTCTTAATTCAACACCTTAAATGAACAACTATTTTTATTGAGCAAAATTATCAAAATGAGCGAGCTTTTAATAAATAATACATTGGGGGAAACCTACAGAATTGAACTTTATCTTATTTTAAATTTATCTCCAAACTTTTTTCAAAGGGTGACTGAGGTGCAATATATAATACAGATATCAGAATAGAATCATAAAATCACAACTTCTAAAAATCTTCTGTGTTTAGTTGCCAGATGTTCTTTGTTTCTAATTTTGTTGTTTAACTCAGTCCTTGCATTATTTACTTTATGAGCTGCAATGTTTTTAAGTGCTTAATGACAATTTAAAACATTTTATATGGAAATCGGGTTTCTACATGTAGAACTGAATATAAAAGTCTTCCTTGTGAAAACTAATTTTCCTGATGCCATTGTGGTCGTGCATTTTCTTTTTTTGTTTTTTTTTTTTCCATCTTTTTATTTTTAGACAGAGTCTCACTAACACTGTTGCCCAAGCTGGAGTGCAGTGGCACAATCTCAGCTCACTGCAAACTCCACTTCCTAGATTCGAACGATTCCCCTGCCTCAGCCTCCTGAGTAACTGGGATTACAGGTGCCCGCCACCACGTCCAGCTAATTTTTGTATTTTTAGTGCAGTAATTTTTGTATTTTTAGTGAAACCAGCGATGCTGGTTTCAGACTCCTGACCTCAGGTGATCCGCCCGCCTTGGCCTCCCAAAGTGCTGGGATTACAGGCGTGAGCCACCGTGCCCTGCCAAGTGGTCATGCATTTTCATTAGGTAGTGCTTCTCTAAGTTACCACTCAGTCAGCTCATGGGTAATGATGAAGGAAGGCTGTGTGAGAGCCGTTTCCTTTCAAGCTAGATGACTGGAGTCACAGGCAGACTGCTGACAATATCAGGTCAGAGAGGAGGTTTTGTTGGGCACAAAGAGAAGAATAAGACATGTTTCCTTGTCTTTGTCAATTTTATAAAGAAACAGCCAATAAATACTGTAGCACACCATTTAACATTTAAATCAGAATGAGAAACGAAATAAGAGAAAGTTGGTCCATCAGTAGAAAGTCCCCCACAATTGGCAGTCCCATGAATACCTCAAACTCAGTGCATTTGTAACTGAGCTTATCATGTTCTTCCCTCTGGGACCTGCTCCTCATCTTGGGTTCCTAGTTTCAGAGGCCTGGTGAAAGAAACATCCTCTTGGTTTCCCAAGCTGCAAACCTGAGAGTCATCTTATTTCTTTCATCTCCCTATCTAATTAATTAAAAACTCCTGCTAATTTTACTTTCTAAGTTTTTCCCAAGTCTATCCTCTCCTTTATCCTACTCCCATAGTCATCTAAATTATTTATTATATTTTCAAAATGATTTCTTTTTGGCCAGGCACAGTGGCTCACGCCTGTAATCCCAGCACTTTGGGAGGCTGAGGCAGGTAGATCATGAGATCAAGAGATCAAGACCATCCTGGCCAACATGGTGAAACCCCGTCTCTACTAAAAATACAAAAACTAGCTAGGCATGGTGGCACGCGCCTGTAGTCCCAGCTTCTTGGGAGCCTAAGGCAGCAGAATCTCTTGAACCCAGGAGGCGGAGGTTGCAGTGAGCCGAGATCACACCACTGCACTCCAGCCTGGCAACAGAGCAAGACTCCATCTAAAAAATAAAAAAATTAAAAAAAATTCTTTTTGTATTTGTCTTCCCTAATGGAATTCAGCCTACTCAAGGAGAGGCAATTGTTCAGCCCACTCAAGGAGAGGCAATTGTCTTATCATTGTTTCCAAAACATTAGCACCTAGTAGATGCTCAATAAATGTTTGTTGACGTGAACTAAGAGAAATTTATAGGAAATCGCATAAGAAGACAACTTCCTAGACTGAGGGTGAGGATGAAACTTAGTAAAACACAAATCAAACTAGTCCTACCAAATATTTTTTAGTAAAAATATAGAAACCCCTAGCAATATAAATTTACACACATTTTCCCCTGACCTTGTCTGTCTCTGCCATCTTAGCATATTATCTTTAACTTTCCAATTTAATGGGGGTTAGGCTGGGTGTGGTGGCTCACACCTGTAATCCCTGCCCTTTGGCAGGCTGAGGCAGGAGGGTCATTTGAACCCAGGAGTTTGAGACCAGCCTGGGCAAGATAGCTAGACGCTGTCTACAAATAATTTTTCTAAATTTGTGGGTCATGGTGGTGCACGCCTGTAGTCCCAGCTGCTCAGGAGGCTGAGGCAGGAGGATCATTTGAGCCTAGGAATTCGAGGCTGCAGTGAGCTATGATCATGACACTGCACTCCAGCCTGGATAGCAGAGCAAGACCCTGTTTCACGGGTTATATTGCAACTCTGGAAACAAGTCTTTTTTTGTGTCCAAAGCAAGGACATTTAGAATCCTGATTATCACAAGCATGCATCCTTAGTTGTTGAAGCAAAATTGTTTCACATCACAAACTTGACTGTCCTATATTTCAATGGCATCAGAGGCTCCCTACCACTCCTGCGGTTCCCGATGTTCTTTCCAATCTATTGCTGATACACAAAGATGTCTCCCAGCCCTGCTGGTTCTCATGTGCTTCCCACATCCCTACAAGGTACCAAAGATGGTTGCAGACACCATGTTGATGGCTATTTTCTTTCCTTTTTTTAAATTTAATCTTTTAATTTTATTTATTTATTTTTATTTTTATTTTTTATTATACTTTAAGTTTTAGAGTACATGTGCACAACGTGCAGGTTTGTTACATATGTATACATGTGCCATGTTGGTGTGCTGCACCCATTAACTCGTCATTTACATCCTAATGCTATCCCTCCCCCCTCCCCCCACCCCACAACAGTCCCCGGTGTGTGATGTTCCCCTTCCTGTGAAACCAACCCAAATGTCCAACAATGATAGACTGGATTAAGAAAATGTTGATGGCTATTTTCTATGTCCCTTTGGCTTGGTCATGCTATCTCTAGAAGTAACAGCTGGCATGTGTAATTTGCATGGATTATAGTAGACCAGAGAGGAAGTTGTGGCAAGAAAGACAGTAGATCTGTGGAGAATTGCCAAGGATTTTGTAAGCATGGATTTTGGGACCACAGCCTGCCATGTTTGTTCATGATTCAGAGGGGAGTCATATTAATGGAAAATGGAAAATGGAAATAATTGTTGTTGCAAATGCTTATTGAGTGCTTACTGGGTGACATGTAATGTTTTAAGTGTTTACATATAGTAACTCGCTCGATCCACCCAATAACTTCATGAGGTTTCATAATACTGTAAAGATGTGGAGTTCCCTCACTTATTCACCAGCGTGGGGAATTCCTCTAGGCAAATACATAGGAAGACATACTTGGAGATGGTGAGAATGAAATAACAAATCCTTTGGGTCTCTCTTTGCCCATCATTAGGTCAATGGAGTGACAGTTCACGGAGCCACACCCCTCTTCAATGCTTGCTGCAGCGGCAGTGCTGCATGTGTCAATGTGCTGCTGGAGTTCGGAGCCAAGGCCCAGTTGGAGGTGCACCTGGCCTCGCCCATCCATGAGGCAGTGAAGAGAGGTAAATGAGCCACCACAATGCATGTGAAACATTGATGGGCTCACTCCAATCTGTATGAATCAATGGTCTAGTGTTAGTCATTCAAGGGTGACCCTGATCTTCCTCACCATTAGAATATGTGTGGCCTAGAAATCCCACAGCAGTAACTTCAATTTGCCTAAATCTTCAGGAAATACCAGTGTGGCACAAAAGAGCCCTACTTATAACTTCGGAATGCTTTCCTGACTCCAATTTCCCATTTCCTGGGGATGGTCTATTGGCAGGCCTTTCCAGATCCTCTTTGCTGGTGTTTTGGTGGCAGCTGGTACAGCCAAGGCAGTAGTTCTGACTTCCCTGAATTGTACTATGCTTATGTCTCTGTCCTTAGTAGGCAAGAATAGCTTATCCTCTAAAGCCCATAAAATACCAACCACTAACCTAAAATAAACTATGAAAGTATCTGAAAGCCAAGGCTGATACTATCTCTAATGGAATAGTAAATATAACCGTTCATAATAAGTTACACAATCTAGATGGGCTGATGACTTCAAGGTCATAGTTATTGAAAAGAAAAGGCTGCAACTTTCCAAAGTATAGCATTGGTAATCTTGAAGCTGACTCTAGACTCCTGTGTTGTCAGTTAATTTCCAAGTGAAGGAAAATAGTAAATTTAAGGAATTTAAAGACTGTATGTACAGACTAGACCTGAACCGAGAAGATGCCACTGAAAGGAGAAGGCCATTTGTCAAAGGTCACACCCAAAGAGCAACATTTTGATGATAGCAAGTGAGGGAGTTGTTCTCTTATACTGAGATCAGAAATACAATGGTGAAGTTAAAACACTCTAGAATAGTGATCTTTGCTGGTGTAACTGGAGATGAAATATTTTATTTCAAAAAGCAAAAGTGAAAGATTTGTTCCAGGTTATTAAACATGTCACTTGCCAATTTTTTCCAGTGGATTACTTTAAATGATGCAAAAGACCCAAATCTAAATTTATCTATGTATTTTATGTTCTAAATGTATTTAATACATATTTATTAATTAATAGCTGATGTTAGTCATTTCCCAAACATCATGTAAGTCCTTTAAGTTGTAGAGTAATGAACTACTTTGGAAATGATATAAATGTCTTTCTTTCTTTTTTTTTTTTTTTTCGACAGAGTCTCGTGCTGTTGCCCAGGCTGCAGTGCAGTGGCATGATTTCTGCTCATTGCAACCTCTGGCTCCTGGGTTCAAGCGATTCTCCTGCCTCAGCCTCCCAAGTAGCTGGGATTACAGGTGCCCGCCACCACAATTGGCTAATTTTTGTATTTTTAGTAGAGATGGGGTTTCACCATGTTGGCCACTCTGGTCTCGAACTCGACCTCAGGTGATCCACCTGACTCGGCCTCCCAAAGTGCTGGTATTACAGGCATGAGCCACCGTGCTCAGCCATATAAGTCTTTTTTTTTTAATTTTTTTAAATTTTTTTTTTATTTTTTGAGACAGAGTCTTGCTCTGTCTCACAGGCTGGAGTGCAATGGCACAATCTCGGCTCACTGCAACCTCCACCTCCTGGGTTCAAGCAATTCTCCTGCCTCAGCCTCCCACGTAGCTGAGATTACAGGCACCTGTCACAGTGCCCAGCTGATTTTTGTATTTTTTAGTAAAGACAGGGTTTCATCATGTTGGCCAGGCTGGTCTCAGACTCCTGACCTCAGGTGATCCACCCACCTCAGCCTTCCAAAGTGCTGGTATTACAAAAAGTCTTTATTAAAAATTTAATATTGATTTGAAGTAAATTTTTGAAGTAAAAATTAATATTATTTGTATTTCCATACAAATGTTTAAAAATTGATAAGTACTGAGAATGGTTTGAATTAATTAAGTATGTCTGCAGTGCTTGACTGATTATATTTGGAGCTTTTGGTATCTATGTGCCTATAAAACATATATATGCTCATAATAAACACATAATTTGTGTGTCTCTGTATATTTTTCTGTACTGTAAAAGCATGTTAAGGATAAATATCCACAGAATGTAAGCATGATTAGCAAATTCATTATTTTATACACTTGTATTAGTGCTAGCTATTTAACTTTTCTGTATTCATTTTTAAAACTTTCTGAGAATATTTAAATTTAACTCAAACTAGGCTGTTTCTTGTTCTTCAAAAAAAAGACAAGAATTATTCAAAAATATGTATTAAATACCCTGTATTTTCCAAGTAGTTTTAGGGACTTACTAGATATTATTTCTGGATTCTTATAGCTCTAAACCTCTATGAACAAGCTGAGTCATAGTTTGAGTCAATACCTTGACATATTGATGCTGTAATTCAGGTATAATATTTAATTATGTGAACAAATAGTTTGAATTGACAGTCCTGATTTGTACATTTTAATGCATATTTATACTTAATTTAGAATTTGTGATAAATCAGGTAGGTCTAAAATGAAGCTTACTTTTATGTTATCTACAAAAAATAGGTTGGCTAAATTAATTAGTAATGACATGATTTTTTAGGGAGATATTTAAATCTTCAAAGAGAACTAACTCTTTGCAAGCTCCCATCAATACCTCAGAAGCACTCTCTCCTGAACAAAGCATTCACAGGTTGCAAATTTATCATGTCTATCTATTTATTGGGCAAACTCTCAAAAGAGAATGCTTGCTTACATAGTTGTTGTTAGCCACTGAATATGAAAGTGTATTTAAATATATTCTATACTTAAGACTTCTTTATTCTTTCTCATAGGTATTTTTCAGACTAACCAAAGTACTGTTGCAGGCCATATATCCAATCTCACATGCATGGATAAAGAAGAGAATGAGAGATTTGTAATGGAGAGGCGACAGGGTTCTCTTGGGTTTGAGCACTAGCTTTTCAGAGTAATAATAGGCCTAGTCGTTTGTCCCTCTGGGTCTTGTCACTTCCATTTGTAAAATGGTGGCATCATTCTGGAGAGTGATTTCAACTGTGCTACTTGGAGCCCTTAGTTCAGTTAAAGTTAACTTGGGCTGTAAAGAGGAGCTGGAGTGGGGAAGCATGGGCATGCTCCTCTTTTTATTGGTATTATTTTGGTGGTTTCTACCTAAGATTTCCAAAAACAAACACAAAAATGTTTTTATGCTACAAAAAGAGATCTAGGTTATTTAATTAATTTATTTATTTATTTATTTTGAGACAGAGTCTCGCTTTGTCGGCCAGGCTGGAGTGCAGTGGCGCTATCTCGGCTCACTGTAACCTCCTCCTCCCCGGTTCAAGTGATTCTCCTGCCTCAGCTTCCCGAGTAGCTGGGATTATGGGTGTGTGCCACCATGCCCAGCTAATTTTTGTATTTTTAGTAGAGATGGGGTTTCACCATGTTGGCCAGGCTGGTCTCGAACTCCTGACCTCAGGGAATCCGCCGGTCTCAGCCTCCCAAAAAGCTGAGATTACAGGCGTGAGCCACCACACCCGGCCAACCTAGGTTATTTCTAAAGCCCATTTCAGATAAGCAATCCTATAATTCTGTTAATATTTAATATGTCCCTTACTTGAGTGAGGGTATCTTGTGTTCCACCAGGTCACAGAGAGTGCATGGAGATCCTGCTGGCAAATAATGTTAACATTGACCATGAGGTGCCTCAGCTCGGAACTCCCCTATATGTGGCCTGCACCTACCAGAGGGTAGACTGTGTGAAGAAACTTCTAGAATTAGGTAATTTCCAAAATTATTTTCATGAAGAAACCTGTTAACTTTGTTGATTTTCTACAGCTTCAAAGATGAAGTTCTTGTCATGGTTGAAAAATATTCGGTTAGCATTTTATGTTTGAATGCTAAAAACAAAACTTCTCTAGAGAAATGAGTGTCTGTATTTCTCAGTCCTGCTTCCTTTGATGTTAACTCCATTTACCTGGTATTGTTCTCCCTGGTTGTCACAAGATAGCTGCCAGCAATACCTGGGCTTACAGCCCTCCTTATCCATACGCAGCAAGAAAGAGCATTGGCTCTTTTTAAGTCACATGCCCATCTTTGAACCCCTCATGGGGGCCAAGGGAATACAATATATTGATTAGTTTAGGCCTAGATTTCAGCCTACTCTGCATTTATTAGGCTTCACTGGAAACACGAGAACTGAAACTAACAAGAGGGTGGTTTACCTTTGGGAAATCTAGGTATGCTTGCCAGGAAGATGCTGGACGGTAAAAACAGACATTTGCTACAGGCTAGTTTATATCTATCCTGCTACAGTATCTAGTCATTTTAAAAGCAATTCTAAAAGGCATATACAGAAACCAAGAGTCCGTGGAAAAATGAAATATCTTTTTTTTTTTTGAGATGAAGTTTCGCTCTTATTGCCCAGGTTGGAGTGCAATGGCGTGACCTCAGCTCACTGCAACCTCCACCTCCAGGGTTTAAGCGATTCTCCTGCCCTAGCCGCCGGAGTAGCTGGGATTACAGACGCACACCACTACACCCGGCTAATTTATTGTATTTTTAGTAGAGACAGGATTTTACCATGTTGGCCAGGCTGGTCTCGAACTCCTGACCTCAGGTGATCCACCTTCCTCAGTCTCCCAAAGTGCTGGGATTACAGGTGTGAGCCACTGTGCCCGGCCGGAAAAATGAAATATCTTGAAACTATTCTTTGGTTAAAGATTCAACAAACTTAGCCCCTGACATAAAGGTGGAGATTTAGTAAAAACCTTTAGTTGTGAATTTTTATCTTGAGGAAGTTTTTGTCTTTTTTATTTCCCATCATTTACTATTCTCTATAGTAAGTTCAGAAATCATTTTTTGAGCCCCAAATAATATAAATACTAAATAAACTTAGCTTTATCTTTTGTCCCAAAACATAATAACTATGTAACAGGAGCCTCAAATACTTTATTTTGTATGCCACACAGTTTATACGGGAAAGCAAGTATTTAAAATGACTAAAACTATCTAAATTCACTTTTCTCACCAAAGAATTTCAAGTAGTCTTAGTAGGCATTGCTGAGGTTCTAGGCTTGAGTTGCATATTTTCAAACATTTGTCAAGTATGTCATGGTACTTAAAATGTCTTTATATGCAATGACTATATTTGAAGCTCATTGTGCTTTACATTACATTTAGTGTTGAATTGTGGCCATCTGTTTTGTTAAGGAGCCAGTGTCGACCATGGCCAGTGGCTGGACACCCCACTCCATGCTGCAGCGAGGCAGTCCAATGTGGAGGTCATCCACCTGCTAACCGACTATGGAGCTAACCTGAAGCGTAGAAATGCTCAGGGCAAAAGTGCGCTTGATCTGGCGGCTCCAAAAAGCAGCGT
Source organism: Homo sapiens (assembly GCF_000001405.40). NCBI lineage: Eukaryota > Metazoa > Chordata > Mammalia > Primates > Hominidae > Homo > Homo sapiens. The sequence continues at coordinate 15,287,906 of NC_000023.11, read as the reverse complement.
GGAGCAGGCACTCTTGCTCCGTGAAGGTAACCAAGGGCTGGGTATCCATTCCTCTTCCATAAGCACATTCTCTCCCCTTCCTGTCTCATCTGTAGCATTTTTTCCTTTTTCTTTTCTCTTTTTAATTGAAGGTGGCATTGTGGGAGGTGATAGGCCCTGCCGTCACTGACCTGTCTTCTGGGATTTTATATGCTGTGTATATTCACTAACAACCAAAGGGCATTTACCTATAACCAGAGTGTTGCTTTGTATTTTATATAACAAGAAAATAACCAGAAAACCGGCTGGGCGTGGTGGCTCACGCCTGTAATCCCAGCACTTTGGGAGGCTGAGGCGGGTGGATCACAAGGTCAGGAGTTTGAGACCAGCCTGGCCAGCATGGTGAAATCCTGTCTCTACTAAAAATACAGAAATTAGCCAGATGTGGTGGCTGGCGCCTGTAGTTCCAGCTACTTGGGAGGCTGAGGCAGGAGAATCGCTTGAACCTGGGAGGCGGAGGTTGCGATGAGCAGAGATCACACCACTGCATTCCAGCCTGGGTGACAGAGCGAGACTCCGTCTCAAAAAAAAGAAAACCAGAAAACCTTGTTTATACCCCGAAAATCTTGAATTTCCATTTCTGTCCTGGCATAAGCGTATGATTGAGCAAACCAAAACTCTGCTTTGTAATATTGGGAGACAATCTGATGGCAAATTCAAAAGACTTGAGTCAGAGTCTGTAGGGGAGGACACAGAGTATTTCAGAAATCCGACTAAATGGTGAGGTTGTTTGCCTGTTCTCCAGATCAGGGAGTAGGTGGGTCTGCATTCTTCATTGCTTCATTCCCGTTTCCACCATGAGCATTAAGAGCAACTACTGATGCCAGAAGAGGTAAGGCGAGCATCTGAAATTCAGAAGAGAACCAATTCAGAAGAGAACCTCTTATGTCTATACAGTAAGAAAATATTTTCGGAGCCTATATTGATTATTTGTGTGCCTGAAGAATATTAAAGATAATTATAATTATTCAGCTCTACGTATGCCAGGCACTGGGCTAAATTTGAAACATAGATCAAGCTCACTGAATTTTTAAAACTTTAGAGCAGTGGGAACTTTATATGGTAGTAGCTGGTTGCTATGCCAGGTACAAATGGGAAAAGAAAAGCATTGACAAGGTCACACAGCTAGCTACATAATAGAATTAGGTAGGATTCTGAGCCATCTGACCCCAGAGTGTGCACTTTTTTTTTTTTTTTTTTTTTTGAGATGGAGTCTCACTCTGTCTCCAGGCTGGAGTGCAGTGGTGCGATCTCGGCTCACTGCAACCTCTGCCTCCCGGGTTCAAGCGATTTTTCTGCCTCAGCCTCCTGAGTAGCTGGGACTACAGGCGTGCACCACCACACCCAGCTAATTTTTGTATTTTTAGTAGAGACGGGGTTTCACCATGTTAGCCAGGATGGTCTCGATCTCTTGACATTGTGATCCGCCCGCCTCAGCCTTCCAAAGTGCTGGGATTACAGGTGTGAGCCACTGCACCTGGCCATCAGAATGTGCACTCTTAATGTCATAAGGCCCCAACCCTGAATCTTTTGAAACATTCAGTGAGGAGGGTCTTATTTCACTCACCAGTTCCATTTTGTGAAACCACTACATCATATATACCTTCCAAGTAGAATGCTTGGTTTTAACCATTTTATGAATAGTCTTTCTAAATCAGTGCTTCTTAAGATTTAACATGCATATCAGTTCACTTGAGGATTTCCTTAAAATACAGATTCTCATTCAGGAGGTCTAGGATGGGACCTGTGACTCTGCATGTCTAGCAGGCTCCCACGTGATGTTGATGGTGCTGGTCTGAGGACCACACTTTGCGTACCACTGGTCTAGATTATTATTATTGTTATTATTATTATTATTATTTTAGACGGAGTTTTGCTCTTGTTGCCCAGGCTGGAGTGCAGTGGCGTGATCTCGGCTCACTGCAACCTCCGCCTCCCGGGTTCAAGCAATTCTCCTGCTTCAGCCTCCTGAGTAGCTGCGATTACAGGCGCGTGCCACCACGCCCAGCTAATTTTTTGTATTTTTAGTAGAGATGGGGTTTCATCATGTTGGCTAGGCTGGTCTCGAACTCCTGACCTCAGGTGATCCACCCGCCTCAGCCTCCCAAAGTGCAGGGATTTCAGGCGTGAGCCACCGCGCCTGGCCAGGATTATTTTCAATAGTCTAGATCATTAATCATTGTTCTTTTATTTGAATCTTCACCAGAAGAATTATGATCTTCCTCAGCAGATCCGAGCTTGGAAATACCAGCTACTTTCCAACTGTTAGCAGAGACTATAGTTTATAGAAGTTTTCACATTTCCTATTTTCTTCCATCAAAAATGTTTCTAGGACTAGGATTTGTAGACCTGGATATCCTGGACAGGGCCTAGCTCCTCTGTCCTTTGTCTTCATAAATATAGCCACTTGCTCTAGAAAGATTAATACTGGCTGGGCGCGGTGGCTCACACCTGTAATCCCAGCACTTTGGGAGGCCCAGGCGGGTAGACCATGAGGTCAGGAGTTCAAGACCAGCCTGGCTAAGATGGTGAAACCCCGTCTCTACTAAAAATACAAAAATTAGCTGGGTTTGGTGGCACCCGCCTGTAATCCCACCTACCCGGGAGGCTGAGGCAGAGAACTGCCTAAACCCGGGAGGCAGAGGTTGGAGTGAGCTGAGATTGAACCACTGCATTTCAGCCTGGGCGACCGAGTGAGATTCTGTCAAAAAAAAAAAAAAAAAAAAAGAAAGATTAAATACCAACTACATCAGAGTTCACTCTCCTGTCAGTGTCTCTGGGCACTGGACAATTTGTCTACATTACCATTTTGCAGAGGAGGTTAAGTAGGACAACAGGTAAAGAAGTTTTCTATTCTTGCTTCCCAAGATTTTAACTAAGATCGATTGTTTGGTCCTCCAGGTAGCTTTCTATCTCATGGATGCTCCTTGGCAATGTGAAGCCAAATGTTAACCTGGCTATTCGCATATGCAGTCCATCATTTTTCATGGGGTGTGAGATGCTGTTACAGTGGATTTTTTTGAAAAGGAAAACTTTGTGTAGACCAGTAATTAGGTTTTCTTGAAGAGATCTTTACTGATAACAGTCAGGTTAGGAAATAATGACTGTGCAACTAGTATTGCAGCCAAAAGCTCATTCATCCTATTCAACCATATTCTGGACTCTCATCAGCTGATTTTCCTTAAGGATTCAGAGCCATTCAAAGCCATGGGCATGATGATTCTGTGAGACTCCTTGAGAGTCCATGAGACTCAGTTTCAGGGAACAATAGGGTCTGACTTGAGTCCTTCTTGCAGATCTCTATTGAGCTGGAATCCTTGCAAGAATAAAGGGCCTCTTCAGATTTAAGTTGAGACCCAGCCAGCACCACCTCATGGGCAGCTAGAGCCGGTAGGTCCAGGAGTACTTTGAGGGCTGAATATCTGGCCCCTGGCACATCTCCTAACACTGCCTCTGTCACCACGCAGGTGGAACTTCCCGCTGACACCCTTTCCGTATTGTCCCTCTGTTCTGTGGCTGTGTCTTGGAGTCCTGCGTGTTCAGTCCTTCCATTTGCATTTTCTCCTTGGCCAGTGTATTACTTTCTTTCTTTCTTTCTTTTTTTTTTTTTTTTTTTGAGGCGGAGTCTCGCTCTGTCGCCCAGGCTGGAGTGCAGTGGCCCGATCTCGGCTCACTGCAAGCTCCGCCTCCCGGGTTCACGCCATTCTCCTGCCTCAGCCTCCCGAGTAGCTGGGACTATAGGCACCCGCCACCACACCCGGCTAATTTTTTGTATTTTTAGTGGACACGGGGTTTCACCGTGTTAGCCAGGATGGTCTCCATCTCCTGACCTCGTGATCCGCCCACCTTGGCCTCCCAAAGTGCTGGGATTACAGGCGTGAGCCACCGTGCCTGGCCCCGTGTATCACTTTCATTGGCACATTCAATACATGAATGAGATGCATTCCCTTTAGACCCCACACCTCATTCCTAACTTGCCTCTGGTTAGCTTCATTCTTCAACATTGGTAATCCAAGTACCATTGGAAGATTAACTTAAAGAAATGCATCCCTTCCAGAGGGGCAAATCAGGATCTGCTGTCTGTATTTAGTGTCCGCTACCTCATTCTATAGTTCCTATACAGATCCAGCTTCTCTTCTGCTTTTAGAAAATTTCCGCCTCTTCCAGTTCTCTGATTTCCCCCTTCCACCCCACCTCCCACCACTATGAAGTTAACACCATTTTTATTTCTCTCTCAGGCCCACCTGCTCTTTCCCAGCTCTGCCGCCTGTGTGTCCGGAAGTGTCTCGGTCGAGCATGTCATCAAGCCATCCACAAGCTACATCTGCCAGAGCCACTCGAACGATTCCTCCTATACCAATAGTCCTAAGTGTTCCTGGGAAGATACTTGGAATGACACAGATTGTTGTCTGCTGTACCTAGAGTACCTAATGTAGAAGCTCAACAGCTTAGACTCCTAGTATCTTTAAATGAGCTCAGTCGAAGTAAATCCCCCATGAGCTAGAACACTTGAGGAGTGGAAACTCCTGGTTAGTTTAATGTTCTCATTAACCAAGGGGCAAGTAGAAACCATTTAGCTTTTAGCTCTTGTTGTTAAGAAACTTAAAAGAACTGTGAAGTAGAGTGAAAACAATAGGCTGTTTTTTGATGATTCGGGATCTTCTTGTACCTAAAAGTCAACATTCTGAATATTGTATAGACACATATAAATTCAGGTGGATAAGATTATAACAAATGTTAGGTATTCCAAGATATGTTCTTGATTTAGTTCCTTCCTTCAGCCCTTCCCCACTTTTTTTCTTTCTTTCCTTGAATAAATCTGGTATAATTTTGATTTTTTGTATATATATACGTATATATATATACATACATATACGTATATATATATACGTATATATATACACACACACACATGCACTCATATATTTAATGTTTTCAAAGTCCTTAATATATATAGTTCATATATGTTTTCAAAGTCCTTAATATATGTATAAAGCTTATATATATATGTTTTCAAAGTTCTTTATATATAAAGTTATATATATTTATATAGACTTTATATATATATACATATATAAAGTTAAGGACTTCAGAAACATTGTAGTTAACTGAGGCTTCCAGTTACTGCGGTCCTGGTTGATAAGAGAGACTTTGGAAGAGATCAGTGCACCCAGAGGTTGGCATCTATTGCTTATTGCTTCTGATATTAAATGCTGTTATTTGAAGTAAGCAGTTCTAGGATTGAGAACACTGGGTGTCCCCAACAACCTGAACCCACAGGCATTGTCTGAGGCATGTTGCAACCCAAGCACTGGCTTATTTTCAAAGTCAAGATGCTCAGGGTTTTTGAAATAATTACATACTGATGCCAGCCACCAAAGTGGGCTCAATGCTGGGTCAATATTTTTTTCTGTGGATAGGGGCCCAAAATAAGCACAAAGGTATATAAAAAGAGGCTTCTCCTTTTCTGTCTTCTCCTTCTTCTCATTTCTCTCTCCTTCTGTCACCCCTCCTCTTCCTCTATTCTTTCTCTTTTTTGTGAATTTAGAACATGGGAACTGGATAGACTTTTAATTATTGTAAGTATTACTGTCATGGTTCAGTATTCAGTTCTAAAATGAAAATTCCCTCTCAGATCATCCTAAGACTCATTTCACACATGTTTTTTTTTCCCCCAATTTTTCTAGACCTTTGGCTCTCAACTGGAGACAATTTTGCCCCACTCCCACTGAGACATTTGTCAATGTCTGCAGACATGTTTAGTTGCAACAACTGGGGGAGAATTGCTACTATCATCTAGACGGTGGAGATCAGGGATGCAGCTAATCACCCTACAGTGCACAGGAGCCAGCAACAAAGAATTATCAGATCTGGCCGGGCATGGTGGCTCACGCCTGTAATCCCAGCATTTTGGGAGGCCGAGGCAGGCAGATCGCACTGTCAGGAGTTCGAGAACCGCCTGGCCACTATGGTGAAACCCTGTCTCTACTAAAAATACAAAAGTTAGCCAGGCGTGGTGGCAGGTGCCTATAGTCCCAGCTACTTGGGAGGCTGAGGCAGGAGAATCACTTGAACCCGGGAGGCGGAGATTGCAGTAAGCCAAGATCACGCCACTGCACTCCAGCCTGGGTGACAGAGCGAGACTCCGTCTCAAAACAAAAAAAAAAAAAAGAAAGAAAGAAAGAAAGAAAAACAAACAAAAAAAAGAATTATCAGGTACAAAATGTCAATAGTGCCAAGAGTGAGAAACCCTTCTCTAAGCCTGTGCTATTCAATACAGTAGCTGCTAGCTACATATGGCTAATGAGCACAGGAATTGTGGATAGGCTGAATTAAGATGTGTTGTAAGTGTAAAATACATATTACATTTTAGTGATTGAGTAAAAAAAGAATATGAAACATTATGAACTTTGTTTTGTTTTCTTTTTTAGACGGAGTTTCACTTTTGTCATCCAGGCTCGAGTGCAATGGTATGACCTTGGCTCATTGCAACCTCTAAGCCTGTGCTATTCAATACGGTAGCTACTAGCCACATATGGCTAATGAGCACAGGAATTGTGGCTAGGCTGAATTAAGATGTGTTGCACGTGTAAAATACATATTACATTTTAATGACTGAGTAAAAAAAAGAATATGAAATACATGAACTTTTTTCTTTTCTTTTCTTTTTTGAGACGAAGTTTTGCTTTTGTCACCCAGGCTTGAGTGCAATGGCACGATCTCGGCTCACTGCAACCTCTGCCTCCCAGGTTCAAGCGATTCTCCTGCCTCAGCCTCTGGAGTAGCTGGGATTGCAGGCATCTGCCACTATGCCCGGCTAATTTTCGGTATTTTTAGTAGAGATGGGGTTTTACCATGTTGGCCAGGCTGGTCTCAAACTCCTGACCTCAACTGGTCCACCTGCCTCTTCTTTTTTTGTTTTATTTTTTATTTTTTTGTTTTGAAATATTAATAGCTTTTGATGTTGTATTTTTAATTTTTTGAAAACTTCCATACTGTTTTCCATAGTGGTTGTGGTAATTTACATTCCCACCAATAGTGTATAAGAATTCCCTTTTCTCCACATCTGCACCAGCATTTGTTATTTTCTATTTTTTGGATAGCCATTCTAACTGGGGTAAGATGATACCTCATTGTGGTTTTGATTTGCATTTTCCTGATGATTAGTGATGTCGAGCATTCTTTCATATACCTGTTGGCCATTTGTATGTCTTTTTTTTGGAGAAATGTCTATTCAGATCCTTTGCCCATTTTAAAATCAGATTATTTGTTTTGTTGTTGTCAAGTATGATTCAGCAATCCCATTACTGGATATTTATCAGAAAGAAAGGAAATCAATGTATGGAAGAGGTAGTTGCACCTCCATGTTTATTGTAGCTCTATTCAGAAAAGCAAGATATGAAATCAACTTAAATGTCTGTCAACAGATCAATGGATAAAGAAAATGTGGTATATATACAAAATGAAATACTATTCAGCCTTAAAAAAGAAGGAAATTCTGTCATTTGCAGCAACATGGATGAGCCTAGAGGACATTATGTTAAGTAAGTCACGCACAGAAAGATAAACACCATATGTTCTTGCTTACATGTGGAAGCTAAAAAAATTGAGCTCACAGAAACAGAGAGTAGAATTATGCTTATTAGAGGCTGGGAAGGGTAGTGAGGAGGGGACAATAGGGCAATGTTGGTTAATGGATACAAAATTATAATTGGATAGAAGAAATAATTTCTAGTGTTTCATAGCACTGTAGGGTAAATGTGGTTAACAATAATTTATTATGTATTTTCGAAAACCTAGAAGAGAAGATTTTGAATGTTCATAGCAGAAATGATAAATGATTGAGGTGATGGATATGCTAATCACCCTGATTTGATTACTTCTAGGTATTAAAATATCACTCTGTACCCCATAAATATATACAGTTATTACATACCAAATAAAATTAAACGAAAAAACTTTTTTGCTGATCACACAATGAAATAATCTTTTCAATATATTAGGTTAAATAGAATATATTATTAAAATTAATTTCACTGGCTTTCTTTTTACTTTTTTAGTGTGACTGTAATAACATTTTACATTACATGTGTGGCTCACATTACATTTCTATTAACAGTACTCTAAATCATTTTCTGATTTTTACAATTTTGGAATATCTAATAATCTTAATTAGTTAATTATCTGGGGGGAAAAGGTTACATTTTGATCTTACATCGTATTTCCAAAACAAATCTTGTTTTTAAAAAAAAGTTTAAAAAATTAAATACTGCTATAAAAATACTATAAGAAAATTACATGAATATACATGAAAGGGAAAGCATTTTTGAAATATATCAAAGGCAGAAAGGTTAAAGGAAAATACCGATAAACTGGAATACACCAAAAATTATGTTGCAAAAAATGCCATATATAAAATGAAATGGCAAACCAAAATAGAGGAAAACTGTATGTGACATTTATAGCAGATCAAAAGTCAATATTCTAGGGCAAAGGAGACTGTCAGATCCCACCCTTAGCTTTCTCCTTTTCCCAGTGGAGAATTTTGGTGAACAAGGATGTAAATATTACCCAAACCTTCAGTAAAGTCTAAAATGTATATGATACCTTGTGCATTTTTTAGAAGATATTAAGGAAAGAACCTAGATTATTTATCTGGCTCTACATGCTATAATATATGTATTGCATGACGTGGTGGCAAAACAATATGTAAACTTACCTGTTTCAGGTGGGATCAAATTCTCCTTCTATGAGAGATGTGACGAGAAAAACTGAAGAGTGTTTGCAAACCTTAGGAAAGTCAATTTTCACAAATCTTGAGGAAGGTACAGCGTAAGTCCAATGGCCATGAAAGGAGGTACAATTCAATGCGCCCCAAATATTGAAGGGCAGAATGATCTCAGCTGATATCTACATTTCAACATATAAAGAGTTCATTTACAAACCAATAAGAATAATATAGGTTCATGAATAGAAATATTAGCAAAGGGAATGAATAGTAAACTTATCAAATAACATACAAATAAATAGTCATAAGAATGTTAAAGATGGAAAATTGATTGAAAGAAAGGATGGATTTGAAACAGGATGAGGAGCCATTTGAGCCATCATTAGCCATGGAACGATCAAAGAGGAAAGAACGGACAGTCTCTTCCTATCATAGAACGTTTAGGAATTGGAGGCTTTCCTTCAAAGTGTTCTCGCGAGTGCATTTTTTTTTTTTTTTTTTTTTGTCATCTGGGATCTTGCTGAATGTCTGAGTACTGTGTTAAGCCCCGGGAGGCTCTAGGACATTCAACCAGTCTGTGACCCCAGGGAAGTGTTCCATTGCCCACTGCAACTGCAGACCATGGATGCCACAAATCATTTATATGGACCTCCCAACACTGGTAGGACTGTATTTGTGTTGGGGGAGGAGGTGGCACTCAAATCCTGAACAACCATTCACCAGAATCCATCTGATTGTCCAGGTCCCTGAATCCTAGAGTGGTGCCGATGTCTTACAATTTATGAATGAATGTATTAGACAAGAGGTAATCTTTAAGTTCCTTTTAAGGCCTAATCCATTAAGCTATATTTAGACCATCAGACTAATCATCTGGTTTTTATGACATTATTTTGTTACCAACTTTAGATCCAGGTTTGTTCTGCTTGCATGCAGTAAACCAATCACTGTGATACGGGTTTTGCAAAAGAGAAAAGATTTATTCACAAGGCTGCCAAGCAAGAAAGCAGGAGAACAGTGCTCAAATCCACCTTCCCAAAGATAAGCCTTAGCTATATTTACGGGTTAGGGAAGTGGGGTGGTCTAAGGCATGGGGAAAAGTAATTGACAGTGGGGATAAAAGTAACAGGTTTATTCTGTGCAAGCATAGCCAGGGTTCATGACATTACATAGGACATATAAACCCAAAATAGTGGCATTAGCATGATCTGAGGGTGGCATTTTTGGTCTTCTGACATTCAGAAGGCCATTTCTCAGGCACTTGTGGAGGCCTAGTTGAAGAGCCAGTGGCCTTAACTGGTTTGAACTGGACAGGAGCTGGCCCAAGTTCCTGAAAAACAACTGAAGCAATCATTACTGTGGTGAACTATGAATGTTATTTATAAAGTAGCCAGTGAAGGTTAAGTTTCAGAGTTCAGCAGGGTGGCATTCAACTACTGTAGCCTTCAGCTTCATGAAAAAAGAAAAGAAATAACAAAAAGCAAGCCACCAAAAGCAAGCAGGGCGGACAGACCTGATCAAATTAACCCTTCAGTTTCCATTTTGCCTGCGGTTTGGGGTTCTTAGATACTAATACAGATTATTTCACTTTTTACACTATATGGGATGTTTTTTTCCCAAAACAGTATATTTTTACAATTTCAGTCATATTTGAAGTGCCCTAAGATAGCTTCTCAATTAATTCCTTTAATACATTTTTTACTTGGCATCTACTATGTGCCAGACACTGTAGAACATTGTGAAAGACAGACATGCTGTTTGCTTCCAAAAAACTCATGTGTTAGTGAGGACAACAGGGAATAAACAATACAAATATAATATCATATCAGGAAGTGATAAAAAGAAAAATAAAGCAGATTAAAGAGTGATGAAAGAGGCTTACTATTTTAGATAAGCTGATTAGGCAAGGTCCCTGGCAGGGTGACTGAATTTTGGAATAACTAACTACTCACATATGTATATAATATTTATTAGTTAACTTTTACTGTTAAGATTTTTCAGTATTTTCAGTGCATCATATTTTTTATTCCTTTGCCTGATTTAACATAGATATCCTATTATAAAAGTATCTATGATTCCAGCTTTTCCCATAAACCATATTGTAATGATTTTCTGTTTCAAACCCTTTGGGACAACCTTTTAAAATATATCATATTCCTTAAGTATTTCCATATTGTTAGATACTTAAATTATTTCTAGTTTCTTGCTATTATAGATAACATTGATGTCAACCTCATTTTAAAATAAATCTTCAAAAATGTTTGAAGTATTTCTTAGATTTCCAGAAGTGTGGTTTACATATAAAAACTATTTAAAATAATAGTTTAAAATAATTTAAAATATATACACAATGAATCATTTTAAGGAATGAATATTTTCATAACCAAATACCCAATATTGCCTATCCATAAACCATCTGACTATGTCTATGTAGACATATATGTATTTACCATCTATTTAGCTAGCTATTATTTATATGACTGTATCAGTCCATCATCTACCTTTACCTTTTATTTAAAAAAAATAGGCTGGGCGCAGTGGCTCACGCCTGTAATCCCAGCACTTTGGGAGGCCACGGCGGGCGGATCACGAGGTCAGGAGATCGAGACCATCCTGGCTAACACGGTGAAACCCCGTCTCTACTAAAAAATACAAAAAATTAGCCAGGCGTGTTGGCGGGCGCCTGTAGTCCCAGCTACTCGGGAGGCTGAGGCAGGAGAATGGCGTGAACTCGGGAGGCGGAGCTTGCAGTGAGCCAAGATCGCACCACTGCACTCCAGCCTGGGCAACAGAACAAGACTACGTCTCAAAAAATAAAAATAAAAAATAAAAAATAAGCTTGCTATGTCACTTGAAGATTTAAGTCTCAACACCTTCTAAATTCCTTAAATTATTTAAATGTTTAGGTATGTAATCCAACGTCTCTAATTTTGGTTCACATTTGATTAAGGAACTGTTTCTCCCAAAGTAATTCTCCTGTCTTTTATTTCTCATATTGCTTTGTCAAATAAACATGAGGTTTGTACATGAATCTTTTTTCAGTAACAATGCTCATTGCTGAGAAGATTTTATGAATTGAACGCAAAGAGAATAGCTGACACTTCAGAGACATCACCTGAAGCTGCCATGGTGAGGGATGAATCGCTGAATAACCACAACTTGTGGGGGAGGATGCTCTCCACACTGCAGGACTTCACGTTTTTACCCATTGCATTATCACTGCCAGGGGCGGCACTTGCATGGATATATTCCATTTGTATATGGAATACATCATCTCCTTCCCTTAGCAGAGCCTGTACCAGGACAAATACACAGATCATACTTGAAATAGTAGCTTCTTATTTTAACAAATTTGCTTGTAAACAAATGTACACCAGGTCTTAATTTCCATTTATTAATTTTTCTTCTCCCACCGTTGTTATATCTTGAAGTTTCCAGCTTACAAAAAATTTTCAATAAAACAATTAATATCTGTATGCCCATCACCTCAATTCACCAATTGTTAGCATTTTGCTACATTTGCTTCTCTATGTATGTGTGTATGCACACACACATATATACAAGTACATGTATGTATATACATGTACATGCATATATACACACATATACATATACAGGCATGTATACACATACATATGCATATACAAATGTATACACATATATACATATATAAATGCACATGTGCACACACACCCATATATGTAAACTCATATATGATTAACACATATCCATATATTAAAAAAATGAACGATTTGTAAGTTGTGGGCATCATGATCCTTCACCAGGGCTAGAATCAGGATTAGGTGAGTGAGGCAAAAAATTTAAGAGGGCAAAAAAAGTCATTGATGTGCATATTTTAGTGCACTGTTTTGAAAAGTCAATGTTAAGGCAAAAAGCCCATGATAGCCAAAATAGCCTGCAAGACAGGCTCTTGTTGTTTATGTCCCTGCATTATTGTGCAATGAGAATAGTGTTTCCAATCAGCCTCTGGTTCTGGGATATGTGGCTGCTGGGTTTTTGAGGAGTGACAATGCCATGCAAACAGATTGGGCAACGCAGGCTTTATACATACTTGTGTTTTGACTGCGCAGCTTACATTAACTTTTTATACTTGGTGCAAAATATGCATAAAGGCATACATTTCCCTTTTGGCCTCTTGCTCCCATATGGTTCAGCACAGAGCAGTTCAGTGTGCATCTCCTAAGAACACAGAGATTCTCCTGTGGAACTGTGGTGTAGTAATCACACACAGGAGGTTTGACACTGATGCACAACTATCCTGTATATCCAGATTTAAGTTCTCACACTTGTGGCATTAATGATATATTTTCTGTCATGTTCCACCATTCAGGATCTCTTTGAGGATCATGCATCGAACGTAGTTACCAAGTCTCTTTATTCTCTTTTAATCTAGAAAGCTTCCCGTCCCCGCTTTTGACTTTCATGCCATTGGCATTTTTGAAGAGTCCAGTCCCATTGTTATGTGATTATCTCTCAATTTTGATCCGCCTGATTGTTTCCTCAAGAATACTGCATAATGCCAGATTTTTGAAAAAACACATTCTTATTTGAGTCTTATCGTACTGCTTGGCGGAGTAGGACTGACTGACTTCTCTCTAAAGCAGTAGAAGCAGAGTATTCCACGTTGTCAGAGCAGATGTATACCTTTTAGGTGTTAAAGGTTTTGTGCTAGAAAAATTGCCAGCTGAAATAAGAAGAAGCTTCAGCTCCTGGACCAACTTTGACTGATTGGAAGTGACTTTGAAGGCTCCCCCAAGGTCTCAGTGTAACTGAGCATCCCAGCCTCAAAATGCATTTTAAAACTTTTTTTTTTCTTTCTTGCTTTCAGCGTTGAAACATACTTTGAAACTCTTTGTTTCTCTCTTTTCCACCAGGCACTTTTGTGAACAGTGCTCACTTATCTAATTACATGCTTGCTTAGAAATTCCAGGGGTCAATTTTTAAGCAAAAAAAAAAAAAAAGGCACAGAGACCCAGCAGCAGAATCCTCCTGCTTGGGGGAGTTATGAACAGTTAGCCCACCACTACCGGGCAGAAGTGAGGATGACACAAACTGGACTTCCGGGCTGGCGATTAGTAAAGATAGCCATGGGAAAGAGACACACAGAGCTCTTCCCTCCCTTGATATTCCCACATTTTCCCACACCTTTTTCCTCCATAAACCCCTTCACTCAGCCCAAAAAGTTGGAACGGTCTTTCAAAGGCAGGCCATTCTCCAACTGGTAATGTGTCCGGAGTTGGTTCCTTCCAGTGGGTTCTTGGTCTTGCTGACTTCAAGAATGAAACCATGGACCTTTGTGGTGAGTGTTACAGCTCTTAAAGGTGGCACAGACCCAAAGAGTGAGCAGCAGCAAGATTTATTCTGGAGAGTGAAAGAACAAAGCTTCCACAGCATGGAAGGAGACCCGAGCAGGTTGCTGCTGCTGGCTGGGGGGGTGGCCAGCTTTTATTCCCTTATTTGTCCCCGCCCACATCCTGCAGATTGGTCCATTTTACAGAGCGCTGATTGGTCCATTTTACAGAGTGCTGATTGGTGCATTTACAATCCTTTAGCTAGACACAGAGCACCGATTGGTGCGTTTTTACAGAGTGCTAATTGGTGCATTTACAATCCTTTGGACACAGAGCGCTGATTGGCGTGTTTTTAAGTGCTGATTGGTGCATTTACAATCCTTTAGCTAGACACAGAGTGCTGATTGGTGCATTTTTACAGAGTACTGATTGGTGCGCTTACAATCCTTTAGCTAGACACAGAGCACTGATTGGTGCGTTTTTACAGAGTGCTGATTGGTGCGTTTACAATCCTTTAGCTAGACACAGAGCGCTATTGGTGGGTTTTTATGGAGTGCTGATTGGTCCTTTTACAATTCTTTAGCTAGACACAAAAGTTCTCCAAGTCCCCACTCCACCCAGGAATTCCAGCTGGCTTCATCTCTCAGCAGCATTTAGATAAAGTTGATTTCCTTTCACCATACCTCTCGCTTCTTAAGTTTTCAGCCTCTTAGCAGCTGGACTTGAGCCGGCTACATTGGGGAGGAAAGAGTCTCCTAAACCATACCTGAGGTGTGCCTTGGACATCTAAGTGAGGGGTGGGGCAGAGGCCCTGGCTAGTGTGAACACTGCTCCTGGTGAGGAATGACTGTGGCCTTATCATCTGCTGCAGGCAACGATCATTCTGTTTTCTAACCTAACCTGTGCCAATTTCACTGAACATCCAGACACACACACTGACACACACCAAGGCTGACTAGAAGTTGGTAAGATTGCTTTTCTCTTATGGCTGTTGGTAAGCCAACCAATTTCTCCATAATCAAAGCTCATACACATGTGATTCAACTTTATCCTCATACAAATCCACAAATGCATGAACTCCCCTTGTAAAGAACTGTTGTTAAACAGTTTAAAAATTCATCTCCAATCCTCCTATTCACTGGTGTTGATCAACATCATAAATAAAATGAGAAGATTAAAGGCTGATGAATTAATTCCCTCCCAGGTACTAGGGAAACAACCTGGAAATCTTCTTTATTGTCATTTTGGAACTTAATTTTGAATATGGAAAAGGCTTATCTACTTGGAATTTAATTAAAAGTAAATAAAGAAGCTGTAGTACAAAGATTTTACTGGGAAGGAAAGGAAATAGTATCCAGTTTCCCCATTGTGCCCTTCTGTTCAACTCCTCATCCAGTCTGTGTTGGGAATCAATTCCTCACTCTCTGCCAAACAAATGTATCATTCTTCAGATCTTTCCTGATGGAGTGGTAAAGAATTTGTATGCTTATGGCCTTCTCAGTTAATTCTGCAAATAGAGATAGAGGGAAGTTTAGTAGTGTTTATCCAAATTTTAAATGAGCAGCCTCTTTTCAAAAAGTGCAATTTGTATTGAGATCATTACAGATTCACATGCAGTTGTAAGAAATCACATAGAGATCTCCAGTGCACTTTGCCCAGTTTCCCTCAATGGTGACTTTTTGCAAAACTATAGTACAATATTGTAACTGGGAAATCAACATTCATACAATCTACTGATCTTATTCAATTCCCCGGTTTTACTTGTACTCATTCCTGTGTGTGTCTTCAGTTTTATACAATTTATTACATGTGCATAAGTATGCCTTTGACTTAGCATTTCCACTCTTAGGAATCTCTCCTCTAGAAATATTTGCCTATGTGCACAAAGCCACATGTACAAAAATATGAACTTTAGTCCTTTCATAGTACTAACAGAAATAATGACATTCTGCTTGCATCATTAGGAGCATAATTAAATACTTCTGGCACAATATGGAATGCTATGCAACAGTGAATAAAGACAGGAGCATACCTATAAAAGCTGATATGGAAAGCTCTCACAGACAAAATAAGTGTAAAAAGCATAGAATAATAGAATAATATAGGGGCCGGGTGCGGTGGCTCACGCCTGTAATCCTAGCACTTTGGGAGGCCAAGGAAGGGGGATCACGTGAGATCAGGAGTTTGAGGCCAGCCTGGCCAACATGGTGAAACCCTGTTTCTACTAAAAATACTAAAATTAGCTGGGCACAGTGGTGCGCTCCTGTAATCCCAGGTACTCAGGAGGCTGAGGCAGGAGAATTGCTTGAGCTCAGGAGGTGAAAGTTGCAGTGAGCCGATATGACACCATGGCACTCGAGTCCAGGTGACAAAGTGAGACCCTGTCTCAAAAAAAAAAGAATAATATAGGTACATTTATGTGGAAAATGTAAATTGATAAATGTGCATACATGTGTATGCATATAAATGCCTTTAAAAACGTGAATTACACCCCTCAAACTGTTAATAACAGCCACCAAATGTTTTAACTGAGACTCCGTAAATCTAAAACATCTAGGCCTCATCTTTGGCATTAAGACAAATCTGCAATCACTTCACAGCCAGTCTATGCTTGAGACTTAACTCAGAGCCTTCCCCCATGGGGATGAAAAATCCTCTTCTACCTGGAAGAGAGGAATGGTGGGAGTCTAGAGGTGCCTGTCAGCCTGAAGTAGCACCCAGGGGTGTGAGGCAACTGGGTTTATCTGAAAAGACATGGACACAGTACATCCAAATTTTTTTTTTTTTGAGGTGGAGTCTCGCACTGTCGCCTGGGCTAGAGTGCAGTGGCATGATCTCGGCTCACTGCAACCTCTGCCTCCTGGGTTCAAGCGATTCTCCTGCCTCAGCATCCCGAGTAGCTGGGATTACAGGCGCCTGCCACCAGGCCCAGCTAATTTTTTTGTATTTTTAGTAGAGACGGGGTTTCACTATGTTAGTCAGGCTGGTCTCAAACTCCTGACCTCGTGATCCGCCCGCCTTGGCCTCCCAAAGTGCCGGGATTACAGGCATGAGCCACCGCGCCCGGCCCCTAATGTTTTGTATAAGCAAAAACAGCAAAACGTTAACAAAATAAATTTTAGTAATTCACAATGAAAAGATAGCAGGTCTCTTCCACATCTCAGGCCACCTAGCAATCCATTTTTCCAATTGCAACCGTTCATTATTTATTTAGAAGTTAAAATGAGTGGAGGAGGGGTGAGGTAGGACATTTAGTGAAATTCTTGCAGCTGAAAGGAACAAATGGTTCTTTCCAAAGGTACATTTTTTGTAACATATAGACACATTTCCCATAAGAAACTCCCAGCACAATTGAAAGCACATGTACAGATGGCCAGGGCGTGCTGTGCATGTTACTGTGCAAGCAATTCAGCAGGGCTGCTGCAAAACCAGCTTTCTCAGCTCTGGGTGCTCGGGCTTGTCTCCATAACAAGCTACCATGTAACAAACGGATCTCAGCAGGGTGAACAACAGTTGCAGAAAGTGAGCTGTTTCCTTCACCCCCACCCTGCTCCCTTCACTCTCAAAAGTTACAAACTGAGTTTCCTTCCTGATAAACTCCAAGGCTTCCTCACTGATTGGTCTCAGTTTGGGAAAGGACGTGACATCAGCAACTTCGCAGACTTAGGGCTGGAGGGTTCTTGTGGCCTCTGGCGGGCCTCCAGCCAGTTAGGTAAAACGTGTGTGTGTGTGTGTGTGTGTGTGTGTGTACACGAGCGCATGCCTCTCTCTGATCACAGGTAGCACTCAGATTACCCTGCCTGCTCTGTGCTTTGCTGCAGACCATTTGACCAGAACGTGTGCAGCTCAGCCAGCCACAGAACTGGAATTTTTCAGGAGCAGGGGGAGCATGGAGTTTGGACTTTGCTGAGCAACTGAAGTGGAGCGCAGAGCTTGCTCGCTTAGGAGAGAGCATCATGGATGGCAAACAAGGGGGCATGGATGGGAGCAAGCCCGCGGGGCCAAGGGACTTTCCTGGCATCAGGCTTCTTTCAAACCCATTGATGGGCGGTGAGTCATAGGGGCAGTGGAATCAGCCCTGGGGAGGTTGGCTAATGTGCTTAGGAGAGGAGGGTTGGGCAGTTTCAGTGGCTCTGTGTGAGGTGTCCATGGGGCTGTTACTGGGCAGATGTCCACAGCTCACTGGTATATATTCTTTACACAGCTGTTCAAAAATGTGTATACTTCTTTCTGCAGAATCCTACAGACAAGACAAATTCAATTGTCACAAATTATTCTCCAGTGAAAATTTCA
The DNA here is from genome assembly GCF_000001405.40 of Homo sapiens. NCBI lineage: Eukaryota > Metazoa > Chordata > Mammalia > Primates > Hominidae > Homo > Homo sapiens. The sequence goes on along the minus strand of NC_000023.11, from coordinate 15,269,537 downwards.
GCTCCCAGGAATCATTCTTTGTGGGTCAAATGCATTATTTATTAAATTGGAGGTTTGAAAGTTACTTATAAATAGGAAAATTTTTAATGCTAAAACTTTTTAATTTGTAAGTCTTAGGTGTTTGGCATTTAGGTGGGGCAGGGTTTATAAAGATGTTCAAACATTGAGCACTGATTGAGTCACTTTCAAAAGAGACAAAAGAGACTTTGTTTTACTTAAAACATTGGAGAATCATCTTACAGGTATTGTTCTCATCTGTCAAGTGGTGTCTGTGCTAATGTACAGAATCCCACAAATACACACTTCGGTGAGCATTCAGCAGGTGCCTGTTGGCTGAAAGGATTCTGAAAAATGGGTTTAGGCATTTGCACACAGGTTCTTATAAATAATAGTATATTGGTTAGTAATATACTGGTTAACTCTCCAGCCCCAAGTCTGCAAACTTGCTGATGTCACGTCCTTTCCCAAACTGAGACCAATCAGTGAGGAAACCTTGGAGTTTATCGGGAAGGAAACTCAAAGTTCGTAACTTTCGGAGAGCAAAGGGAGCAGCAGGGTGAGGGTGAAGGCAACAGCTCACTTTCTGCAACTGTTGTTCACCCTGTTGAGATCCTTGGGGGCTTGTGACGGAGACAAGCCCCAGCACCCAGAGCTGGGAAAGCTGGTGTTGCAGCAGCCCTGCTGAATTGCTGTATTTATTATTTATTAATTTTTTTTTCTTTTTGAGACGGAGTCTTGCTCTGTGGCCCAGGCTGGAGTGCAGTGGCGCGATCTCGACTCACTGCAACCTCCGCCTCCCGGGTTCAGGCCTGTATATATAGGCGGGGCACGGTGGTTTACGCCTGTAATCCCAGTACTTTCGGAGGCCGAGGCGGGCAGATCACGATGTCAGGATACCATCCTGGCCAACATGATGAAATTCCGTCGCTACCTAAAATACAAAAATTAGCTGGGTGTGATGGCACGTGCCTGTAATCCCAGCTACTCGGGAGGCTGAGGCAGGAGAATCACTTGAACCCGGGAGGCGGAGGTTGCAGTGCACCTAGATCTCGCCACAGCACTCCAGCCTGGCGACAGAGTGAGACTCCGTATCAAAGAAAAAAGAAAAAAATATATACCTGGTATACTGTCCACAGCACCTGTTGATCAAAGGGGCAATAAACAGGGACCCTGAAGTCAGGGTGTTTTGTTTTGTTTTGTTTTTTTGAGACGGAGTCTCATTCTGTCGCCTGGGCTGGAGTGCAATGGCGAGATCTCCGCTCACTGCAACCTCTGCCTCCCGGGTTCAAGAGATTCTCCTGCCTCAGCCTCCCGAGTAGCTGGGATTATAAGCGCCCGCCACCACACCCGGCTAATTTTTGTATTTTTAGTAGAGACGGGGTTTCACCACGTTGGCCAGGCTGGTCTAGAACTCCTGACCTCAGGTGATCTGCCCGCCTGGGCCTCCCAAAGTGCTGGGATTACAGGTGTGAGCCACCACGCCCGGCCGTCAGTCAGGGTTTATTAATCTACTATACAGGTACCAAAAAGGTAAAAATGGAAGAAATAAAACACAAAACGTCTTCCCTTTGACTGAGTAGACTAGCCTGCTCATTCATTCATTCATTTATCCAATTTCACTTATAAAATGAGCAGAGTACTCAATGGTGAGTGGGATTTAGATCCACAAAGGCAGAACTGGATTAATCAGCAGATGTATTGAGCATGAGTTTGGAGAACTAGGAAAGCAAGAGTGGCATCAAAAATCACTTTTCACAAAGAATTTCTTTTTTTTTTTTTTTTTTTGTTTTTTTTGAAGTGGAGTTTCACTCTGTCACCCAGGCTGGAATGCAGTGGAGCAATCTCAGCTCACTGCAAACTCCACCTTCCCGTGTTCAAGCGACTTTCCTGCCTCAGCCTCCTGAGTAGCTGGGATTACAGGCGTCCGCCACCACACCCAGCTGATTTTTGTATTTTTAGTAGAGACGGGGTTTCACCATGTTAGCCAGGATGGTCTCAATCTCCTGACCTCGTGATCCGCCCGCCTTGGCCTCCCAAAGTGCTGGGATTACAGGCGTGAGCCACCACGCCCGGCCACTTTTTACAAGGAATTATATATATAATTATATATATATATATATTTTTTTTTTAGATGGAGTCTCGCTCTGTTACCAGGCTGGAGTGCAGTGGCACCATCTCGGCTCACTGCAACCTCGGCCTCCTGGGTTCAAGCAATTCTGCCTCAGGAGGGAGAGGCAGGGACTAGGTGGGACTACAGGCACACGCCTGGCTAATTTTTTGGGGTGTTTTTTTTTTGTATTTTAGTAGAGACGGGGTTTCACCATGTTGCCCCAGGCTGGTCTCCAACTCCTGAGCTCAGGGAAGTCTGCCCGCCTCGGCCTCCCAAAGTGCTAGGATTACAGGTGTGAGCCACTGTGCCCGGCCGATAAATATATTTTTAAAACAGCAAACCAATCATTATGGGAAAGAATCGGTAATTTGGTTGACTTCTGCACGGTTATTTTATAGCTAAGTATTGTATTTATTTTTGTTTCCACATGGGAGAGAGGCACCAGCCACTTTTCACTGTTAGGGTTTCTTTTTCTTTTTTTTTTTTTTTTTTGAGATGGAGTCTCGCTCTGTCGCCCAGGCTGGAGTGCAGTGGCACAATCTTGGCTCACTGCAAGCTCCGCCTCCCGGGTTCACGCCATTCTCCTGCCTCAGCCTCCTGAGTAGCTGGGACTACAGGCGCCCGCCACCACGCCCGGCTAATTTTTTGTATTTTTAGTAGAGACGGGGTTTCACCATGTTAGCCAGGATGGTCTCAATCTCCTGACCTCGTGATCCACCCACCTTGGCCTCCCAAAGTGCTGGGATTACAGGCGTGAGCCAACTGTTCAGGATTTCTAAAGTTCCTAATACAACCCTGGTGGGGTCAGGGTGGGTGAGTGGGAGTGGGCAGGTGTTATACGCAAAGGCATGGTGCTTGTAAAGTCAACAAGTTTTTACAGCTAGAGTGCAAAATGTGAATGTCTTAGGGAGTCTAGTGAGAACAAGTTTGAAGAGATGGAGTGGCAGATAAAGCTTGAAGAGCTAAGTGGAGGAGGTCAGGCTTCATGAGGCAGGAAATTGAGAGCCATTGGTGGTTCTAGAACAGAGACCTGGTAATAAGGCTGTAGGTCAATTAACATGGTAGCCACAGCTGGGATAGATTGTGTTGGAATCGTGGGAGATGGTTGCATTCATCCAGTGGTTCTCAAATTCTCATGTGCCTCTACATCACCTGGAGAGCTTATTGAAATACAGATAATGCAGCTTCTGGCTGGGCACGGTGGCTCACGCCTGTAATCCCAGCACTTTGGGAGGCTGAGGTGGGCGGATCACTTGAGGTCAGGAGTTCCAGACCAGCCTATCCAACATGGTGAAACCCCATCTCTACTAAAAATACAAACATTTGACTGGGTGCAGTGCCTCACACCTGTAATCCCAGCACTTTGGGAGGCCGAGGCAGGCGGATCACCTGAGGTTGGGAGTTCCAGACCAGCCTGACCAACATGGAGAAACCCAGTCTTTACTAAAAATACAAAATTAGCCGGGCATGGTGGTGCATGCCTGTAATCCCAGCTACCCGGGAGGCTGAGGCAGGAAAGTCGCTTGAACCCGGGAGGCAGAGGTTGTGGTGAGCCGAGATCACACCACTGCACTCCAACCTGGGCAACAAGAGTGAAACTCTGTCTCAAAAAAAAAAAAAAAAATTAGCTGGGTGTGTTGGCACATGCCTGTAGTCCCAGCTACTTAGGAGGCCGAGGCAGGAGAATTGCTTGAACTTGGGAGGGCGGAGGTTGCAGTGAGCTGAGATCATGCCACTGTACTCCAGCCTGGGCAACAGAGCGAGACTCTGTCTCAAAAAAAAAAAATGCAGATGATGCAGCTTTTGATGAAGTCGTAGGCCTGGGGTGGGGGCCTAGGAATCTGCATTCATAACAAACTCCCAGGTGAAATGGATGGTACTGGTCAGGGACCATACTTTGAAAACTACTGCACTAATCCAACCATGAAACTTACATTTGGATCGAACTTTGGAAATGACAGAGAAAGGGCGATGATTTCAAAGGAAAGATAAATCAGCGTATGTTGCTTGATTAAATGTTGGAACTAACAGAAGGCAGGCAAAATTATAAGGTTCTCAAGCCCAAAGTAATGTCAGATAAGCTAGATAAGAGGGAAGTTGGAAAGGAAGTTGCCTTGGATGCAGGATGAGGAGGGGAGGATACAGAGTTCTGTTTTGGACATGATAGTGCTAACAATGATGCCCAGTGCACAGTATGATGACATGGGACTGAGACTTAGGAACGATCACAGGTTAGAAGCCAGATACCTCAGAATGTCCTACAGAGGGGCTGTGGTTGAAACCTAGGGAAGGGAGAAATTGTCCAATGGCTAAGAGCTGAGAGTCAACCAAGGATGGAACCCTGGGACAGGCCTCCAGTTGATGAAGTAGGACCAGTAAGTTGGACAGAGAAGCAGAAAGAGATTCTGGATGTTGTAATTACACAGGTGCTAAGGGAAGAGAAGTTTTCAAAGAAGTAGAAGTCACAAGGGTAGGTGCCTGGATACTTCTGGTTTCTTACCTCCTGTTGTGAATCTGACTGGCAAATTGCTACTCACCTTCTACACCCAGCTGAGCCATTGCCCCCATGAAGCCCTCCTAGACTTTCCACCTCTCCCTACTCAAGTGGAGTCATTCTCCGTCTGCTTTGCATCAGTCCTGCCCCTTGGGTAAAACCTCAATTGTAGTTGGTTGCTTTTGTTTATGCTTCTGAGGTCTTAACCTTGGTGAAGTGTGGAATGGGGAACACTCAGAATGCTGTTTTCAAATAGCTGTGCCAAGAAACTCAGCTCAGGTGAAGCTTGTCCCTTTGCACAAGGCCAAGTTAGAGGGGAAAATAGGGCCCAGGTGTGGATCATCTTGCTGCTCCCACCTCCACCTGCAGGCGTTTTTCTGCCCACTTCCCTGGGGGTAGGGAGGGAGGAAAGGCTATAAAAATGGGCAACCAACTCTTTATAGAGATTTGTTTCATGTTAGACTCTCCTGTCCAAGGAGCAGGGAAAGAATGTCTTAATTTTTTCCTGAAAGTAGCTTGTTACGAGTTAAATTGTGTACCCTGAAAATATATATGGTTAAGTTCTTAACCCCCGTGCCTCAGAATGTGACCTTATTAGTTAAGATTAGTTCAGGTGAGGTCGTAAGTAGGGTAGGATGGACCTTAATCCAACATGACCAGAGTCCCTATAAGAAAAGGAGAAGGAGACACATGGAGAATGCTATGTGACAACAGAGGCAGAGATAGGAGTGACACATCTAGAAACCAAGGAACACCAAGGACTGATGGCCACTGCCAGAAGCTAGAAGAGGCAAGGAAGGATTTTTCCCTAGAGCCTTTGGATAGAGTATGGCCCTGTCCACACCTTGATTTCAGACTTCTAGCCAACTGCTAGCCTCTAGGACTCGGCGACAACAAATTTCTGTTGTTTTAAGCCACCCAGTTTGTGGTGTTTCGTTATGGTATCCCTAGGAGGCTAATTTATACCTACTCATAGAAACTTAGGAAAATACATTGAAGGATAAACTAACCACCCATAATTCCACCAAGCAGGTAATCACTGTTCCCAGTGTTAGTGTCTATCTTTTGGGGTTTTGCCTGAAGACTGACAACTGTAGAGATATTTCTATCCTTGCAAAATTGAGCCCACCCTGTAGAGAGTATTCACATTTAAACAGAAGACAAGCTAGAACAGGTATTGAAAGAAAACAATTTTATTGTCTTATGGTGAATTTTTAGATATTGGGGCACCTCAGGAGGGGTGAGTTTTCTGGGGGAAAACCTGCCTGTTGAGACAGAATGGGTGATAATGTGAGGGCCCTTTGGAGAAGGCAGCTTTATATTGAGAGAGAGAGAGAGAGAGAGAAGAGAGAGGGAGACAGGAAAGAGAAGAGAGAGAAGAGAGAGAAGAAAGAGGAGAGGAGAGGCTGGATGATGGAACTGGAGAAAGAACTGCAGTGGACAGGCCTGACTTGCCCAAGAGTTGCCTCAGTGGGCCTTTCTGTTTGTTTCTGACTGTAAGCCTCTTGTTTCTTTTTCTCCTCTTTCTGTTTGTCCTGGGATCAAACCAAGGTCCACAATAATTGTGAATACAGCACCCAGATACTTTCCAGGTTCTGGCAGGTTGGTTCATGCCACTGAATCCACCCTTATTGTGTCCTGAAGACTGAAGGCAAATACTCCTGTCCCCTCAGAGCAACCCGACTTCTTTTTTGTCTCCTTGACTTTGCAAAACGTTTCTCAGGATGAGTAGATTTATGCTACCGCCCAGCATTCACTGGGGTTCTCAGAACATCAGTAATAGCTATTTTCAGCATGTAGCAATTAGTGCATCTTAAATCTCTTTTGAAATAATGGAAATGAAAAAAATGTTCCACAAATTACAATAAAAATGAAATGGCAGCCTCCCTAATGTGCTCCAGGTTTGATGAGGGTACAATTTAAAAGAAAGATAAGTTCTTGCTAATACACACACACATACACACAATCTATGCTCTCTGAATGTTAGAAAAATGTTAAACTAGGCCAGGCGCAGTGGCTCATGCCTATAATCCCAGCACTTTGGGAGGCTGAGGCGCATGGATCACTTGAGGTCAGGAGTTGGAGACCAGCCTGGCCAACATGGTGAAATCCTGTCTCTACTAAAGTTACAAAAATTAACTGAGTGTGATGGTGTGCACCTGTAGTCCCAGTTACTTGAGAGGCTGAGGCAGGAGAACCACTTGAACCCAGGAGGTGGAGGTTGCAGTGAGCCAAGATTGCCCCACTGTACTCCAGCCTGGGTGACAGAATGAGACTCCGTCTCAAAAAACCAACAGAACATTACACACAAAGAAAAATGTTAAATTATTAATTGTCACTACTGTAAATTTTCACATAATCACTCATTTGTTCTGATACCTGCTGAGGTCAAAGTCCTTGTATAAATTTGAGATGGATTTTAGTTTTACAGGGACTCACGTTTTTCTTCTGGGCAGGAGCATAGGCATACTGTGACAGGCTTAACAAACCCTGAACTGAAATGACTTTATGTTAGAAGGGGAAGCCTCATATCCTGCTGATGGGAACATACAGTAGGGCAGCCACTTTGGAAAACAGTCTCAAAATAAACATTGTGTTACCATATCATACAGCAATTCTTTTAGGTGCATATTCAGGAGAATTGAAAACATATATCTGCTCAAAAACTTGTATATGAATGTTTATAGCAGCATTATTCATAATAGGCAAGAAGTAGAAATGACACAAATTTTTATCAGCTGATGAATGAATACATAAAATGTGGCTTATCCATACAATGGAATTATTTGGCCAAAAAAAAAAAAAAAAGGAATGAAGTACTGATGCACGCTACAACATGGATGAAACTTTGAAACATGCTAAATAAAAGAAGCCAGTTGCAAAGTACCACATACTGTATGGTTTCATTTATATGAAATGTCCAGAATAGGCAAATCCATAGAGACAGAAAGTAGATCCATGGCTGCCAGGGGCTGAGGGAAGTAGAACTGTGGAGTGACTGCTAATGGGCACAGAGTTTCTTTTTGGGGTGATGAAAATGTTCTAAAATTGATTGTGGTGTTGGTTGCATAGCTCTGAATATACTGAAAACTGCTGAATTGTACACATTAAATGGGTGTATTGTATGGTATGTGAATTATATCTCAATACAGCTGCTTGCTAGCTAGCTAGCTAGAGATATTCACATTGTCAGCCCCTCACTACGTGTACCAGGACAACACTCTGTACTTCTCAAAGACACAAGCTGTCTCTGCTCTGTAAACACTACATTCTGCAGAGGTGCAAATTCAGATAGCCTTGTTATTCTCTTGGAGAAGTACGTACTTCTTTATTTGCCCCAAATAGAAAGAGTAATGGTCCCATGATGAATGAGCAGAAAGTAAGACCATTTGTGGCTACACTTGATAAATGCGTCATTTTTATGAAATCTGGACAGTTACAAATTAGGATGCAATCTACCTGCCTGGACTGTTTAGCCTGTCGACAATAATAATCTTAGGGAGCTCTAAGAGAGGTTGGGGAATGTGGCAGCTGTATTTCTTAGCAGCTGAGCACTTGGAAAAAAAAGTGGATTAATCATCATACATATGGTGATCCATCAAGATACATTTGCAAATCTATTGAAAACTGATTTTCAAAACCTTTCTCAATTTGTGGCTCTTTGTTCTCATTCAAGATTTTGTGTGAATGGTATTTGGCATTATCAGCACCAACAGGGTGGAATTAGTTGTCCTTTTAATTCTAATTTGGAGATCAATCTTTCCATGTCTGCAGTCCGAATTTTAGCTTCCAAGCCCTAGAATCAGCAGTATTATTCCAGAAATAATTAGGAGCCTCAGAGAATGCCGTGAGGACATTGAGTATCTATTAAGCGTGAGGTTTTGACGGTACGAAAAGCCATTTCACTTAAGATGTACCTTGTCTCAAGCACCTTTAGTGACCCCAGAAGGAAAGCATTGGATGGGCGGTATGTAGATGGGCTCATTTGTCTTCCTTTTATGTACTAAATGCTTAATGAATCCATCTGGAAGAATGGTAATTTGCTTACTAATACAGATTTTCCAGGGCACTGATGGCTTCAGGTGGCAGACAGACGGGCCTCATGTGTTAAGTACAAAGTGTTAAGCCAACATGTGTTAAATACAAAGGATACTTCATAGCCTTTCAGTTTGCAAGGTATAGATAGTTAAGTATCCTCCTTCTCCAGGTCTTCTCAGTTTTTAGGAGCTATTAGCTTCCGTGCAAGGCATAACTGGCACCAGACCTTTCTACCTTGTTTGTATGTAGTGTGTTTGGCGAAGCAGGTGGAGCTGGAGCTGAAGCAGGTTCAGGCACGCCTCCCTCACATTTCTACTGGAAATCAGATGAAGCTTGAGATGAGAAAAAAATCAGATCTATGCCTCATTCAGTTATATTCAATTAAGAGAGAGGAAAGCATTTAATGGGTTGGGATTGGGTTTTCAGGCTTCTTTCCTAAGAATTTGTTTTCCTTCTATGTGGTTGTAGAATAAATTTGCTATTTTATTTTATTTTTTTGAGACAGAGTCTCACTGTGTCACCCAGGCTGGAGTGCAGTGGCATGATCTCGGCTCACTGCAACCTCCGCCTCCCGGGTTCAACCGATTCTCCCGCCTCAGCCTCCCGACTAGCTGGGATTATAGGCGTGAGCCACCACACCCAGCTAATTTTTACATTTTTACTAGAGATGGTGTTTCACCATGTTGCAAGGCTGGTCTCGAACTCCTGACCTCAGGTGATCTGCCCACCTCGGCCTCTCAAAGTGCTGGGATTGCAGGTGTGAGCCACCACGCCTGGTGTAAATTTGCTATTTTAAATAGCAATGATGATGAGGTATAATTAAGACTCTCTGTTTAGTGTTAGGGCAGGATAATAATAGTAGCTAGTATGTGTTGAGCCATGGTAAGTACAGGTTGAGCATCCCGTCTCTGAAATCCTTGGGACCAGAAGTGTTTCCAGTTTTTTCAGATGTTGGAATATTTGCATATACATAATGACTTATCTTGTGGATGGTACTCAAGTCTAAACACGAAATGCATTTATGTTTTATATACACCTTACACACATAACCTGAGATAATTTTATATAATATTTTAAATAAGTTTGTGCATGAAACAACGTTTTGACTGCAACCCATCACATGTCAGATGTGGAATTTTCCACTTGTGGCATCATGTTAGCACTCAAGAAGCTTTGGATTTTGGAGCATTTTGGATTTGGGAGTTTTGGGTTAAGGATGCTCAACCTGTATGTTATATATTAGGGCTGCTCAACTTGTAACTTTACAGAGAAGGAAACTGCGGCACTGGGCCTTTCCCGGGACCCACAGGTCAGAAAAGGTGAAGCGGGTCTGAATTAAGAGCTTTCTTTAACCACCTTGGCATGCTGCCTTTGAGGGTAAATAATGTCCCTGTTTCAAGGTGAGACTGAACACTGATTTGTGCTTAATATTAGGACAGGAGATAATCTATAAATAGATATGGTTCTGTTTAGATTTGATTCCAAACCTAATGGTGTATGTAATTACATGATTACTACTATTAATACAGAACACTGTTTGGTGAGATGCCAAAGTCTGTATTTCATGCAGGAAACTAGACTGACAGCTACAGCTTAACACACTAATGTTGGTAATTAGTGAAGCTCTCGCTTAACTAAATGGGCCATTTGCCTTTGAAACCAGTGTGTAAATAGAAATAGAGTAATCTGTCATCCCAATCCACCTCTTTTGTCCTTAGTTTGAGGACTGGCTGTAGTTCTTTCCCAAGCTATCCAGACATTTCAAACAAACTGTGCACAAAAAATATTAATAAAGAAGAGAAATGCTGAATTCCTGATGGGAATTTTGGTTGAGTGAATCCAATGTCTCCCTCCATCCAGGGCCTGTTAGGCTCTTATTGATGGGCAAGGATAAGCCTCTGGGTCTAAGTGCATTAGCAGGATATAACCCATTCCCCTCTTTCCATACAGATGCTGTGTCTGATTGGTCTCCTATGCATGAAGCTGCAATCCACGGACATCAGCTGTCTCTGAGGAACCTCATCAGCCAGGTAGCTTTTTGAAAATACAATACAGAAGAAACCTATCAAAATATTAAAACAAATGTGTGACATAATAACATAGGGACTTTTAAATTAATTCATTAAATAGAAGACCTAGTGGTGATTCTAGTAACTACCATAACGTCTAAATAGGATGAGTATAGATTTTGAGATATTTTAGATGTCTACAGCAATTGTAATACAATAGAAAATATCTGTAATTTCTATTGGAGATAACCCTACATAATACTATTACTACTGTGGTTTGTTGTCTACATTCTGAACTGAAGGAAATGCTAAATTTCAGATAGAGCTGAGTGAGAATAAATGTGCTTTAAAAAATCCAATTTCATAGACCTATCTAGAGTAAGAAGTCCTCCTATAAGAAAATAATTTCTAAAGAAAAATTTCATACTATCCTAAGCCACTATCTTAAGCCATTTTTGGTAGCAGCAGTCTATTATAAATAGATTATAACACTAATTCTAGCTAAAAGAAGTTAGGCTACTTCTCAGATAAAATTAGAAATTTACCCTATTTTGATAGCATGAAAAATGATCACTGCAGCTTTTATATATCACTTCTTAAATTGGACAGATACTCATTTACATTCAGTATTTATGTGTTTATGAAACATCAGCCAGAACCATATCTCCAAGTTCTATCACATTATTTGTGTAAGATGTCTTTTTAGAGCCCCGGTTTCTGCTTTCATAAAATGAGTATTCTAATACCTACCTAGGTCAGTCCACCCCATAACTCAATAACAAACCATCCCAAAACTCAGTGACATGATACAGTAACCATTATTTCTTGCTGATGTGTGTTTGTGTCAGTTCATCTAGGCTGGGCTTGGCTGGGCTTGGCTCCCAGCTGTGGGTTGGGTGTAGCCCTGCTGCACATCTCTTTCATCCTGCTTGGACCACTGGCTACCTGAGGAATTATTTTTTCTTGGCAAAACGCTGGAGCACAGCAGGACAAGCCCCACCATGCAAGAATACTTCCAATCTGTTCATGTCACATCTGCTAACATCCCACTGGTCAAGTCACATGACCACATCCAAAGTCAAGGCTCAAGAGAAGTACATTTTGTCAACTAAGCGTAGTTGACGACTGAAAATAGATATATTAAAGTTAAGCCATTCAATCTTTTTTTAAAAACTAAGAACTGACTGTGGACTGAACACTGTGAAGTAATGGGTTAATTACCTTATGATTTTATATGACTCAGACTTGTTAATAATTTAGACAAATCACAGTTAATTTAAGGTAGAACTGTAGCTTGATGATGAACTACAAATGAGTTTCTAACTTTACAGAAGGAACCTCTCTGCAATGTGAATATGTGGTGAAAACTTTTTGTGTTACGAATAGCTGTGTTGTTGTATTTCATTTACGTGGATTTATGTATAAACACCTAAATGCTGGTTTTATTTTTATCATTATTATTATTATTATTATTATTTTTTTGAGATGGAGTTTCACTCTTGTTGCCATCTGGAGTGCAGTGGCGCGATCTCGGCTCACTGCAACCTCCGCCTCCTGGGTTGAAGCAATTCTGCCTCAGCCTCCCGAGTAGCTGGGACTACAGGCATGTGCCACCACGCCCCGCTAATTTTATATTTTTAGTAGAGACGAGGTTTCACCATGTTGGTCAGGCTGGTCTCAAACTGCTGACCTCAGATAATCCATCAGCCTTAGCCTCCCAAAGTGCTGGGATTATAGGCATGAGCCACCGTGCCTGGTCTAAATGCCGGTTTTACAATGGCAGTTGTGCCTGGAGGAGTATGCACATTTTCCTATTGGTTGTTTTTATGGTTGCCTTTTGCCCAAGTTCTGTACCTCGGCCTGCCTTCCCCCAACTTGTGTCTGATACACTTGCATGATTTTTGCTTCATGTGACAATCATACCCCTCTTGTGGCATTGACAAAGCTACTTTCTATAAGTGTGATGACTGTGAGAAAATAAGATATTTTCTCCTGCCAATTGGACATTTAAGTCTTAGGTATGAATAGTAAAGTAAGAAATGACATATTCTTTTCTTTGATCACGACAAAAGTTGGCACATTTTTTTCTTTCTTTTTTTTTTTTTTTTTTTGAGACGGAGTCTTGCTGTCGCCCAGGCTGGAGTGCAGTGGCGCCATCTCGGCTCACTGCAGGCTCCGCCCCCTGGGGTTCACGCCATTCTCCTGCCTCAGCCTCCCGAGTAGCTGGGACTACAGGTGTCCCCCACCTCGCCCGGCTAATTTTTTGTATTTTTAGTAGAGATGGGGTTTCACCGTGTTAGCCAGGATGGTCTCGATCTCCTGACCTCGTGATCCGCCTGCCTCGGCCTCCCAAAGTGCTGGGATTACAGGCGTGAGCCACTGCACCCGGCCAAGAGTTGGCAAATTTTTTTCAGTAAAGGACCAGATAGTAAATATTTTAGGCTGGGAGGCTGAGGCAGGAGAGTGGCGTGAACCCAGGAGGTGGAGCTTGCAGTGACCCGAGATCGCGCCACTGCACTCCAGCCTCGGCGACAGAGCAAGACATCGTCTCAAAAAAAAAAAAAAAAAAAAAAAAGAATCTTAGGCCTTGCGAACCATGCAGTCTCTGTTGGAAGTACCTAACTCTGCTGTTTAGCAGAAAAGCAGTTGTAGACAATATGTAAATGAATGGGCATGGCTGTGTTCTGATAAAACTTTGCTTATGGATGCTGAAATTTGAATTTCATAAAATTTTCACGTGTCACAAAATATTCCTTTGATTTCTTTTAAACCATTAAAAATGTAGAAACCATTCCTAGCTACAGAAGCAGGTGTAGGCTAGATTTGACTCTGTAGGCTACTGTTTGTTGACCCCCTTGTCAAAACTATGATAGAGCTAGGAAATCTAAGAAAAACAATTAAATGTCAGGAAAAGGAGGGTTTTTTTGAGAAAAAAAATTGGGTGAAACTGATATTTTTATTACAAATATTATTAAATCCTGTGTGTTACTAAATACTTATGTTTAAAGAGCAATTATATTAGTTAATAGGTACATTTCAATTTCCTAAAATAAGAAAGTACATTTAGGCTTCCTAAAAGGTACATGCAGCAGTCTATTTCTTTTCCCTCGCAGTTTGAAAATTTCCTTTTAATTGTCTCACAAGGTAGAGCCACTTGTGAATATGTTAAAACTTAATAATTGCTTGTTAAAACTTAGCAATTTGGGCCACGCTGACTTTAAAAAAATTGAGAAATTTCATAAGCATGAAAGAACTTAAACACGTGTGCAGTTGAATAAAAAGTGATGATGATGAGAATATTGCCATGTGACTGCCTCCCCAGGTCAGGAAATGGAAAAATAGCACAATGCTGGCTCCTCCAAAGACTCACCCATCCCTCCCCTTATTGTGCTTTCTAGAACACAATCCTGTCCCTCTTCCACAGGAGTAACCATTATCCCGATTTCCTTGTTTTCTTTATGGTTTTACTCTATATATTATGTCTTCTGAAACAATATGGGGTAGTTTTGCCTAATTTTGAACTTTAAATTGATGTAATCATTCAGTGTGTATGCTTTTGGATTTTGCTTCTTTTGCTCAACATTATTTTTGCAAGCATCACCCTTGTAGTGCTTGCCATTATGATTTGTTGGGTGTAATCTTTCTGCTGAAAGATTATACCAAAGTTAATTAATTCAGTCCATTGTTGATGGACATTTGGTTTGTTTGCAGTTTTTGACTATTATGACCAATGCTGTTGTGAATATTCTTGTATATTTATCTAGATGTATATATACCTAAGAGTCAAATTGCTGAGTCATAGGCATATGCATTGTCAGCTCTAATAGATACAGTCAAACTGTTTTCCTGAGTGGTTATACCATACCACACTCCCACCAGTAGTGTGGCATTTTTTTTTTTTTAAAGTCAATATAAACACCTTAGTGTAACATCTGACTTTGAGCCAGGTCAGCTTTGTCATAGTACTGGAATGGTGGCTGAAAAGCAGCCCCAGGGCACTGTTGCTTTGCACCCCTTACTCTGACTGTTTCCCCTCCTTCAGGGGTGGGCTGTGAACATCATCACGGCAGATCATGTTTCCCCACTCCATGAAGCCTGTCTTGGAGGTCATCTCTCTTGTGTGAAGATTTTATTAAAGCATGGAGCTCAGGTAAGGGCAGCTGAAACAACATCTTAGAAACCAAGAATGAAAAATGACTATGTATATCCCTTCTGAATAACTTCCAGCACTTTTGATTAGACTGATTTGAAATATGAAGACAGTTGTTTTTCAAGAAAATTATGTTCATCAGGCTTGTTTGCTTTAGTGATGGATGGATGAAATACTAAATTTTTAGTCACGCTTACAGTCTATATCATTTTCTTTATCATACACTACTAATAAATAGTTATTAGACTTCTGTCTTCATTGTTATGGCCGGAAGGTAATGAAATATTGTGGAAAGCACACATTTGCCTGGGATGGCTAGGATGTCTGAGGAGACAGAAAATCTATGTGGTCATTCATCCTTTAGCTGGCAACCTGGACTTGTTCACATGGTAGCAGGGATTGCAAGAGCAGCAAAAATGGACCTGTTTTGTGTTAGGCAACTGAATGGTGGGTTGGGGAAAATTATGGGCTTGCTATCTTCTGGCAACAGCAAATGCAAAGTCCCAGAAATGATAGTGAGCAATTTTTATATCTTGAAGTCATTCCTTACGGCAGGACAGTAGAGTAGGTGAGAGGGTTCAGAACATAAGCAACCTTGTCCATGCCAAAAAAAGAATGGGCTTTGTCCTGAGATCAGTAAAGAGCCAGAGGTGAGTGCACTGCCAGATTTATATTTGGGTTAAGAAAACATTCAAAACTTGGAAACAGGGAACGTGTCAAGGTGAAGCAAGAGACACCTAGGGTACAAACTTGAAAGAAGTGCTCGCTCTCAGGGTCCTGCACTATTTGTGTGACTCCAAAAATGAATATGTCCTTAAATTTTTTACCCTGGGCAACTTTTATGTCTCACTCTGGTCCTGGCCCTGCTTGGAAGTAGAGTTTGAGAAGGAATTCGTTGTCTTCACAATATCATTGCTTAAAAGATTCACCAGATAATCATTTAATGATATACAAGAATGTGTCTGCACTTGGCTTTTCTATTCACTATTTAATTATAGCCCAAACACTGTGAAGTTAGACATTAACTTCGAAATTTCTGTCTGATTTCCAACATTAGAAAAGATAGCCTCAAAGATTATACTTTTATGGCCCTATAGGACATTAACCAGTTTTTATGTTTTTATTTTTTTAATTTTTGAGATGGAGTCTCGCTCTGTCGCCCAGGCTGGAGTACAGTGGCACGAACTCAGCTCCCTGCAACCTCCGCCTCCTGGGTTCGAGTGATACTCCTGCCTCAGCCTCCTGAGTAGCTGGGATTATAGGCACGCACCACCACACTTGGCTCATTTTTGTATTTTTAGTAGAGATGGGGTTTCATCATGTTATCATGTTGCCCAGGTTGGTCTCGAACTTCCGACCTCAGGTGACCCGCCCACCTTGGTCTCCCAAAGTGCTGGGATTACAGGTGTGAGCCACCGTGCCCGGCGGAGTTTTGTATCTATTAGCAAATATATTTCAGCAGTCCATTGACTATATACGTTTTTCTTTTTTCTTTCTTTTTTTGAGACAGAGTCTCACTCTGTCGCCCAGGCTGGAGTGCAGTGGCGTGATCTCGGTTCACTGCAACCTCTGCCTCCCGGGTTCAAGTAATTCTCCTGCCTCAGCCTCCCGAGTAGCTGGGACTACAGGCGCATGCTACCATGCTGGGCTAATTTTTTGTATCTTAGTAGAGACCGGGTTTCACCATGTTGCCCAGGCTGGTCTCGAACTCCTGAGCTCAGGCAATCCGCCTGCCTCGGCCTCCCAAAGTGCTGGGATTATAGGCGTGAGCCACTGCGCCTGGCCAAATGTTTTTTTGAGCCAGCCTTACCATCTTACTGGTTCCCTCATTAATGAGTGAGTTGAATAAAATCTTGGGTATGTGTTAATTCTATATTTGTATGAAAGTCAAGTTTTTTAAAGTTTTCTAAATTATACTTTAAGAATATACTAAATTACACAGCTAATAATTTCAACAATTTCCTCACAGCAGCAAGAGTAATCTTCTTGCACCCGTTAAGAAATTGAATTGGTGTGGGATGGGTCTAGGAAAGAAGTTTAAAATAGGGATTAGTTTGTAAGCGATTGAAATTATCCTAACTAGTTTCAAAGTTCATGTTCCTGGGGAGGGCATGGAGGAGATAGAACATTGAGTAACATTTTCGATGCTTTATAGCCACTCCCTAATTCCATTTTTCACAAAAACCTGTGGAATTTCGTAGTTATTTCTCCATTTTATAGCTGAGGAATTTAAGGCTCAGAGATGTTAAATAACATCTTCAGAGTGGTGGACCCCACATTTGAACCCAAAACATCCCCCTTCCTGTCTTCATTCTGGAGCTTCTTTTACCAGGTGAATGGTGTGACAGCAGACTGGCACACTCCACTGTTTAATGCTTGTGTCAGCGGCAGCTGGGATTGTGTGAATTTGCTTCTGCAGCACGGAGCCAGCGTTCAACCTGAGAGTGATCTGGCATCCCCCATCCATGAAGCTGCTAGGAGAGGTAAATCTGTTGAGAATTTTTTTTTCTACCCACTCCTTCAAGGGACATCTTACTGCTGAAAGAAAGAAAGAAAAGGAGATATATTTTAGAGCAGTAGTTCTCAAAATGGAGTCCCAGGACTGGAAGCATCAGCATGACCTGGCCTGCAAATGCAGATTCTTCGGCCTCACTCCAGCCCCATTGAATCAGTAACTGGGGATGGGGCTCAGCCCTCTGTATTTTGTTTAATAAGCCCTCCAGCTGCTTTCTGGTACACAGTAAGTTTGAGTGCCTCCCTTTTAGAGCATTTTGAATGTTTTTCACTGCTGTATTACTGAAACAGGGCTTGGCACATAGTAGACTATCCATCAATATTTGTGGAATCCGTTGTTATACCCGTGACCTTATAGAAATCAAGTTATTTCATAAAACAAATTATATTCTTCTATTTCAGGGCCTTAAAGAACATTGTCTCAGTGACACTTAAGTTTGCCAAATGAAATAAGCTTTCAATTTTTGAAAGTATTTGATGTTGCATACAGTTTGGGATAATTCTTTTCATTAAAGCCATAATTTTTCTGATAGTCTTAGCTCATAAAATCACAAGTTTTTATTTTCTCCAATATTTAGCATCATCGTAATGACCATACCTTGCCAGAGGGCTTTCTGTTTCTCCAGTGGCTTTCATAGAATGGCTTCCCATTTGACTGGACCAACCCACTCATAATGATCTCCCAAAGCATTAATATTATTTATTGAGAACATCTTAACTCATCATATTCGCTGCATACATAGAACTAAAATACAGCAAGAGAAACGTAGAGGAGCAATGTCAAAAATATGACATCCTGGACCAAGGAAGTGTGATTCAGCTTTCACCTAGTTTTTCAGATTGGGCCCTGCTCATGTTGGATTTGGCAGTTTCTTCTAAGCATTGCCTATACCCGCTGTGGCCTGTTCCTCCCGGGCCTGCCTTTGGAGAGGTTGTAAGTTTCCTTCCCTGTCCCGTGGCCCACACTGTGCCCTTTATTCTTCAGTTCCACCTTCAGGTCCTGTTCCTCCATATCTCTCCCAAGCTCTCACTTCAATTTCTGTACTTAGACAAACTACAAAGCCACAGACAATTGAAAAAGGTGGATAGTTGCTGGTTGGTTACCGTGGCTAGTAAACTCAAATGGAGTTTCACCCGTAGTTGCAGATTGCATCCTATGGTCAAACCATTAACTGATAGCAGTGGTTAAAATCACTCCTGATTTGGCCGGGCCTGGTCTCACGCCTGTAATCCCAGCATTTTGGGAGGCTGAGGCGGGCGGACCACGAGGTCAGGAGATTGAGACCATCCTGGCTAACACGGTGAAACCCCATCTCTACTAAAAATACAAAAAAGTTAGCAGGGTGTGGTGGCGGGCGCCTGTAGTACCAGCTACTCGGAGGCTGAGGCAGGAGAATGGCGTGAACCCAGGAGGCGGAGCTTGCAGTAAGCCGAGATTGCGCCACTGCACTCCAGCCTGGGGGACAGAGCGAGACTCCGTTTCTAAAATAAAATAAAATGAAATAAAATAAAATCACTCCTGATTCTAATTGAAGGAAATAGCTTTTTGGTCCCCTGGATAAGCTGCTGCCAAATTTAATGCAAAATGGGGATGGCAATGTCTTTCTAGCTAAGGGAACTTGTATTGTAACTGTTTTTCTTCCTGCTTTGGGCTGCAGGCCACGTGGAGTGTGTCAACTCTCTTATAGCTTATGGGGGCAACATTGACCATAAGATCAGCCACCTGGGCACTCCACTCTATTTGGCTTGTGAAAACCAACAGAGAGCCTGTGTCAAGAAGCTTCTGGAGTCAGGTAAAGCAAAAAGCAAACCAAAACAAGAAAAGAAAACGAAAAGTAAATTAAATGTATTTTAAACATCTTACTGCTGTAGGAGAGAAATTAGTGTGGGCAATGGAGTTGGACAAGGTCAGGGTTCATATTGACTGTGTTCCCTTGGGGAATTATTTCACACTGTTTGAACTGTAGTTCTCTCATTTGTAACAAGGATGAGGAGGAGGAGGAGGAGGAGGAGGATGATGATGATGATGATGCCTCTTCTCAGGGTGGTCCTCAATGATTATTAGTTTCTCCTCCCTTTCCTCTGTCTCCCTCCATTTGGCCAGTCACATTATTAAGCCCTGCATAACTTGCAAAGCTGTTGGATTAGTGTTGAATCTTCCTATTTGGGACCTTAACCAGTTCTCTTTGATTAGATATTGAACTTGCCCCATTGCAAATATTATATTTTCCTTGAAAAGGCCTATGTACCCTTATTTCTTTTCACCTCCCTGCTGTTGTCCAGCCCCCTTCTCAACACCTGGAACACCATTTCATCACCTCTTTAATTATCTGAGTCCTATTTATTCTTTAAGGCTTCAGTAATCTGTTTCCCAATGAATGTTGTTGCAGTCCTTATTGCCTCCTACTCATCTGGCAGGCATTGCTATGAATTAAGAGATGCAATCTCTGTCTCTCCCCCACTGCCCACCCCACCTCTGCCACTCTGGGCAGATTTTAAGCCTCTAGCCTGGAAAGGGCCATGTTTGATATCCCTCACAAAGTCAGGAACAATACAAGACCAGATCAGTTAACATTTGTTGAGTGGACATAGATTTTCATTTTACCAGAGGGATGGCAGCTCAGGCAAAGCCACATGTTCCCACATGTCACAGTGAAAGCTAGGCTCTGGGCTGGGGTGGGGATTTGTTAAGAGTGTAAGAGTGGAATTGGGTGGGGACAGTCCTAGAAATCCACCTTACTCCTGAAAGGGAGAACTTTGCCACCTTCCCTGTGATCTTGGGATTGGCCAGTCCAATCCAGGGGATACCCCCATGAGTTGGTTGGTTGCTTTTCAAAGTCCAAATCACCAGTCCCAAGTGTCCAGTTTTACACCCTGTGGCAGCTGCACACCAGGTGAGTTTGGCTGCTTGGTGTAGGCTGGATTTCACCATCTAGTCTCTCCGTCAGGCTGTACTGGCTAATACTTAGGTTCCATTAATAATAATGTGGAGCTTTTATGTCACTAGGATTTTTCTTATATGCATCATGCCTATCTATGTACAGTGCTGAAAGGCAAATTTTTAACTTTCTATGCTATATTCCTCATGCTGTACATTCAATAACATTATCAGGTGGGATTTTCCCCACATTATTAAATGGAATCACATCATCTCCCATTTTTCCAGGATTGCTGTGCTCAATATGGATCCCCTCTTGTTAGGAAATTTTGGGGCTCGGGGCTTTGAAAAGCCCCGATGGTTGGATTCTGCTCCTTGCTGACTCTTTTTTGTTCTCGTGACTGTTTAGGAGCGGACGTGAACCAAGGGAAAGGTCAGGATTCCCCACTTCATGCAGTGGCCAGGACAGCCAGTGAAGAGCTGGCCTGCCTGCTCATGGATTTTGGAGCGGACACCCAGGCCAAGAATGCTGAAGGCAAACGTCCTGTGGAGCTGGTGCCTCCAGAGAGCCCCTTGGCCCAGCTCTTCTTGGAGAGAGAAGGTGCTTCTTTGCCAAAACCTAAGCCCTAATCTGTTGACATCCCTTGGGGCTCTAGTAGAAGGCAGGTATTTGGCAATTTCTGGCTCCCATTCCTATAAAAAGATCATTCTCTGACATCACCAAATCTGGGAAGTTGAGATAATTCAATATTCAATGAGATACAGTACTGGTCACAGTACAGTAAATAACTGTCCTGCTATTTAGCATATTGGATACAGGTTTTTGGGATGATCTAATATTCATTATGGGGTAGGCCAGTTTTTTAAAAATTAAGATACTGTTTTAAAATTTTAGTATTACATTTATTTAAAACATGCTTTAGAATGAGGCAGCAGAGTCCTCTTTGGGGTTGTAAGAGGCCGCAGGATATCTTGTTGAACCACAGATGGGCCAGACTACTGGACACTTCGTTTCTGGGCTTAAAATGCAGCTGTTTAAGAGTTTAGGGTTCACACCAATCCAAAGATATTTACTATTATAAATTAACCAATGATAAGTCCACACTTCTCTATAAGTAAGAACTGAGACTCCCAACTCGAACAATGAAATATTGTGGTTGAGCAGTGTGTATGGAAGTAGGGCTTTGAGGCCTGGGCTGGGCTGGGGAACAAAGACACCTCAAGTTGGGGAGCCACCTCTTGCAATCTTCATGGGCTCAGAGGCAGTTGAGAAACCAGCTCAGTACTTCTTTTCTTACCGGAGTATGGACTCTGAAGTCTTAGGGATTCTGGGACTTTGAAGCAGGCCTTCCTACCAGAAGGATTCTGATGTTATACAATCTAGTTATTTTCTCCCCACATGATGAGCAGTAAGGTTGGCTTTGGGCAGAACTGTAAAGTGGGCTAAGGAATCCTTCTTCCTCCTACTCTCACTGCCCCAGGGTACTTGCAGTCAAGTCCCTGCCTGGGGGCATGCCAAACAAGGCCTATGCTCCTGAGCAGTGCTGGTCAGGCAGAAAAGATTGACTCCAGGCCTGGACAAGGAACAGTCCAGTAGAGGCCCCTTACAGTTAAGCAGTGGGATAATCATGGAGCAGTTCTATCTGCATTTTAATAATTACTTGTTTTGAAAAAGTTCTATGTCTACGAGGCCCATAAAAATATCTTAATTTTTAAACAATCAGAATAAAAAATGAATAGAACAACATGGATTGTAATCATCTTTATACCAACACAGTTGTGAAATAGAATTTTTAATTGTTTTCACTGAGAAAGGGATTCATAAAGGCAAAAGTGCCTCAGGTCCCCCTCAGTCATAACGTAGGGCATACGTTAATGTAGGATGTATATGTCCCCTCCTCCATCAAACAACCTCATAGCATTCTCAAATTGCCTCCCCTGGCTTTTCCCTTCTGCTTTATTTCCCAAAGCCATTCCTAGAGACAGTAATTACTTTAATTTTGAATTTACGTTTTGCACGGTGACAGTGTGGCCTATGGTCCCACTAGTTTATGAGGTGTCATTTGCTGCTGGAGAGAATCACTACTTGTTTTGCCTCCATGAGTCAATTTTGGGGTTTTGGTGTAGTCACCTCTCAGAGGGCTCGGAGCCCACAAGAAATGGGGTCAGGAAAGTGCAGAAAACTAGACCTGTGGATTGCTCACAGCAGTTTCTGTCTCTGGGTGCCCCTACATTCATTTGCTTCAGTCCACCTGTTTCTCCGTTTCCTGGGGAAGGGAATTTATTCAATTACTGTCCTCTTTCAATGGTATGGCAACAGGAGAATGTTGGTAAAACCCAACCATGTTCTGAATTGGGCTTTGCGTGGGTGTTAGGAAAGGTAAGATTTTCCCGTTTTCTGAGAAAAGGGAAAAGATTTTAAGAATATTGCCACCTCACCCTTGATAAGCATCTAAAGCAGTGTTTGCTCAATTAAAACCTAGAAATGACTGTCAGCCCAACATGACCGCAGCCCCCATCCCCCCTCACCCAGTGCACTTTGGCTTTAAAACATCAATGGTTGTTGCTGGCCGGGCACGGTGGCTCACGCCTGTAATCTCCACACTTTGGGAGGCCAAGGTGGGTGGATCATGAGTTCAGGAGATAGAGACCATCCTGGCTAACACGGTGAAACCCCGTCTCTTCTAAAAATACAAAAAAAATTAGCCGGGCGTGGTGGCAGGCACCTGTAGTCCCAGGTACTCGGGAGGCTGAGGCAGGAGAATGGTGTGAACCTGGGAAGTGGAGCTTGCAGTGAGCTGAGATCACACCACTGCACTCCAGCCTGGGCGACAGAGTGAGACTCAGTCTCAAAAAACAAAAAACAAAACATCAATGGTTGTTGCTGGGGGAAAAAAGAAATCAAGGCCCAAAGGAATATGCCAATTCATAAATACACAATTAGCTGGTTTTATTACCGAGCAAAGCAAACCCCTTGAATATTTGCAGGTGCCAGCAAGTGACTGCAAATCTGTAGTGGGTTTTCAGCTCTGTGTCTATGGACTTGAAGCTACAGTTGTTTTACATTGTCTTACTTGTAGTAAACAGCAGCATTCAGTTGGCATCAGTAGTTATTAATACACTGAGTTTCCTGTGACATCCCACTTTTCTTAATTCTCTATCAGGCCTGCTCTGAGATCTTGTTATTTGTAATGCTTTATCAGTACCTCCTACGGTTGCCTCTGACAGCGTTTCTAGCACAGATGATCAGTCACATGTTTCAACATTCCTTAGTGAGGTTAGATTAGGTTCAGTTTCCCCACAGTGTGCTTTTTGCTGCTCGTTAATATGTGCCTTGAGAACACTGGGAAGCCGTTCATTTTTAAATGCTTTGAGTATACTGGGCATCATCTCATAGGTGCCTTACTCCAACAGGGCCCTTCTGTTAGGGCCTGGTTTAAAATACTGCAAGTATTTTTTTGATTGTATATGTGTCGAGTTCCATCTCTCCTTGTTCTGCATCACCTTGAGAGATAAGTTAACTCGGTTGATCCTGTAGTTGGTGGTATTGCTATAGGAAAATAGAGACCACAGTATCCTTTTGGATGTATTCACAACCCTGACCGCACACTCAGATGACCTCGGGCACATGCCTTTAGAAAATCCAGATGCTTGGGCTTCACCCAACAATAACTGAAGCAACATCCCTGGTTGGGGGGACTCAGCGTCCATGTAGTTGAATGTACCCCCACCCCAGGTGAGTCTGAAGTGCTACCTGGATTGAGGGCTACGGCTTTATGGAGTTCTTGAGGGTATATAGTTTTGCTTTTTAAAAAATAACCAAAAGAAGATTCCCATTACAATTTGATGCAGGAACAGGGGTAGGGGGGCAGGGAAAATCATTCCCCATCCTTTTGCCCTATAACAGAGTTTCTCAACCTTGACGCTATTGACATTTTGA
Organism: Homo sapiens; assembly: GCF_000001405.40. NCBI lineage: Eukaryota > Metazoa > Chordata > Mammalia > Primates > Hominidae > Homo > Homo sapiens. The sequence continues at coordinate 15,245,404 of NC_000023.11, read as the reverse complement.
ATCAGTTGGGGGCTGTCCTGTGTACTCTGGGATTTTTAGAAGCATCCTTGGCCTCTCCCATTAGATGCCAGTAGCACCCTTCCTCAAGTTTTGGCAACCAAAAATGTCTCCAGACACTGCCAAATGTCCCCTGAGGAGCAAAATGATCTCCTCCTCCTTTCCTTCCCTGAGCCTCCTCCCAGTTGTGAACCACTGTCCTAAAATGTAAACTGTTGGGTGTTCCCTAAGCAAGGTTTGTGCTAGCTAGTTCACTTTTCACTTATGAATTGAAGCATTGGAATAGCTCTGAATACAGGATGTAAAAACAAACACGACTTCACATACTCTTAGGATTCACTGTGAGCTCATTATTTTTGAGTACCTTAATTTGCTCAAGTTATAAAATAAAAATGTTTGCATCTAGAAATATGCCCTTATTTTTAAAGATAAAAGAACACCATTAAACATAAATTTTATTTGTATTATTGGAATTTTTGTATAGCTGTGTAATTCCCAAGTTAGCTTATTTAAGCCTCCATTAGTGAGGCTAAGCTTTAAATTTCTTTCACTCTGTTCTAAATTAAAAACCTAACAAGCTTATTTCAATTAGCTACCGGAAAAGAGAGAACATAGCCTAAAAATGCCTTCTACAAAAAAACCCCAGAAAATGGTCTTAAATAGTTCAATATTATTTCCTTATAACAATGTTCTATCTTGGATGCTTTTTTTTTTTAAAAAAAAGGAGTCTTAGATCAATAGCACCATTGTATGACTTGTCTTATGATCTTTCTCCAGGGCCCCCTTCTTTGATGCAGTTATGCCGCCTTAGAATTCGGAAGTGTTTTGGAATCCAGCAGCATCATAAGATAACCAAACTCGTCCTCCCAGAGGATCTGAAACAGTTTCTCCTACATCTTTAAATGCATCTAGGGAATGGATTCACAAACGATGTGAAAACATTATTGAGTGTTGTAGCCACTAGAATTTTAAAATCAAGTTGGATTTATAGAGTTTGACTAGTTTTTTCGATTAGATTTGTATTTGTTATAAACTTGTTTATGGAGTTTGACTAATTTTTTCTATTCAATTTGTATTTGTTAAACTCAAGCCAGGGTTGAAAGACACTGCATACGTTTGTATTATTAGTTAGAAGGCATGAAGACTTTTTTCCCTGCATGGAGAGTGTCATAAGTTATTGTTTTGCATATCTACTGCATGCCAAGCACTTTCTGCATCATCTAATTTAGCCCTCACAGCCACTGGGTCAAGATGTCCAATTTTCCAGAGTAAGGATAGAGGAGTCAAATTCAAATACAGGTTTTCTGACATTAACTTATGTGATGACTTGATCGAGGCAGGCTTTTCCAGCATCACTGTCCTGGTTCCATCTCTGCTATATGGGAATGAAAATAAAGAAACATATTTCTTGGCTTGTCTAATTTGTTTTAAGCTTCCCTGTTGTTACAACAAAACCACTACTGTCCTAGCATAGTGTGGGCGCCAGTTCTTTTTTTCAACCAAAACACTATACATATTAAGCATATTCTAGAACCTTGCTGCTTAATACAGTAGCAACTAGTTCAGTGGTTCTCCACTGGGGTTAATTTTGTTACCCAGTGATGTTTAACAATAACTGGAGACATTTTGTTTGTGACAACTGAGGAGGGGTGCTACAGGCATGTAGTGGGTAGAGGTCTGGAATGCTGCAAAGCCTCTTACAATGTACAGGACAGCCCCACCGCAAAGAACTTTCCAGTCCAAACTGTTAATACTGTAGTGCCCAGGTTGAGAAACCCTGCTGTAGCCATGTGCCTATTTAGAAGTGTAAATTAATTAAAATTAGGTAAAATTAAAAATCCAGTTTCTCAGTGTCATTAGCCACATTTCAGGTATAAAATATGCACAAATGGCTAGTGGCTACTGTATTGAACAGTGCAGGTACAGATTATTGCAGAAGAAAGTTCCATTGCCCCATTGAACAGATTTCTATTGGACTGTGCTCTTTGGAGGCTCGAGGAATGGATTTTTAACTGCCTTTCAGTTTCAGATTTACAGGAACACTGGTATAATTTAGTAATGATGGCTGTAGTTTCAGTTATCTCTCTGAGAGATGAATTTGGGGCTCCATTGCATCAATCGAAAGAAAATTGTAACTCCTTAAGTCAAATCCTTACCTGTAAGATTACATATGGTCTAGATGATCTCTAAATCTATTTCCAATATAATTTTTCTGTAATTTTTAATTTGCTATATGAAAGACTCCAGAATATTAGTCTAAAATGCACAGCTAGTTTCCCAGCAGATGGCACTGTTGTCACAGTCACTTAAGCGAAAGGTTTGCTCCTCATAAATGACCCATCATAAAATGGTTTACAACATAAGCTCTGGAAATTTCCATTCAAGAATGAAAACTTTGTAGTGATAGATTCCACTGACACCGGGTTTCCTTCTTTTCCTATGTACACAATAATCCAAATGTGACTTTACAGAACGTTACCTCTCCTACTTCTTTTTAACAGAACTTTACCTCCTACTTTTAAAAAAATTGATCTGATCATATTTACATGTACTGCTTAGGATTTACGCCGTTAATTAACATCAACATCCTGCCACTAGGTAATTCATTTAGTTCATTTACTTAGAAAATATGTGATGAATTCCCATGTCTTTATCAGGCACTATTCTAGGCACCAGGGTGGTAAGGAATGTGACAGGTAAAGATACTTGATTTCTTGGATGTTACGCTCTGGTCAGAGTCATCCGCTAAGGGGTGAGGAGCTGTAGACGTTTTGCTATGGTTTTCTTTCTGAAAGCACCAGTTTAGAAAATAGCATGGTTTCTCATATAAAATGTATCAGACCCTTGCTTATGTTAATCTTCCTTCAGTCAAATCCACCGAGTTTAACCCAGAACTGTAACAATTATTAGAACAGCATTTTTTTCTTCTTAGATAGTCCAGGCAGTTAATCAATTTGCAAGTCCATATAATAGATGGTCATCCCTACAGATGGGAAAAATACCGTTACCACTTCACTCATAGCAATTTAGGAAAATTTCAAATGACCTCACTTAGCCATGCTCAAAAAGAATATTATATTTAAATAATCTGTTATGAGTCTAGATGTGGTTATATTTATAAGTGGCATATACCTTTGAGTGCTTTATCATTCCAACCTGGTACAACCTCATAAATTCTATCATCAAAGCTGGTTAAGTGGCATTGAATAGACCTTACCTTTATGAATGATGGACATAAACTCATGAACCCATCTTTTTTAAATGATCATTTTGTCTGTTTTTAGATTGCAAACGACACATATTTATTGTCAACCAATCTCATTGTCATTGTACTACATATTCCTTGCTTTTATTCAGTACACATGCTGGCTACTTGGTGCCCATTGCTAGCACAATTCATGTTACAATGAAAGAGGAAGGCAAGAGGAAGGGACCAGGAAAGGATGGCTTATTTCTTCAGGGTTTATAATGGGGCTAATTGACATGGGCTGATACTCCGTGTACCAGGTCGCAGTGGCCAGCCATTAAGCAGACATTAGGGGCTCAGAAATGAGGGTCTAAGATGGGCTCAGCTGTCTACTCTGGAGCATGAGGTTTCAGCCTTCATAATATGATAAAAGCCCAGCATTAGGGCTTCAGCCTCAGACCAAGCCAGCATCAAAACCAACTGAATAATAGCTCCCATTCTAGATGGCTTGCTGAAAGCTAGGCATGATGCATTAGTGATTTATAAACCTTCCCTCAAACCCTCACAGTTCTTATCCCGATTTTATGGATGGGGGTGCAGAGGGGTTAAGGAACTTAACAAAGTCAGTAGGTGGTGAAGCCGGAGTTTAATGCCCAAGCCAGGGCTGTTAATCAGTACACACTCCACCTTCTCTTTTCTTCAATGAATCCCAGAGTACTGGTCACTGGGTCCTAAAAACACCCTGCTTAATTTCCTGGTAGGTCTGGGAAAGGAGGTGGAGCCCAGTCTGTAGGTCAGAGGTCCCAGTGTGATACCGGGAGGCTGTGCCAGGTTTAGGCCTGGACATCACAGAGCCCTTTCCCTTATCACATGAACCAGCCTGGGAGGTCCCAAACTTGCTGTCTCCTGAGGCAAATGGGTCAGCCTTGTTCTGCCAGTGATGCTGGTGAGCACAGAATGACGACCCCTTCCCATAAGACCAAAGCTAACATGGCAAATGAACTTTTTTCTGAACTGGTATTATTTTGGAATGACTTAGTGACAAAGTCTTTCCCTGTAATGTGGGAGGGTGGAGGAGAAGCTTCCTGGGCTTTGGACAAAATTGGCTGCTTATTTCCTAATTGTGTATTTCTTTTCTTTCCTCTGTAATGGTTTTCTATTGCGTGTAACAAATGATCACAAACTTAAGTGGCTTAAAATAACACCAATTGATTGTCTCGTAATTTCTGTAGGTCAGAATTTCAGGGATGGGGTGGCTGCATTCTCGGCTTTGGGGGTCTCACATGGCTGCAATCAAGGTGTTGGCTAGGGCAATGGTTTTCATCTGGGGCTCAGAGGTCTTCTGAGCTCATTGGTTGTTGGCAGAATTCAGTTCCTTGCAATTGTAGGCTGAGGTCTCTCTTTTCCTGCTAGTTGTCAGCCGAGATTGCTCTCATCGTCTGAAGACCAGCGACAGTTTTTTGACATGTGACCCTTTCCACAGGATATTCTTGATGTCGATGTGCACTTTCTTCCAGGCCAGGTGGAGTGCATCTCCCTGACTTCCTACCTTGTGACCAGCTGGCTGGCGGCAAGAGCTCTGCTTCTAAAGGGCTCACCTGATTAGGACAGGCCCACCCTGTAATTTGGGACCTTAATTGTATCTTCAAAATCACTTCAAAGCACCACCCAGGATAGTGTTTGATTGAATAACTGGCAAAAGAAGTATGTACACCAGAGGCTTAGAATCTTGGGGGCATCTTAGAATTCTGCCCACCAAACCTGTTAATACCTAATAGCCATCAGTTCTGTGTTGATTTATCTGAAGTACAATACATAATATCATAATTATGATTCTTTTTTTTTTTGACACAGCATCTCACTCTGTCACCCAGGCTGGAGTGCATTGGCGCCAGCTCAGCTCACTGCAACCTCTGCCTCCCGGGTTCGAGCAATTCTCCTGCCTCAGCCTCCCAAGTAGCTGGGACTACAGGCGCAGGCCACCACGCCTGGCTAATTTTTGTACTTTTAGTAGAGACGGGGTTTCACCATGTTGGCCAGGCTGGTCTCGAACTTCTGACCTCAGATGATTCGTGCGCCTCGGCCTCCCAAACTGCTGGGATTACAGGCGTGAGCCACTGTGCCCGGCCATGATTATTTCTTTTTTTTTTGTGCCCCCCCTCCCCCGCCCCCCCACCTGCCCTGCATAATGATTATTTTTATTCCATCCAACATGCATACAGTGTTTACTCCATGCCAGGCATGGCCCTAAGAATTTCACAAACATCAACTCATTTAATACTTATAATAATTCTATTATATAGGTGCTGTTATTATATCCATTTTACAGCTACGGAAACTGAGGCTTAGAGAGGTCAAGCAACTTCCCCAAGGTCATACGCTTCTGTCAGTTTCCTTTAATCACATCAAGCCTACATCATCAAGTTTGGCAGTGTGATGAATGAAAAGTCCAGGTGGGGCCAGGAAGTGGGACTTCTCAGCCTTGACGCTTCCCTTTGGGGCCTTTTCACTAAGTACAGGGCCACTGGCGTGCTCACCTAGCGGGTGTGGTGTGGTGGGGGAGTGCTGTTCTCTCTTCTGCTGGCCTTCATGACTCTTCTATAAATCTAAGCAAGAAAGTTCCAAGTAAGCAGATGTTTTACAAGAGGCTTCATTAAAGTTTGTGGAAACGAAGAGGGAAGCTGAGTTTGCTACAGGTTCACCTCCTGGCCTAGCTTTTGGCCAACATCCCTGGGATAGAGGACATTGGTGCCTTACCTCTCCTGACTTCACTTATCTGTGATGTTTCCTCCACATCCTGGAGAGTGAAGCCCAGAGAGAAAACGAGCCTCCCTTCTGTTCAAGGCCCACCTCCCACACTCTGGTTTCTTGTCTCATTCCACGGTGGTGTCACTGGGAGTGACCAGCTCCTACTCATTGTGAAATAGACTTACTTCATGACCACAGACCAATCTTATCATATGGCTGAGGTGCCTGCAAATTCCAAAGGCGTGCACTTCCAGAGGCAGGGCAGGGGGGCTTTCTGTTAGATGTAACCTGGAGGTTTTGTTTGTTTGTTTGTTTTTGTGAGTAAAGAACAGGAACAGCTAGGGCTTCCTATGTCTTGATCCATCCTTCCCTTCAGGGTGTTTGGACTGGGGAACTAAGGAAGTCAGTCTCAGGATTGGTTCTGCCTTGGGCTCTTCTGAATGAGAAACAAGGCCAAAATCCTTGGCAGGGTCCTCTCAGTACAGAAAAGGGTTCAATCTTCATGCTATCACCTCTATGATGTGATAAAGAAGAATGTGTTACTACCTAATATACCCTCCAAGACCTTTTGACTCCTTCAAGTGTATAAATTCTCACTGATTTGACAAGATTGATTTTCTACCCTTTACTTTGCAAAATCCATTGTGAGACCGAAGCAAGTAAAATTGATTTCTGCTCACTTCCTTTCCCACCTAAGGCCTCTTTGCTCATTCCTGAAGATATGAGATTTTCTAACTTTCAATGCCCTTTTGAAAAGCTTGGGGTTTTTTTAGTACAGTAAAAATCAGATGGTTCTACAGGTCTGTGTGGGAATTTTAATGTGATATTCTAAGTGTTGATGTGTCATTCATTCAAGAAGACACCTCTGTTGTATCATACTTGGAAGCCTAAGTATTTACATTGTAAATGTTGAGCTATGACCATGAAAACTGGGGATAGTATAGTATCACCTTGATTTTCATTCAATTCACATTTTGTGCATTTCGCTTAAGGATGTGCTTCAGAAAGCCAGTGGTAGAAATTTATTCCTCTGAGTTGCATTGTACAGAATCAAATGTAGCGGGTCTGCATTTTATTTTTCAACATAAGGTTTAAAGAATGTCCTTTTTAGTTCTCTAAAGAGAATTTAATTGATTCTTAACCACCATCAGCCTGGCTGGAAATTCAACATTAGTCACAATATGGGCTCCACTGAAGGGTTAAGCAGAGATATCACGGGTTTGTGTTGCCCAGAACATACAAGAAGGGCCCTTTGGTCTTAGGTCCAGGTGGCCGCTAATGATGTTTGTAGTCTAGGCCCATGTGGTTCTTTGGAGGCAGGAGGCTCCGAGGCAACCATGTAACATAATGCTCAGGCTGGGGCTGGGAGCCCTAGTGCCTGAGACCCAGCCTTCCTACAGAGACCCTGTAGCCACTCCCTCTTAATGCTGTGCCACCTCTCCAACACAAGCTGTTATGTGGGAAGAGGACATGAGCACCAGCTTCTGGGACCCATTCCCAAACCCCAGATCCCCTTTAGTCTTGGAGAATTAAAGTCTCTCCATGTTAGCAAACTCTACCCTAGGTCTCCAAGTGCTCTCTGTCTTCTAATCCTGGGAAAATCTAGCATAATTCCCTCAGTGAGTTTCAGAGATGCAAGCCAAGAAAGTGGGCACTCATCACAGAAGGCACCTGCCTCTGGGGAACCATAACCTTCAACTCTGCAGCACAAATGTTCCTGAGCCCAGGGAAATACAAGCTTGGATAATTTCTATTCGCCAACAAAACAGAAAAAGTGATTATAGGGAGGTGACTTTGGAGGTTGGAGAATAAGAAAGATGTAAAGTAATTGTCTCCAAGAGTGGGAAAGTTAACGTTACTAGATAAACATGGTAGGCTTGTTAGGTATGTTGAGTGCCCACTTGAGCACCGTGGTCATGCTTGTTTTCCTCCAGCCATATTTAGTGCTCAGGTACAGCTGTAGCTTGGGTAAAGAACCGGGAAAGAGGAACAATGGAGTTAAGGGGAGTATCCAAGAGTATGACTGCTGTCTAAACTGCGCAAGGAGGGATAGGAGGACTTGCGAGGGCAGGGATGGTGTATGGTGAAAAAGTGATAGGGTCAATGGACTGGAGGTTCTAGTGGTCTCAGTGAGTCAAAGAACTATTGGTGTCTGGGGTACTAGAGTGAGTGAATTAGAGAGAGAGAGAGGGCTTGATGGTTAGTGAGAGGCTCGAAATCAAGATTTTACAGGTAGTTTGGTTATTGGAGATGGCAGACTCTAAGAGAAAGTGGGTGGATTAAGTGATGTAGATGAGAAGATTATTGGAAGTGAAGACTTCAAGGGACAGAGACGCTAGGATGCAGGGTGAATTGTCTTCGCTATGAGTGGAAAAGTTGTCAAGAACAATGACAAGCATCAACGATTAAAAGGAAGATAGAAATGGCTTTTATCCAAAAGACAGACAATAACAATTTCTGGCAAGGATGTGGAGAAAAGGGAACCCTCATACACTGCTGGTAGGAATGTAAATTAGTGTAACCACTATGGAGAACAGTTTGGAGGTTTCCCAAAAAACTAAAATTAGAGCTACTATATGATCCAACAATCTCATTCTGAGGTATATAACCCAAAAGAAAAGAAATCAGGATATAGAAGAGATATCTGCACTCCCATGTATATTGCAGCACCATTCATAATAGCCAATATTTGGAAGCAACTTAAGTGTCCATCAACAGATGAATGAATAAAGAAAATGTGGTACATACGCACAATGGAGTACTATTCAGCCATAAAAAACTGAGATCCTGTCATTTGCAACAATATAGTTGGATCTAATAACCTGACGTTTCTTTTCTTTTCTTTTTTTTCTTTTTTCTTTTTTTTTTTGAGACGGAGTCACGCTCTGTCGCCCAGGTTGGAGTGCAGTGGCGCGATCTCGGCTCATTGCAACCTCCGCCTCCCGGTAATAACCAGACATTTCTTGATGACCACAACAAGGAGGAGTGGGGGGTTGTGTCCTCTGATGGTATGTATGTAAAAAAACCTAGATGTTTGACAGAGAAGAACAAGAAATGATCTAAAACAGAGGTTGACAAACAATGGTTAGCAGACGGAATCCATCTTGCCACCTGTTTTTGTAAATAAAACTTTATTGGCAATTGGCTACACCCATTAATTTACATATTGTCTATGGCTGCATCAGCATGTCAGAAGAGTTGAGAGGTTGTCACAGAGAGCAGATGGCCTGAATAACTTAAATTATTTACTATCTGGTCCTTTACAGAAAAAGTTTTCTGACCCTGATCTATAATTAGCAATGAAGAGCAAAACATTAACCTCACAATGAGAAGTAAGCACAATTAATATAACAATAATTTTTATTGCCACACGAATGTCAAATCCTTCTGCTCCTTCTGCTCTAGATCATCAGATCAAACATTTTGGCTCAGTTGATTTTTTTCATGGTCAATCTATTCATTGGATGGCTGAAATGATAGAATGGCTGCTTGTTTTACCTTTATGTATGTATATATTTTTTCTTTTGAGCCTAAGCCAGCTTACATGATTGATTTAGAGGTAAATTTCATAATGTGCAGATCCAGAGCACCATTCATTTAAAAAGTAAACTGCAGACTATGGCACTATTCTTTGGTTTGTTATGGTACTGAGTAAAGATGCTAGTGGATATGTCTTCCATGACTGATTTCCTATTCAATCTTACCTTGTTCCCTGTTGTTAGTCCTGAGAATATGAAACCATCCTACATTGCTTTGCCCACTGTCTAATGAGACAGGGATAGACAGCACTCTCAGGGTAGTCAATCTGTATGCTTATCAGTGGTCACTGATGTTTCTTCTTTGGAAAATTTGAATCAAGCAATACAAAGACTCAGAGAATGGACAACTGAGTCAGATAAGTGGTAGGACACCAGAGTAAGTATGCACGTATGTGTATTGTTAAACTTCCTGAAACTATCTTCTTCATTCCTGCTTTTCCTGGAACCTATACAGCTTCCTCTTCCAGGAGATCTTTATCCTTTTACTTAACCTAACTTGAGTAGATTCTATTCGTTAGAATCTAATGATTACTAAGAGCATGTGAGTGTCCAGTTCTTGGTCATAAGTGGGTCTATTGGCTTGTCTCTTCCAGGAATTCAGATAAGATGTGTTCCCCAGGCCAGCAGTCCTTCATGCTGCTTGTCATAAGGAGAAAAGAATATGGAGAGAGCAGCATAGATGCAAATCAGCCTTTACTCGTTGGAAGACCATTGCTGGCAGGAACCTAACTGAAACAGAGCCAACAGGTACAGTCCTCTTCCAGTATCCTTGGGGAATTGGTTCCAGGATCACTGTTGGATACTAAAATCCACAGATGCTCAAGTCCCTGACATAAAATGATACAGGATTTTCATATAACCTAGGCACATCCTCCCATGTACTTTAAATCATCTCTAGATTACTTAAAATACTGAATACAATATAAATACTATATAGTTATTGTACTGTATTTTTAATTGTTATGTTTTAATTGTTTTTCTTCAATATTTTTGAAATCTCTGGATGCAGAACCCATGAATATGGAGGGCTGATGCTATACAGTCTGTAACAGATATACTTTTCTAGTCTTTTTTTTTTTGAGATGGAGTCTCGCTCTGTCACCCAGGCTGGAGTGCAGTGGCGCAATCTCGGCTCACTGCAAGCTCCGCCTCCTGGGTTCACGCCATTCTCCTGCCTCAGCCTCCTGAGTAGCTGGGACTACAGGCGCCCGCCACCACACCTGGCTAATTTTTTGTATTTTTAGTAGAGATGGGGTTTCACCGTGTTAGCCAGGATGGTCTCGATCTCCTGACCTCGTCATTCGCCCGCCTCGGCCTCCCAAAGTGCTGGGATTACAGGCTACTTTTCTAGTCTTAACGGAAAGGACTGACACCCAAATAGCAAGGGTCGCTGGAGTCATTTGCCACCCAAGGATAGTCTAGGTATTCTCTCAGACAAAGCTAAGAGTAATCATTTGAGATGAAAATGGTTTCCTTGGAATATTTTTATTAACTAGAGCATCACCTTGGTGGTTTTCCTCCCTGCATTTTCCAGAACTGACATTAACTGTGGTGTTTGTAGGAATGTAATTCAAATGTGGCTGTTATCAGTTATATTCTGGACCTAACTGCTGGTGATAAAAAAAAAATTTAAAAAAAAGTTTCCTGCACAGCCCCTAGCTACCAACAGTTAGTGATGTAAGCAGTCCTTGTTGTGCCCTTCAGTTCATTAATAAGCTCTTCTGATCCAATCGCTGCCTATGTCAGTTGGGTTTAGTGAAAATGTACTCTGTACTCTGGGGATTTAGTAGCAGACAAGAGGAAGAACCAAACGTGTGCCAGTACCAGCTACAGGGAAGACACTACACCAGGGATTTGGAAAGACTTTGACCAGTGGAAATCTCGATTTGTCAGTTTCCAAGGCTTTAAATATACTCTTTCTCTTGCCTGGTCAATGATGACATTGTTCACTCTGATTAATGAATAAGCAATTCTCTGTCTTTAGCTCAATAATCTGTGGATTGAAGGCAGCTGTTCTACTATGGATCCTCACCAGTGGCAGTGATGCTAAATTGGTTGCTCAATGATGCTGGCAGATAATTCTCCTTGAGCTGTGAATTTCTGTGTCTCATGTGATTTCCACTCTAGGTCAGGACTGGAGACAGCTACTTTGAGAGAAAAACTTTGGTTTGATGTGAGACTTCCAACTGTACTGTGCTAAAAGAAGTCATTAAAACAAACAGCTTTTTCTGTAACTTTCATCTTCTTAGGCTTGTCATAGAGGGCAAAGGTCCCTCTTTAAGTGGAGAGTCACGGAATAATAAGCTTCTCTGAATTAGTTTGTTAGTCACAAGAAGAATGACTCAGAAATCAGTTAGGACGCTTGTTTTCCCCAATGAGAATAACAGAACAATATATGATATATGGCTGCTTTCAATATAGAAAGCACTTCATCACATGATTTACCTGACCACCAGAGGCAACATAATGACATTTTGTCATGGACACTAGTCGTTGAGTAGTGATGTGCTGGTAAAATGTTTAACATCCAAATCCCCAGTAAAAAATTACAAGCACTTGGTTTGTAGTGTTTGCCAGTTTCTGTGGTGTAGAAATGCCTACCATGGCCAATTTCAAGCTACCAACATGACATAACCGAATGCAAAATTTGGAAACAAATTTGCACATCCAGCTTTTAAGAGCCAATACCACTGACTCCAGTCATGACTGCCTTCTGGGGACAGTTAGACTATGTACAATGAGGCTGGCTTTTGTTAACTGCTTCAGAAGAATGCCAGCTTGTGGGGAGAGCTAAGGGAGATGTTTTGATGATGTCCCTCACACAAAGGTGTGCCTCACTTTTATGGCTTAAACACAAGCTAAGGACAAACTTGTTTATTTATTTATTTATTGAGACGGAGTCTCGTGCTGTCCCCAGGCTGGAGTGCAATGGCGTGATCTCGGCTCACTGCAGCCTCTGCCTCCCAGGTTCAAGCGATTCTCCTGCCTCAGCCTCCCAAGTAGCTGGGATTACAGGAGCATGCCACCAGACCCAGCTAATTTTTGAATTTTTAGTAGAGATGGGGTTTCACCATGTTGGCCAGGCTGGTCACAAACTCCAAGCTGTTTAATTTGATGAGGCTTCATTTGGCCACTCTAGGTAAATTGTGTGTGACTGACTACTATTTCAGTTTCTTATTGTGACAGTACAGAATTGTAGAAAGAAGTTGGTATTGGGGTGGGGTGTGGCATGTTAGTGGAAAGATCTTGCTTCTATACCCAACTCTTCCAATTACTGGCTATTTTACTTTTGGGAAAATTATTTACCACCTGTCCTCTTCCCTTCCTTCCCAACAGCTTATGAAAAACAACCAGCCAGCAGCTTCTTCCCAACCAACTCAACAGCAAACCTGTAGCATTGTGTGGCCAGGTGCCATGGCTCACGCCTGTAATCCCAGCACTTTTGGAGGCTGAGGCAGGAGGTTCGCTTGAGTCCAGGAGTTCAAGACCTATAGCATTGTGTATTTTGCTTTTCATCTTCTCTACTCTCCCTCTGGGAGTTTAAACAATAGAACACTGATTGGAAGACAGAAACAAGATGTTAGGAAACTCGGGAAACCTGGAGCAAACAGTTGCCTCTGAAAGGATTTCACTGCTTTTGAGAGGTGACAGCGTGCTGGCAGTCCTCACAGCCCTTGCTCGCTCTCGGCGCCTCCTCTGCCTGGGCTCCCACTTTGGCGGCACTTGAGGAGCCCTTCGGCCCGCCGCTGCACTGTGGGAGCCCCTTTCTGGGCTGGCCAAGGCTGGAGCCCACTCCCTCAGCTTGCAGGGAGGTGTGGAGGGAGAGGCGCGAGCGGGAACCGGGGCTGCATGCGGCGCTTGCGGGCCAGCTGGAGTTCTGGGTGGGGGTGGGCTTGGCAGGCCCCGCACTCGGAGCAGCCGGCCAGCCCTGCTGGCCCCGGGCAATGAGGGGCTTAGCACCCGGGCCAGTGGCTGCGGAGGGTGTACTGGGTCCCCCAGCAGTGACAGCCCACAGGCGCTGCACTCGATTTCTCACCGAGCCTTAGCTGCCTTCCCTCGGGGCAGGGCTCGGGACCTGCAGCCAGCCATGCCTGAGCCTCCCACCCACTCCATGGGCTCCCATGCAGCCCGAGCCTCACCAACGAGCACCACCCCCTGCTCCACAGCGCCCAGTCCCATCGACCACCCAAAGGCTGAGGAATGCGAGCACACGGCGCGGGACTGGCAGGCAGCTCCACCTGCAGCCCTCGTACGGGATCCACTAGGTGAAGCCAGCTGGGCTCCTGAGTCTGGTGGGGACGTGGAGAGTCTTTATATCTAGCTCAGGGATTGTAAATACACCAATCAGCACCCTGTGTTTAGCTCAAGGTTTGTGAGTGCACCAATCGACAGTCTGTATCTAGCTGCTCTGGTGAGGACGTGGAGAACCTTTATGTCTAGCTCAAGGATTGTAAATACACCAATCGGCACTCTGTATCTAGCTCAAGGTTTGTAAACACACCAATCAGCACCCTGTGTTTAGCTCAAGGTTTGTGAATGCACCAATTGACACTCTGTATCTAGCTGCTCTGGTGGGGCCTTGGAGAACTTGTGTCGAAACTGTATCTAACTAATCTGATGGGGACGTGGAGAACCTTTGTATCTAGCTCAGGGATTGTAAACGCACCAATCAGCGCCCTGACAAAACAGGCCACTCAGCTCTACCAATCAGCAGGATGTGGGTGGGGCCAGATAAGAGAATAAAAGCAGGCTGCCCCAACCAGCATTGGCAACCCGCTCGGGTCCCCTTGCACACTGTGGAAGCTTTGTTGTTTCGCTCTTTGCAATAAATCTTGCTACTGCTCACTCTTTGGGTCCACGCTGCTTTTATGAGCTGTAACACTCACCGCGAAGATCTGCAGCTTCACTCCTGAGCCCAGCGAGACCATGAGCCCACCGGCAGGAACGAACAACTCCAGACACGCTGCCTTAAGAGCTGTAACACTCACCGCGAAGGTCTGCAGCTTCACTCCTGAGCCAGCGAGACCACGAACCCACCAGAAGGAAGAAACTCCGAACACATCTGAACATCAGAAGGGACAGACTCCAGACGTGCCACCTTAAAAGCTGTAACATTCACCGTGAGGGTCCACGGCTTCATTCTCGAAGTCCGTGAGACCAAGAACCCACCAATTCCGGACACACTTTCACATTGGAAATGGGATTTTCCCATTTCAAAAAATGAATGTAATTTGATCATTGGACTCACTAATCACTTTTGAATTCACTAATCTTTTTAATACAATTCAAAGCAGTTGCTCTCAAACTGTAAAATCACACACAGAAATTGGAAAAATACTGATTTCCCAGGCCACAGACTTGATGATTTAGAATCTCAATCAGGGTGGGGAGTGGAGAGGAAGGGCAGACTCTATATTAAAAAAAAAACTCCTCAGATTACTCTGATACAGATAAATCTTAGGAAATCATTACTCTAGAGCAAAGAAGGACTTGGTTATTATTCAACAGGGTAGCACTCAAAGTTAAACTGTATTTTCCAGACCATCAGTCCAAATGGAGGCTTCGACAGAGTAATGTTTTCAGTGATAAGCCAAATCTCTGTATCAGTGGTCCATCGAAGCAGCTTACCATCAAATTTTGAGATCCCCCAAACTCACTGCTAGTGTCCCTGACTGAAAACCCCTGTGGTGCTTGCCAATTCCCAGTCATTCTGTTCTCCCAGCCCTCAGGCAAAGTCCCTGAAAAAAAAAACGCTTCTGAAAGTATTAGAGAACCTGAAAGAGATACCATACCTAGGTGACTCCGATTACCTTCAGAGGCTGAAATAGCTGTCAGGAAGAGAAGCTCTTAGCCACTTGCAGCCCTTCATGGGCATCACTTTTTGGTCTTGAGTCAATGTAGATTAGGTGCATCAATTCCTATTGCAGCTGACCATCAGTTAACATCTCTGTTCCTTATCATAACTGACTTGAGTATAATCAGCAGGTGAACACACGCTCTATCATTGTCCATCTTTCTAAGCTTCTGTGTATTGATTTTCAGCCTCGGAGCTGGGCCAAAACAGCCTTGAACTCAAAGCGATTTTTCGACACTGCATTTTTATTTAACTCATTCATTTATTCATCAAATATTTGCTATAGTACAGGCAATGAAGATACTGCAGTAAAAAAAAAAAAAAAAAATTAAGCCAGAAACCCTGCTGTCATGGAGTCTCCCAGTGAGATGATAATAAAAATAATAAGCAAAGTAACAAATACATAGGTAATATGATGAACAAAATAAGTAAGTAAAAAATATAATATGTCAGATGGTGATAGGTGCCATGGAGACAAGTAACTCAGCATCAAGGAGGAGGAAGAGTTGGGGGTAGGGATTGTGCACTAATGATGGTGGCAGTTAAACAGCACTTGATTGCTAAAAAATACTCACAGGACCCTAAATGACAATGCTTAAATATCTGGAGTTTATTACAGGAAAAGGATACAATTGAGAAAGAGCATTAATGTAAGGCTATACATCACAGCCAAGGGCTATATGGTAACAAGGGATTGGAGAGATCAAGAGTAGGACTGTCTTCCCTCCATAAGGGCCCTGGTAGGATGCACTCTTGCTTTCTGATCAGCAGCCAGTATCTCCTTGAACCTGGAAACCCAAAATGGAGTTTTAACTGAATATTTTTTTTCTTTTTTGAGGCGATGTCTCGCTCCGTCACCCAAGCTGGAGTGCAGTGGTGCAGTCTCGGCTCACTGCAACCTCTACCTCTCGGGTTCAAGTGATTCTCCTGCCTCAGCCTCCCAAGTAGCTGGGACTACAGGCATGCGCCACCACGTCTGGCTAATTTTTGTATTTTTAGTAGAGACGGGGTTTCACTATGTTGGCCAGGCTGCTCTCGAACTCCTGACCTTGTGATCCACCCGCCTCGGCCTGCCAAAGTACTGGGATTACTGACTGGAGATTTTTAAAAATATATATTTATTTTGCTGGCTACATATACATACTCCTGCTGTGTAACCAGCCTTGGCAGCAGAGACCTCTCGGGGGTGGGGGCTGGGGGGCTCACCCTGACCAGGTGCAGATCACCAATCTCATGGTTATCAATAAACAATGCTGACAAGCTGGTACAAACCTCCCCAAACTCCTCACACCCATGGTTACACAGCAACACTATTAACCAATGGGTTTCATGCCTTGGCCAGGGATCAGTGCCATATAGATACAGGTGCATTTCTTATTTCAACAGAATAACTTAGGCCAATTCTATAAGTGCTGCAATTAACTCTCACAGCACAGATTGCAATTCCGAATAGCAATTCTAAATTCTAAATTGCAATTCTAAATAGCAGGTCAAAATCTCAAGGCAGTGACAAAGACAGCTACACAGAAAGTTAAACGAAACTTTGTTTTTTTTTTTTTTTCTTTCAGGCAGGAAGATCAGTAAGCACAAAGGCCCCGAGGCAGGACCATATTCAGAGAAAAGCAGGGGGCCAGTCTCTGAGACCAAGACTGAATGAATGATGGGGAAACAGATGATCTCAAAGTTGTAAGGAACAGATGCTGGGTGGAAATCTGAATTACATTGTCTTCCAAATGTTTTAAAATTCTGCCTTGCTTTTTCCCTTCATATTGCAATGGAGTATGTCAGTTCATTAGATCTGTGGTTCTTGACCTGGGAGTCTATGGATAGAATTCAGGAGTCCTGTAAATTTAAATTTTAAAAATCTAGTTTTTATTAAACTCCAACTGAAATTGAACATCTCTCTTCATTAGGAATGCAGGAAACTGGAATAGTATTAGTAGTACCTGTACCTCTGTCATCCATAAATATCACAGAGTTTGTTTTTTTTTTAATTCAAAATAGAGTCTTGCTTTGTCACTCAGGCTGGAGCGCAATGGTGTGATCATAACTCACTGCAGGCTTGAACTCCCAAGCTCAAGTGATCTTCCTTCCTCAGCCTCCCCAGTAGCTGGGAGTACAGGTGCATGCCACCATACCCAGCATTTATTTTATTTTATTTTTTAGTAGAGACAAGGTCTTGCTATGTTGCCCAGGCTGGTCTTGAATTCCCGGGCTCAAGCAATACTCCCCTCTTGGCTTCCCAAAGTGCTGGGATTACACAGGTGAGCTACAACGCCTGGCCTCACAGAGACTTTTGCATCAGATTATAGTTGTTGCAAATATTCTGAAATCATCTTTTATGGTCATGATTTCTTTGAAATTACTGTGGTTATTAACCTGCTACGAGATTGCACATGATCATGGTTTTCCTGTCTCCAGATCAAATGATGAAGTTGAATGTTTTCACAACTGGAGTTTAACACAAAAATGTCTGGAGCATCCTGATGTCTCTGAGAGATTATCTTCACCTTGTAAACTGAGCTATGGAAGTTTTAATTCCATTTGGAACAATGTGTCTCCATGGATGGCCTTTTCAACATTTGTAACCCTTAAAACAAAAAATTGATGTTGACTGGATATTCATTATAATATGCCTCTAACCTTATCAAAGACGACTCCACAGTTTAATGTTCTTTTTGAAGCTAAACAACAGCCTTCACACAAAAATGCCTTTAAAAAGTCCTATAATCTGCATATATATTGTATTGTTATTTTATTTGTTGTTATTTAGGGTGATAACAAAGAAGCAGTTATATTATACCATAAATTTATTCATTTCATTTATTTTTAAAGATTTATTAAGGTATACTTTGCATACAATTCATAGAACTTTACCAGCCAGAAAAAAAAAACCTGAGTTTCTATTAGCTGTTGCAAACATATATGCAAGGTCTCCAGGATAACAGCTGGTATCTTGAGAAATTGAATTTTCCAGTGCCAGGTAAGGTTGATGAAGTATTAGCTCCTGAATGGAATATATCATATAAGATTTGACAAGCTTGAATTCATACCTAATGTTCTCAAAAGGGGTAGGAAATGATTGGAGAGCAATCAGGGAGTGTTCCCAAAGAGGCCCTGAACAATGTGAAAGCAGATAAATAAGAAAATGCACCCCATTAGCAGGTCACAAATGGACTGGAATTGGCTTGTCATTGCTGAGAGTAAAATGAAAGCTTAAGGAGATGTGTGAACACAGCACAGAACTCATACCAGTGCTGATTTTTTCCTCTCAGGTACCTAGAGAAATGTGTTTAGTGATTGGCTATTCAGAAGTGCATTTGCCCAAAGGCCCTACTTAAATAAAGGAAAAGAGCCTGCTCGATTGTGCCCCCTATGCTGAGAAATATAAGACCCATAGTTCTGTTTTAGTTGTTAATTTGGGCTCTAACCACATCTGACAATGGTCTAAATTCAATGCTTACAACCAACATTTAACCAAGCAGCCCTTTTTCCACTCTGTACAATACAGTGGAATCGTCTAGGGTTCTCTTGGGCTCACTGAATTCTTGAGTCTGCAGTGGTCTTCATCTGGGGGCTATTCGGCCCCTTCCTAGGGGACATTTGACAATATCTGGGGATACTTTCAGCTGTTACAACTGGAAGGTGCTTCTGGCATCTACTGCATAGAGGCCAGGGACGCTGCTAAACATCCTACGATGTACAGGATAGCCCATGACAATAATGATCTGGCCGAGAACGTGAGGAGTGCTAAGAATGAGAAGCTCCACTGTAAAGGATGGTGCACATAACTGCACAGGAGTGTCAGGTTCACAGAGATGAGGGTCTTTAGGGAGGAGCCGAAGTGTCCAGGTAGAGAACAGAGGAAAAGTCATACCATTTTGTCTCTTCTGACACATTTTCAAACACAACTCTTCTCTGCATTTCAGATTGTTTCATGGAAATGACTCGTTTCTTTCCTGATTTCATCTTCCTTGTGGATACAAAAGGGGCAGCCAAGATCAGGGAAGGTTTACAGCAAAGCTCTGCAACACCTGGAAAAGCATCCACCCACATTTGGAGCTCCTGTGTTTAATTAATCTTACACTAAAATGTCAATATGTTATCAATTAATATTCACTTATTACATTTCAATCATAGTATATTGTATATACTAATATATGCCCTCCTCCTCCTAATTAATATTATTTTTAGCTCCTATTTAAATAAGGAACTTGAATGAGTCCTAACTCATGTCATGGACTGGCTGGGTGATAAAAGAGTTTTCAAACAACATTCTAACCCTGACCTACAGTCAAGGTTAGAGTTGCTCTGTCTTTCCCTGTGGAAAGGAAAAGCCATAGAGGGACAATGAAAATGAATGCGAGAGAAATAAAGAAGCATGACTCACAGAGTTGTGGGATATGGGAATAGTATTCAGACAGGACCTACAGTGGATTGAGAAGTAGGACAAACTTGTAATGAGTGGCATCCTTAATCACCTCTGGTGGTGCATTTTACCTACATAGAATCCATGGCCCATTTGTCTAACTATGTTGTGGTCTATCGGCTGCTAATTACTTCTGCTCTGACATTTGTTAATGAAAACCCAAGATATTTCCTAGCAAATTGCAGGTTCTGGAAAACAGAAAATTCTCAAGACACAAAGGAATGGCTTCCAAATGTCGTATTTTTGTAGGTTGGAAGAACAGATATTGGGATTCAGATGGACATTTAGAGGATCTCTTAATCACTGCCTAGGGTGTCCCCTGCCTCTGTTCACTTACGCAATATGGCTCACTCTTGCACCACATATTTTATAATCCAGAAATCCCTAGGTAGTCTTATCCAGTCCCATGGTGTAAATGCCACCTGTATATCAAGGACTCTCAAACATAAGAACAGAGAAGTGACCATCTGATTTAGCTATCATCAATATCATAATCAAACAGCAACTCGGCTTGAGTTTGAAATTTGATCATTTTGGGTTGAGAAAAAAATGGTAGGTGAGGAAGTGAAGATGGCCATTATCTCAAGAAGAAACCAGTGGTGAAGTTCAGGTGAAGGGAAGCTCTTGGCTGATTCTTGAGGAAAATGCCCCTAATACCTGCATCACACCTGCTTGGCCTACCTCTGATTTCAGCTGCTGCTGAGATGGACAGTTCCTTGCAAATCTAGACTCAGCTTGCACTTACAAGGCCCCACCTCAAGCACACACCTTTCTGCATGCTGCTTCAGGGTCTCTTCTGACATCTCAGAAATTTGCTAGGCCCTTGTATGAGCACAGATCAGAAATATGAGGGAAGAACCCCTAGGAATACCCCCACAATAGGGGAAAGGAACCAATGTAGAAATACTTCAACCTCCCATCTCGAAGGTGGCCATTTTTTCTGCTTCTCTGGTGGAATGGAGCACCCATTCAGTACAGCAGTGACTTCAATAATGCATCCTGAGATGGGCTTTCCCTCCTTCCCCGTCCTACTCTTTCCACTCACTCGTTCATGCCTCATTGCTACTGCCAAATGCTTTTGTTTGGATCTTGTCATAACCAGTGCTGGCTCTGCAATCTTGGCACATTAGAGTTTTATTGACCATGTTCACATACTCTACCACAGTCCCTCTGTGGACACTGAGTAGCATCCCAGCTCTTTTAAGGTCTCCCCTGTACTACGGGTACTGAAAGAATAGAAACTATAATACATCTCCCAAGTGCCTTGTCATCAGGGTTCCAGTTTCATTCTGTTGACGAGGGCACAATTTAAAAGGCTATTATTTTCCAGTGGTGGTTGGAGGCAGGTGACAGGGGCTGCAATGGACCCCTGAAATTTGCCTATTTCAGCACTGCATGCTTCTGAGGCCATTGGTGGCAATTCCTGCGACTCCTGTGCTTTTTGATGAATTTCCCTGATTTTCTCTCCTCCAACCCTCCCAGAAGTTGTGTAAGTTTCTAATTCCCTATGACAAATTTCTTCTTGCTCAAAATACCTAGAGTGGTTTCTGTTTTTATGGCCAAATCCTGATTAATATACATATGTTATCTAATTTTATTGAGAGAAAAAGTCTAAGAATTAAATTTGACTTGCAAGTGTTGATGGTTAATAGGTGAGGGGAAGATAACGAGATCCAGTTCAGGTAACAAAGCAGAGGTATTTTGAGAGATGTTAGGAAAATGAAGGAAACAGATTACATTGAATGTCAAGATGAAAATCATTTCAAGAGAAGGGAGATCTTGATGATGAATATTCTGTTTTCTCCCAAGAGATGCCAGCCTGTATCAAGCTGATGGATATAAAACAGTGAAGGTTTAAAAGTCAAGGAATTGGAGCCCTCCATAAGTCCTTGCAGGTGAATGAAGGAGGAAAGAAGAATCAACTGTGGAAACCGTATTAACATGCATGTAGTGACTGTGTTATCTGACTTCTCATGGGAACTGATGCAGTGAAACTGGGAATTGTGTACTGTGTGGTGCTGTGAGATGAAAAGTACAATTTACTACACAAATTAAGAATTCTGGGTTACACGGCAGTTCATAAATCTATCAGATAATGCTTCCTTGACAGATCGGGAAGGTAGCAGTTTAAAATATAGTAGTTTTAAAGCTCTTCAGGTTTACTGGAGAATGGGATGAAAGCTTCTGTTTTCCTGTTTGTTGGAGTAAAATACTATATGAGTCCAAATGCTTGAGTCATATAAAGAGTATGTTTCCATGGTAGCCAATTGTTTGACATTCTCTATATAAAGCTTTTTAAATTGCATTATCCACCCAATATTTGAGGCAGAATCCTTAAGCCAATGATCCTTATTTAAAATCTATTATTTTGGTAAACTGTTGAGGGCAAACTTACATACTGCACTCCAATAAAAGGCACGTGTATTAATCAGGGTTCTCCTGAGAAACAGAACAAATAGGATGGATGTATAGACTGATAGATAGATGATTGATAGGTAGATAGTTTGATGATAGGTTAATTGACAGACAGATTTGTCATAAGAAATTGGCTCATATGATTGTAGAGGCTGAAAAGTTTCAAGATCTGCAGTCAGCAAGCTAGAGATCCAGGAGAATTGGTGGCATGTCCTAGTCTGACAGCCAGCAGGCTCAAGACCCAGGAAGTACTGATGGTTCAGTTCGAGTCTAAAGGCATGGGAAAAATGATGTCCTAGCTCTAAGGTAGTCAGGCAGGAGAAGTTCCCACTTATTCAGCCTGTTATTCTATTCAGGCCTTCAACTGATTGGATGATGCCTACCCACACTAAGGAGGGCAATCTGCTTCACTCAGTCTACCAATTAAAATGTTAATATCATCCAGAAACACCCTCACAAACATAGTGAAAATAATATTTTTCTAAATATCTGGGTATCCTATGACCCAATCAAGTTGACACATAAAATTAAACATCATGGCATGCAAATACTGTGAAAGGGAACAAGTAATTTCTGGCTAACACCCAGAGCAGATACAGGTATTCACTTGATACACATTTCCAGGCCCAAACTCAGGAAGAGTTCCTGTTTTAGTTGCCAGAGGTATATTGACCCTATTTTCAATAATTTCCTATTCTACAAAGAGAAACAGACATTTGATACAGTGTGCATTGCAATACAAGAGGTATAGACAGGATGCAGAGGGAGCACAGACAAGGTGTTTGGAGGGAACTGGAGATGGGTTGTTGGAATAGATGGCACCCAATCTGTGTCTTTTTAAAATTTATATTATTATTTTATTTTTTAATGTTTGTGGGTACATAGTAGGTGTATATATTTATGGGATACATGAGATGTTTTGATACAGGCATGCAATGTGAAATAAGCACACCTGATCTGTGTATTAAAGGACCAGCAACATTTTACTAGAAGGAGAAGAGGACACAAAAGGTATGTCAAATGACAGAGGCAAGAAAGAGAAGAGCACATTCAAGAAATTACAATTAGTTATCACGAGGATTAAAAGGCATAATGCATTTAAGCACTAATGAAATAACAGCTCTGCACACCAATATCTGGCACTCAGTAAATGCTAACCCTGGTCTACCTCTCCCCTTTCCTTTATTGTTGCTGCATACTGTTTGAGGAAACCAGGAGGTTTTCAAATGTCAGACAATATGTGGATAACAGAGAAGTACTTCCATGTAATTCACTACCCTTAAAGAAATCATTTCTGCCTTGTAGAAGCTGTACCTTAACAGATGTTTCAGAGTGAATTTATATTCATCATATCAAGCATTGCCTTGCAATGTGGGATGCTTTTCAAAAGCCTCTTTCGGGTGAACAGATTGTGTTGCTGCTGAGGGAATTCACAGGAATGAGGCAATCACTGTAATTCAAACAATTTCTCCTCATTTAAGAGCACCAATTGTTTATATTAGTACTGACATGATCCATTTATGAAGCATCTTAGCACAGTTGTCTCTGAAATTTTGGGCTGTCAAATGGTCATCAGAACTGGGTTGACTCTAATTGTAAACAAGATCCTTCTGATCTCTTCATCAAAACCTTTACTGAATAGCTACCATGTTTGGACTTACTTGGATGGCTTTTATGTGATACAACATGAGAAAAATGTGGCAAAAATTCCTATTCACCAAGCAGCATTATTAGAATGCCTATCATACTATGCTGGCAATAGGAATGTAGGAATAAATAAGACCCCTCCCCCAAGCAAACAATTCTCAGTCTAGTAGGGGAGAAAGATGCATAAACAAATGCATATGTGCACCCACAAGTGATATTCTCCTTAAACTGTGAACTGGGTTAATACCTTAGCTTTGACTTTCATACACCAGACTGTTACAGTGGGTGCTGTCTGCTTCATAAAGATTGCATTTTTTAAATGCATCATTATAAGAAAGTAATGAATTCTTTGCAGCTCAGTAAGGTGATAAAGCTGTTCATAACAACTTCTTGATAATCCATCAGATGCCTAATTTAACTTTCACTTTTCCTTCTCATCTTCTTTATTCAGAAACTTACTGTATGTTGAATGAAGTCCAACGCAGGCTGTTTTTTGTGATGCTGTTGAATGAGATAGTAGGATAGTGATCACTTGAGTGGCCATGGCATGCCTAGAAATTTGCACCTGACTTTCTAGAGAACAACGGAAAGAAGTGTACAATGATCTGATTTGTGTTGCATAAACATTATTTCAGCAGTGGGATACTTGGTAGATAAGAAGGAATGAATAAAACTGGAGGGAGAAAGTCTAGTTAGGAGATGATGGCATTAATTCTACTGAAAATTGATGAGGTCCTGATCCAAGCCTGTAACATTGGGGTGGAGCAGAGGGGATGGATGTGAAGGAGGAAATGTTAAAGAGGTAGAATAAGCATGCCAGTGGAAACTGGACATCGATTAAGAAGGAAACGAAGTAGACTAGGATGACACCCGAGTTTCTGACTCAAGTTCCTGTCTAGGTGCTGATTCTATAAATCAGAATGGGCTTATGGGAGAAGGAGTTTCTTTTGCATTGGTGGGTTAGGGAGGGATAATTAGTAGTCCTTTGGATATGTAGAATAGAAAGTTTCTGAGATATTAGCAGTCAGATGGTGATTTGGCACTGGACGTCAAGAAGGCCTGGCAGTAGATGATAGGAAAAGTCATGAGTTTGGTTGAGAATTCCCAGAGAGTATATGCAGCATGAGAAGGGAACAACAAACTGAAGGATCTTTTGATGATTTTATTCATGTCCCTGATTTTATAATTTTGAAGGGCTCAGTTCTCTCCCTCTCTTTCTGTCTCTCTCTCCTCCATGTAGTCTTATCCAGCCCTGCGATGTAAATGCCACTTGTACACCAACAACTCTAAAACATAAGAACTGAGGAGTGACCATGTGATTTCGCTATCATCAATATGATAATCAACAGCAACACAGCTTCATTGATTTGAAATTTGATCATGGTGTATTGAGAAAAAATGGTAGGTGAGGAAGTGGAGATGGCCATTATCTCAAGAAGAAACCAGTGATGAAGTTCAGGGGAAGGGAAGCTCTTGGCTGATCCTTAAGGAAGATGCCCCTAGTACCTGCATCACACCCCTAATACCTCCTTGGCTTACCTCAGATTTCAGCTGCTGCTGAGGTGGACAGTTCCTTGCAAATCTAGAGCCAGCTTGCACTTACAAGGCCCCAACTCAAGCACACACCTTTCTGCATGCTGCTTCAAGGTTTCTTCTGACACCCTAGAAGCTCACTAGGCCTTCATATGAGCACAGACCAAAAATACGAGGGATGTACCCCCAGTAACTACCCCACAATGGGGGAAGGGAGCTAATGTGGAAATACTTCAACCTCCCATCTTGAGGGTGGTCATTTTTTTTTTTTCTGCTTCTCTGGTGGAATGAAACTCCCATTTAGTACAGTAGTGACTTCAATAATGCGTCCTGAGATGGGCTTTTCCTCCTTCCCTTTCCTACTTTTTTTCACTCACTCATTCATTGTTTTCTGGTATCACCTCTCAAGCTGTCTCAGGCTCTTATTTTGGGGTAATCCAATTGAGACATCTCATTCTGACTCATGATAGCTTCACCTGAACTTCATCCTAATTAAGCCAGATATCCAGGTTTCATCTTTTAGCAACATGGTTCATTGTCCAAATGGAAGGGTGTAGTGAGTAACTTCAGAGGCCATTTGAGCATCTGCCCACTGACCAGTAAAGGAGCTCATGCTTTTCCAGAAGACAAGAGACAGGAGTAGTTGGTACTAGGTCTTGGCTTCAGAATTCTTCATTCTGCAAACGCTGACCCTGCAATGACACTTCATGGGAAACAGCACCAGTTCCAAGTGTCCCTACTCCTAAAATGCCCCTCCCAGGGTGCTTCATCTTATCTTTCAGAGAAAGTCTACTTTCCCAAAGTAGAATAAGATTATTAATTCCTGGTTAATATTAAGAGGTTCTAATAGTTCATGAAATATAACGGGTGAGTTCCCACAAATACCACATATTCCCTAGGGTATTTAATTTTTAGTATTATTCCTAAGGAAGGAAAGTGAAGAGAAGTGATAATGGTGGAAATTTTAATTTATTTTTAGCACTCTTTGTTAGCTGTAAGTTAAATCTAACAAGTAGTCATTTATTCATTCATTCAAATTTTCAATAAACATTGATTAAATTCCTTCTTTTTATAAAACAACATGTTGGCTATACAAAGATGAACAGAACATAGCCCTGTTTCAAGGGACTCATAGCCTAGTGGGTATGTTTGAAAGTTCACACAAAGTATGAGTGAATCCTCACAATGCTTACAGAGGGGTGGATAGGAAAAAACAGTATGTGGGTTTTCTTTTAAACTCACTATTTATTTATTAAAATAAAAGAAGCAACCAGGCGTGGCGGCTCACGCCTGTAATCCCAGCACTTTGGGAGGCCGAGGCAGGTGGATCATGAGGTCAGGAGTTCGACACCAGTCTGGCCAACATGGTGAAACCCTGTCTCTACTAAAAATACAAAAATTAGCTGGGCATGGTGGCGCGAGCCTGTTATCCCAGCTACTCGGGAAGCTGAGGCAGGAGAATCGCTTGAACTGGGGAGGCAGAGGTTGCAGTGAGTTGAGAAGGCACCATTGCACTTCAGCCTGGGCAACAAGAGTGAAACTCTGTCTCATAATAATAATAATAATAATAAATCAACTGGGCGTGGTGGCACAGGCCTGTAATCCCAGCTACTTTGGAGGCTGAGGCAGGAGAATTGCTTGAACCTGGGAGGCGGAGGTTGCAGTGAGCTGAGATCGCGACATTGTACTCCAGCCTGGGTGACAGGGCAAGACTCCATCTCAAAAATAAAATAAAATAAAATAAAATAAGCTAATGTCTATTGAGTGCTTACCACGCCAAACACTGTTTTAAGTACTTTACATGAATTAATTCATCTAATCCTAATCATAACCCTAAAAGAGGATACTGCCCCATTACACAGATGTAGAAACTAAGGACTAGTTGAGTAAGTTGGCCAGGTTCACATAGCAAATAAGTGGCAGAACTGAAATTTGAACTCAGCGTTGCTCCATAGCCCAAATATTTAACTGTAATTTTATACTACTGATCTTTTTACCTTTCTATAGCTCTGTCTCTTCTACCCATACATCCCATCCATTCATTCATCCATCCATCTACTGTCCATTAATCTACTCATCCATCCACCTACTTACCCATTCAGACATCCATCCATTTATTCAACCATCACTATTTTATTCCAAAAGAGGAATTAAAGATGTTGACAAAAAAATAAGTAGGTAACCCTATGATATCAAAAGCCCCATGAAAGATAATTTGGTTGAAGGGATCAGGAAATTTGTTATAAAACTTGAAATATAGTATGATTTTGAAAGTCCAGGGTGAAGTGAAGAATAAAAGGGGACATTTCCAGCAAAGATGATCGAGGATCAACGTACGTGTGAAATGAAGACATTGTTGTGGATGACTCTGATGCTGGTGATGATAAAGATGATTAATAAGATAAAACTTCACACTTTTTCTTATTTTGTTCTTACAACTACCCCATTAAATAAAATGAAAGTGCTATATAAACAGTAGACTCTTTTCAATTGTAAGGTATTATTATAGAGGTGGGTGCAGGGACACTTTCTTTGTCTTATACATCTCTAAGACCAAGTACCATTAGGTCTTGAACCAGAGATTGACCAAAAAATTAAGTAGCTGGCTAGGCTGATTTGAGTGTGGCTGGGGATTTGATTATATTTTGCTGTTTCTGCATTTCTGGCCAAAGTGTTGCTGTGGAGCCTGGTTTGTTAATCTGTACACATGAGGTCTGCAGCTGCAGTTTAAATAAAGCCCATTTATTCCTTGTTTCTTGCCAAAATGGAGCTATAGCATCTTTTTGAGTCCAGTGAAAATATAAACAGACTCCTCCCAGATGGTTCCAGTTTGTCATGTCATCAAACAACAGCCCCTGGTGCGTTTCTCCTTGTTACCAACTGCCCATCTCACAACAGAGTCACCTAGGGCAGTTCTCCTTCCCTTTTTTATACCATTGAGTTGCAAGATTTCACTTCTCTGCTAGTCTTTTTACAGCCCCAGAGTGAAGGGATTGAGATAATGAGTTTTGACTCTTCTGGGTTACTCTACCTGGCCATTTTATCACAGCCTTCAAAGTTCTGGGCTTTGGATTTGCTACAGGATCCATATCATTGTAACAGACTCTTCTATGTACACTCTGTTGGTGACCAGACCTCACCTGAATGCTCCTTTCTGTTGAGAATATTGTGTCCTAGCATATGGATTAACTATGGTTGGATTTCCAACTAGCACAATTTTTTAAGCCACTTGGAGGACACCTGAGATTTCTAGTCCTGAGCCTATAGCTCACCATTAGGGCCCAGCATGGTCCCAGTGGCCTGCAGGGGTTTGTGGTAGAGAGAACATAGATTGGTTCATTTCTGTTCTGTGGCAAGGATCATGCCAACATCAGCAGTTGCAACCCATTTTAGTGAAGTTTTTAAGTCTTGGGATAGCTCCTTCCAGTTTGCAGGCTTATGGTCACTATCAGCTGGTGCTGAAAAGACATTTTTTTTTGAATGAGCTGTATGTGTTATAGACTGAACAACTTCCCTTTGAAACCTCTGCTCTCTGGGAATATGGCTACACTACTTCCAAGCATTCCTTGAGGTTCATTGAGGTCACGTGACTGTGTGTGACCAGTGGAATGCAGACAGAAGTAGGAATGGCCACATCTAGCCCTGGCTCATGAAAACCTCCACTGTGTTCCTCCATATTCTTTCTTATCTGGAAGTTTAGGTAGGAGTACACCCTGTGGAGGACACTTTGGGAACTACACACTGAAGACAGTGCAGCCACAAGATTAAAGAAATCTGGGCCCTGAATTACCACTTTGAGAAAAGTTGCATACTGCTTACACTGCACTGAAACTTTATGTAAGAAATAAACCATTACTATGTTAGGCCACAAAATTTGGAGGTGTATCTGTTAAAGTAGCAAGTGTTAGCTTGTCTAACAGATGGTATGAGGGACTGGATGTTTCGTAGGAATTGCTGCTTTGAGGGAATTCTGCTATAGGAGAAAGGTAGACAAAACAGAAGGGAATTCCATGACTAGGGAGTTCCATGTGGATGGTTTACACACCCACCAGTGTACCACAATACTACCTGAGGATGTGTAACAAATTCAAGTCCCTGAGATCTGCCCATGAGACAGTACCATTAAATAGAGCTGGGAAGAAGCACAGGAATATGCATTTTAAACATTAGCCTACATGATTTGATTCAACTGGACCAGGAAGGGTATTTTGAGAAATGGAGAGAACCTGATCTTGCACAAAGGTAAGGATATGTTCATCAAATGAATAATTAAATGAACAAGGAGCAGGGGAAGAGAAAGCAAAAATGAAATTATAAGTGGGGAGACATTAGAGAAAAAGCAAATAGCAGAGAAAAGCCTGGCCCTGAGGCATATTAGAAGGTGGTGACATTTTGTCACAGGTGGCTGGGGCTGATGATGGTAGATGAGGCATATGGAGTGTGCTCCTGAGCTTGCCAGCCCTAATTTCCCAGGGGAAGTCCTCTGTTTTGAGGAGCTTGCCTTTCATCAGGCATTTTATGTACATCCTGCTGTCACCGTCCGCTTACAAGCTGCTCCTCTGCTAGAGGCATTTTCATGGCTAATGGCACTGACTTTATTTGAGATTCTTGGGGCAACAGAAAACAGAGAACACCATGTAGACAAATTTTAAATCAGTTGCCACACTTCAGCTTTTTCTTATTTGCTGCACAAAATTTAATTTAAGCCAAAGAGATGAGATTTATCTGATGCTGCAGCCTCTTTATCTTGCTTTCCTTATGCCCAGGTAATAAGGCCACCTCCTTTGCTTTGCTACAATGAGTATCATTTTGTAATCCACCCAGGGCCCTGATGGTGCTAATGGCCAACCAGGGTCAGGCAAAGAGCAGAGAAAGGGTTAAGTTAACATTGATAGCTAAGGGGTCAGGATGAAAAGCAACGTGAGTAATAAGAGTAGATGCCACTTAGAGACTAGAAGTGATAAGAGATAAATATTGGGGCATGAGGATGGAGAACATGAAGATAACATATCAGGTGGACTAACAACTCCAGCAGGCTACCTGACTGCTGCTACTTGACTGCATGCAGATGTTGCACTATCTGCATCTTCTTGATCAGGCTGTCTTAAAGGTTTTGCATGTCCTCTG
The DNA here is from genome assembly GCF_000001405.40 of Homo sapiens. Taxonomy (NCBI): domain Eukaryota; kingdom Metazoa; phylum Chordata; class Mammalia; order Primates; family Hominidae; genus Homo; species Homo sapiens. The sequence goes on along the minus strand of NC_000023.11, from coordinate 15,214,928 downwards.
TCAATGTTCTAATAAGTTTCCTTCAAAATAAACAAAATGCCCATAAATCCAAATGTCCAATAAAGTTGATTGGACTGTTAGTCATTGACATTGTATCTTTAAGAGTCTGCATTGTGCCAGTGTTTTGGGTGAGTAGTTCTCCAGGAATGTCAACTAGAATAAATCTTCATTTTTTAAAAACATTATAATAGAAATATTGTCATTGTGATGTCATATCAAGTAATTATAACAAGGGCTATGATTTATGGAGCACTCAATGTGTAGTTCATACCATACAAAGTACTTTACATATATGTTGCCTTATTCAATTCTAACAACAACTTCGTGAGACCAAGACCTTGACGCAACCAGGTTAGAGTCAAGGAAACTGAATCTTAAAGAAGCAAGAAACATGTCCAAGTCTCAAACCTAGTAAACAGTAGAGCTGGTGTCTGAACCTAAGCCTGAAGAGCTTCAGTATCAACAATTTAAAAACAATTTTTTTTCAGCTAACTTTTGTTGGAGGGGCTATAATGAACCTTTATACACATAATATCCTTTAATCTTCCCAACAGACCCAGGGAGTAGGTATTATGAGCCCCCCCACTTTTTTTGATGAAGGAAATAAGGGGCAGAGAGATTAGATGCCTTGCCCAAGATCATACGACTCTTAAGTAAGACAGAGCTGCGATATATTGATCTCACAAGTTTCTGGCTGGCCTTTTAACTGCTATTCTCTGCTGTTTGTCTTGTAAGTCAAGCTGCAAGTTGGAGCTTCCTTCAGTCTTCACTGTCCCCGCCTGTCAACCTGTTAGATGCGCCATTTGAGGGAGGGCATCCTTTATTATTTAAAACTCCAGTCTCTAAGTTGTTGATACTTCTGGAGTTGTAAGGCTCTAGGGAGCTAGAGAGCTTCTGTGAGGGGCCTGGGAGATTAATTTGGTGGAAATGCTGGCAAAAGAGAACCTGAAATGGTGGATGCTTCAGAGAGCTAAAATAAATTGCTGTTTGTGTGTATTTCCTTCTCTTAATACTCCTGGGGGTTGAATAAAGAAAAGCTATCAGATGCTGGCCCCAGCCGCAGTGCTGTCCCAGGAGCGATAAAAAGCCCTGTCTAAACTGAGGCCAGGTATTTGCCTGAAAAGGGAACTCAGGCGTGTATAGAAATATATATGCAGCTGGCATCAAATGGGGGAAATGTTTAATCTGCCTTTTGAATAGATTAACAGTTGGCTTCAAGAAGGTGCTTCTGACTTTTGGCTGCATAGACCAGGAGGAGAGGCTGCGCTAAATAATGAGGATTAGGACCAAGGGGGAATTAATTGTGTATCTGCAATTAGTACAAAATAGCCATAAAATTATTTCCAGGAAGAGCCAGACTTCCTCATGTCAAACAGGGATTGAAAAAATCAGCCACACAGACGTTTCCTAACATTGTTGGAAAGTGTTTGCTTTCAAAAGTAGCATGGCATACAGCTGGGCCGCCCAGTACAGTGGCTACTAGCCCCACATGGCTATGGGGCACTTGAAATGTGGCCAGTCCAAATTGAGATGTGCTGTAAGAATAAAAAGACATGCTGATTTCAAAGACCTAGTAGGAAGAAAAAGCCAAATATCTTTTTGATAACTTTTCAATACTGATTACATATCAACATGATAATATTTTTGATATATATGGCAAAATAAAATATGTTATGAAAATTAATTTTACCTGTTTACTTTTGCTTTTTGAAATGTGACTACTAGAAAATGTGAAATTACATATGTGGCTCACATTCTATTTCTTTTGGAAGACAGTGCTCTTGCTCTAGAATTTGAGCATGAGCTTTGAGGTACAACAGTATTGGCTTGAAAGTATCTATGCCATTCACTTGTTGTATAATTCTGGCAGAAAAACACTTTCTGAGCTTGCTTCCATTTATGTAAAATGGGCAAACTAATACCTACACTTCAGGGTTATGATGGTAAAGGAATGAGCGTATGGAAAGCTGCTGGCAGCATGGCCTGCACTGGATAAACATTAATTTTTTTTCTTACTTGCTCTCTTGCCACATATTTTCAAAAACAGGAGGGAAATGACTTTGAATTTTGGTTTCCATAAACTAGCAAACCTAGCAAACTATCATTGAAGTGCAAAGAAAAATAAAGGTATTCTTGGATATGCAGAGACTCCTGGAGTCTCTTTGAAATGATTATCTAAAGAAGGGTGCCAAGAGAATAAAAATGTAAGGAGAGAGAGAGAGAGAGGGAGAGAGAAAGGTGGATTAAGAATAGTAGTATTAAACAAACTCCAGAAAAAGTTATTAAGTTATTAATTGTTGTACATGATTATAGATGCAAAAGAGAAATAATAATAATAGTACAGTTTTGGTTCTAAAATCCTAAGTGTTACATGGAAGCCAAAAAAGAGAAAAGGAGAGAAGTGTGAGCTCTGTCTTGTTCAGGAAGAGGATTTAGATACTGATTAACTTTGAATACAGTAAAATATTATCATTTAAAATATAATTTTGTTAAAAATATAATAGTATCAACTAGTACAATAGAAAATGATGATTAGTTCTAGATTACTATAGGAAAGTTAAATGGAACAAAAAATAGTCAATCAACAGAACTGTAGGCAAGGAAGTAAAAAGAGAAAACCAAAAGAAGTCCTTGTAAATAGAAAGAATGAACTAAGATGGTATGAATAAATTTAAGAATATTAATAATCATATTAAATGTGGGTGCTTTAAGTACAACTTTAAAAAAAGAAAAAACTCAGATTGGCTAAACAAATTAAAACTCCAGCTGTTTGCTGTTTACAAGAAATAACTGTAAAATAAAAAAATGGAAAAATGAAAAAGGAAAGGATTGAAAAGATGTATAATAAAATGCTAAAATGAAAGAAAAAGGACAAAAGAAAGAAAGGGCAGGAATATTAATATTATTAAAATAAAAGTGAAGGTCAATAGTTGTGAAAGAGAAAAATAGTTCACATTGACAATAGATACATTTCTTTAAGATGATTTGACAGCTGTGAACAACAGATCTTTGAAATGTACAAAGGCAAAACTCATGGAAATACAGAGTAATAGACAAATCCCAAAACATATTTAGAAAATTTAATACAATTTCTCAGAAACTGATATCAAAAATACAAAAGCATTGGTATGTAGAGCTTCTAATTACACATTTATGAAGCTTAACTTTATATATTTTCATAACCAACAAACCGCAGATAATATTCTTTCCAAACATGCATGACAACGAATTCTCCAAAACAGAAATCACAGGCCATATTTTCTGATCACAATGCAACAAAATTAGAAATTAATGACAAAATAAAAACCAAAGTAACCAAAATTATTCTTGTGATGAAGAAGAAAACAAAGCAAATTATAAGGTTACTCAAGGTCAACGAAGGCCCTACAAAAAACACAAAGCATGCAGGGTGTGGCCATAGAAAGGCTTGAAGAAAAATATACAGTTATAAATACATTTCTTAGAGAAGCAGAGAGGATGAAATTAGCATTGAAATCCAAAACTCAATAAAAGAACAATGGAAAAAACCTAAATGAAGTAGAAATAATAAATTATAAAGATAAAGTAGATATTAATGATATTGTTCTATAAAATATAGAGTTGATCAATAGAACATAATCCTCAGTATTTTAAAATACCCCCCAATAGTCTATCCTTTCACAAGTCTGATGTTAAGAAAAATTAAGAGGACATAAATAATCTTAAAGATTTAAAAACAAGATATAATATGAGATACAAAGGAAATTTCCATCATGAGAAGATTCGATATACAACTTTGTATTAACACATTTTAAAATTTAGATGAAATTAAAGAGTTTTTAGAATATATGAATTCCCAAAATTGACTCAAGAAGATGTGTCAAAATGAAATACAATAGGCTGGGCGCTGTGGCTCATGTCTGTAATTCTAGCACTTTGGGAGGCCGAGGTGGTGGATCACGAGGTCAAGAGATTGAGACCATTCTGGCCAACATGGTGAAACCCCATCTCAACTAAAAAAAATACAAAAATTAGCTGGGCATGGTGGCACGCGCCTGTAGTCCCAGCTACTTGGGAGGCTGAGGCAGGAGAATCGCTTGAACCTGGGAGGCAGAGGTTGCAGTGAGCCGAGATCGCGCCACTGCACTCCAGCCTGGCAACAGAGCAAGACTCCATCTCAAAAAAAAAAAAAAAAAAAAAAAAAAAAAAAGAAAAAGAAAAAGAAAAAAGAAATACAATAATAATCAGCAGAATAAATTAAAATGATATTCAAAGGTCTATACCCAGAAATAGTCTACACTCAGGTGCCACTTTTTGAGCATTTTTTCCAAAACCTTTAGGTTCAGTTAGCTAGTTAGCTTCCATGCTTTGTAAACTATTGCAGAGCATATAAAAGCATGAAAAGCTACCAGACTCACTTTTTGAGGCTAGTATTATACTGATAGAAAAATCAGAAAACTATCACACACACACACACACAGACGCAGACACACACACACACACACACACAATTGGCCAACCTAACATATAAGCTTGTATGTAGAAGTCCTAAGTAAATTTGGCATTTGAAATCCAGAAGTGTATTACATCAGCATTGCAAAATGATTAAGTAGGGCTTATCCAAGTAATGCAAGGGTGTTTAGAATTCGGACATTGATAAGTGTTACTTATGATAGCAACACATTAAAGAAGTCAAACTCAATAATCATCTCATGCATGCTAAAAAGAAATCACTTGATAATTAAATGTAAAACTGATTCCTCCGTACTTTTTAGAGAAATGTAAGAAGCATTTTTATCAAATCCGGGGAGGATACAAAATGTCAAAATTGCCAAAGCAGGAAGATAGGGAAAAGACACGAGAGGCGTAAATACAGAAAGAAAGGAGAAAAATAACTTTGCCTGAAGATAATACTGATTAGCTGCTTTGAAAATCCAATAGATTTCTCTGGAAATGATTGAAATTATGAAGAATGTTCATATAATTAAGAAGCTATAAAAACACAAACATTAACAGTCTTCTTGTACTATCAACAACTTGAAAATGAAATTTTTAAAAGATTATACTCATAATACAAGTAACAATAAAGAATACACTGAAGGCCAAGGGCAGTGGCTCACGCCTGTAATCCCAGAACTTTGGGAGGCCCAGGTGGGCGGATCACGAGATCAGGAGTTCGAGACCAGCCTGACCAACATGGTGAAACCCCGTCTCTGCTAAAAATACAAAAATTAGCCAAGCATGGTGGCGTGTGCCTGTAATCCCAGCTACTCGGAAGGCTGAGGCAGGAGAATCGCTTGAACCTGGGAGGCAGAGGTTGCAGTGAGTAGAGAAGGCGCCATTGCACTCCAGCCTGGGGGCCAGAGGGAGACACTGGCAAAAAACAAAAAAAAAACCAAAAACAAACAAACAAAAAACCTAAAAGAAAACCCAACAACAACAACAACAACAACACTTAAAAAAATAAAACCAGGACTAACCCTAATACGATTTATAAGACTTAGATGAAAAAAATTTAAAGAGAAATCTTTCCTGAAGGATATTAAATAATATCTGAAAATGAAGTTATGTCATGTTTCTGGATGATAAAACTCAATGTTGTAGAGATGTAAGCTTTGCCAAATTCATTTATAAGTTCAGCAATTTCCAAATCAAAATTCCCACATGAACTTTTAAAAGGAAGTTGGCAATCGAACCCCATAATTCATATAGAGTAAAAAAGTATAAAAAAAGAGTCGAGAGTTTTTAAAAGGAATATTGAAGATAACTTGCCATATTAGAAACAAAATATTTTATACTATGTAAAGCTGCAGGACTTCAAACAAAATTGATAGTACTTAAAACAAACAGAGATGGATTAATAGAACAGAAAAGGGAATTCAGGAACTGAGGCGTGTTTATTTGTAACTGGTAGATAACTAAATTTACCTGGAAAAGGTGAACTAGTCAGAAAACGAAATTAACAAAATTTGCCATCTACATGGAGAAATCAGTATGTTAAATTCCTAACTCACACAATGTTATTTTAATATATTTATTTAAATTATTTATGGGCCAGGCGCAGTGGCTCACGCCTGTAATCCTAGCAGTTTGGGAGGCCGAGGCAGGTGGATTGCTTGAGCTCAGGAGTTTGAGACCAGCTTGGCCAACATGGCGAAACCCCGTCTCTAGTAAAAATACAAAAATCAGCCAGGCGTGGTGGTGTGTGCCTGTAGTGCCAGCTACTTGGGGGACTGAGGTGGGAAGATTGCTTGAACCCAGGAGAAGAAGGCTGCAGTGAGCCGAGATCATGCCACTGCACTCCAGCCTGGGTGACAAAGTGAGACCTTGTCTCAAACAAATAAACAAACAAACAAGCAAAAATTTATTTATTTATCTACTAAACAATACATTTCAATTGGATTTAAGAGCTATATGCAAAATCAAAATTATGAAAGCACTAAAGAGAATTTAGGAGAACATAAATTACATAAAATAATATCCAGACTTTATTGTTATTTAAATAGAAAAGAGAAACCACAACACAATACATATTATGTATCATGTCAACGCAGAGAAAAAGTGAAACATGGGCAAAGAATTAGATTAATGCTTATATTATGTTACAATTGACTATAGGATTCAGTAAAGGAACATACCGTGCAGGTTAGTCTAAAAGAAATAGGCTCTATCATATACCCTAGGTGTATAGTAGGCTGTACCGTCTACATTTGTGTAAGTACACTCTGTGATGTTCACACAAGGACAAAATCACCTAATGACACATTTCTCAGAATGTATCCCTGTTGCTAAGTGATGTATGACTATAATTATATTTGTAACACAAAACCACAGAAAAAGTAATATAGCATAAATGAAGGACTGGAATGGTACATAACAATTTGTAAGGAGTGATGACCTTTAGGGAGGGGTTCGTGAAGGGGTATGGGTAGTGATTTGGGTACTTTGCTGTTTAACTCTTCAGGGCTGTCCAATAGAACTTTCTGTGATGGACCAGGAAGGAAGTGTTCTATATTCGTGCTGTTCAGTTCAGTAGCCACTAGTGACATGTGGATGTTGAGCACCTGAAATGTGACTAGTGCGACTAAGAGGATGAATCTTTAATTTTACTTGTTTTTTATTTTAAATAGCCACAGAAAACTAGTGGCTACTCTGTTGGCCAATGCAGTTCTATATGCTTTTGTTTGTAAAACATTTTTAATAATAAACATGCCCACTTTTGTTATGGCTTAGGTTATGTTGTGATAACCAACTTCCCTGAAAAATATCTCTGACTTAATGAAGGCTTATTTCCTTCTCACATTACACATATTCATCACAAGTTGGCTAGGGCATGGGGGAGGTTCTGTTCTATGTCTCATCATTCTAGGACCCAGGCTGACAAAGCCTATACTATCAGGAGTCTCACTAGTCATTGTGGTGAGAGGAATGAAATGATAGGAGGTCTCAGTGGCAATTTAAATCTTTCTTTTGGAAGGAATTAATACATGTCCATTTTTGCTTTTGCGAGTGTCATGGCCACCTTGAGTTCAAGAGGGTGGAGAAATACAAACAGACTCAATGCCCAGAAGGAGGAGAATTTACAAGCAGCCCTAATGTTTACAACATTTGTATACTTTTCTTTTTAATTAAGTAAAGAAGAAAGAAAAACCAAGTGAGCAGACAGGAGCTCAGGCCTCTATGGTAACATTCATAAAAGTGTAATCAATATTCACAAAGTACTTACCCGTTTTCTTCCTCATTTGAATAAAAAAGTTATCTTCATTTATAGAACTGGAGTACTCAGAATATGCTGAAAAAGTAGGTTACTGCTTCTACAGCTATTATGGTTGAATACCTGGGGAAATATTTCAATAGGATTTAACATTTTTAATTTTGTATTCAGGTTGATACTGAATATACATCTATTGTTTTCAAATAATAATTTATTTCAAGAAAATATATGAAATTACTGATAATACTATGATTAATGATGTTTCTGCAACTGTGTGCATGTGTCTTCTAGTAATATGATAGTGTGTGGTTTTGATGGCATCTGGAAAAAAGTGGTGGAAGAGAGAATTCACTATTCATTTCCACTCTTCAATGAATGCAAATGAAAGCAATGTTGTATAAAAAGAGTATAAAATACTCACTGAAGAAAAAATGTGAAGGTAAATGAACCAGGAATTCAGGCCACACTATCTCTGACGAATGGGTCTCTAAGTTCCTGTGAGAACTGATTTTGCTTACTCTGTGCAGGTTTGAGTCTGATAAGGAGCTAATACAGGGGGAAAACATTTTATCCTACAGAACCTAACTTTATCTTGTTGGAAGTCTAGGCACTAATGGGAGAATAAATTCAGGCACTCTGAATACATTACTGACTATTCAATTCAGAATTTATAGAAGAGAAACATGGTGCTTTATCAGTGACTGCTTCCTGCACCTGTCTAGTAGCTGGCACATTGCCTAGTCTGGCTAAATCCTACATTCACTTGGTGATATCATTTAAGGCTCCTTTCTGCTATTGAGCTGTGCTTGTAATTCAGTGTGTCTTAAACCAGGTCTATGTCAGAGCACTTAACTCTTTGAATAGGAATGAGTACTAAAGGGAACAAGTTGAAGCCCGCTGACCAAACACCCCCAAGAACTCATCTTCACTCAAACAAATTAGGTTTATTGAGCTTGGTGCCTTAAGGGATACCACCCCCAAGAAGAACTCCAGATCTGGAAGGCCCTCCTTAGAGGGTTTAGACTTGTGCTAAATCTTCCAAGAAGAATTTAAGGAATCAAGACCTCTTCTAGATTCTCTGTTAACAAGAAGATAGAACAAGACAATTTGGTGACTGAATATCTTAGTAATGTTAATCTAGAAGGCAGGAAGATTAAAGCAAGGCTTGAATGGTCATTGGTAAAGAAGTGGCAGTCACTTATGGTGATGAGAAGAGAGGGGTTTTAAATCATTTTTGTGGTTATGGAATTAGCCTTCTCCAAGACATGGTCATAAGGTGGCCTTATGGAAACATAGTTCATTTTTTGTAAGCTTTACTTATGGTCAGTTGAGAATATCAGAGTTGACTTCAATAGGACTGTTTTTAACTTTTTCAGGCACACAGCTACTTTCTTGTTCAGAAGGGCTTTTGGACCTGTCTCCAGCCTCTTGTATTTAATTACTCTATTAGATTGACTTTCATTGGAATTTCAGAGAAAGACTAAGCTGTTGAGGTTTTTGGAGGAACGAACCTCACCAGATATTTCTAAGCTGTTGTGTGGGTGTGATGGGCTTCGGGTAAAATACATGCTTACAAAGCCAGGCGTGGTGGCTCATGCCTGTAATCCCAGCACTTTGGGAGGCCAAGGCGGGCGGATGATGAGGTCAAGAGATCGAGACCATCCTGGCCAACATGGTGAAACCCCATCTCTACTAAAAATGCAAAAAAAAAAAAAAAAATTAGCTGGGTGTGGTGGTGCGCGCCTGTCCCAGCTACTTGGGAGGCTGAGGCAGGAGAATTGTTTGAACCCAGGAGGTGAGGTGGAGGTTGCAGTGAGCCAAGGTCGTGCCAGTGCACTTCAGCCTGGGGACAGAGCGAGACTCTGTCTAAAAAGAAAAGACATGCTTACAGGGGGAAGCTGAAAGTGATAACCATCCAACTCTATACATGAGTTGACTATGTCCAGATGAGCACTTTTAGATGCCTATCACCTGTACACACATGGAGGAGAAATGTGGTCCCAATTCCTCCTCCTTCCCTATATCCATATTCTCGCACTGGCCTTATCATAGTATATATTCTCACCTTTTGGTTTTGGCCTTGGCCATGTATCAGTAAAATTTTAGCAGATGTGATGCAAAGCAGAAAAGACTCTTTTGAGGAAATGAATTAAAATCAAGATCTGAAAGATGAGAAGAAGTTAGCTAAGCAAAGGAAGATGTCATGTGTGAGGAGGATGAGCTTTCTAGGAAGAGGCAAGAGGACTTAATGCGATCTGGGAAAGGAGAGAACAGAATTCAATGGAGAGGGAGTGCATTAAGATTGGTGAGAAAGGCAGGGATTAGAAGACAGTCTTATAGACTGTACAGCAGATTTGAAAATGTATCCTAATAGTAATGGAAAGCTATGGAAGAGAGTTTAGCTTGGGAGTGGCATGATCTAATTTACTTTTTTGAAAGATCTCTTTGTTTGCAGAGTTGTTATTATAATTAGGGATAGAATTTGGGAGAAATGAGTCCTAGCATTTTTCCATCTTTGTCAGGGTGCCATACAATACAAATTGACCCTCTCATTTGTTCCATTAAAATCAATGACTTTGTTTAGGCAAAGTGGCTCCTGGATATCATCCCAGAGAGGGGTTGAAGGGTTCTTCATAATGAAAATAAGAGAGTAGCCAAGAGGATTGATTTTGGAGTGAGCCAACAGTCCTTGGTGACACCAGGCCAAGCAAAGGAGGGCCATTAGACTGGGTTTAGAAAGCTATCGCTGTCAGTAACTGAGAGGATGCCATTTTCTTCCAAGTGTAACTCATTGTGAAAATGAGGTGGATAAGAATAAAGGGTATCTTTCTGTATGAGAACTGAAAAGACATAACCCTTTCCAGCGTAGCCTCTTTCTGATTATTCAGATTTAGATTTCATCTGGAGGCGTAGTTTTTGCTATGTCATATGTCAGAATATTAGATTCTCTCATTTAGAAACTCAAGAGGGCTGATATGACATATCCTTTCACAGGAAAACAAAATCAAGCCGAAAGTGAGATCAGATGACACTAACTCTTAGAAACTTGAAATTCTGAGAACAGGAAATGAAATTACAAGAAGAAAATTGGCTTGTTTATTTAGGTTGGCTTGTTTGTTTTTTAAAATAAAGAATTTTAGAAACAGTCAAAAATGGGCTGTGGATTGCTGATTTTGCTGGTTACTTTAGGTTTGGGGCCTGATTTGCCTTTATAACCTGATAGTATCCATGCCTTTATTTCCAGAATGAATAACTTATGATGGGAACTTTAGTTGCACTGAAGTTGTCTGCAGGCTAAAATGTTACATAATTGTTAGGAGAGCACATTTTAGGACATTGAACTGTGCAAAAGCGTAAACTGTGTTAAAGGTTGACAGAGGTTGTAAGAGCTTCTCAAGTAGAGAACCTGTTGACATTTTGGGCTGGATAATTCTTTGTTCTGTGAGGGGTTGTCCTGTGCATTGTTAGATGTTTAGCAGCAACTTGGGCCTATACCGACTACATGCCAATAACACCCTCCACACATGAACAACAGTAACTGTCAAAAATGCCACCAGATAATGTTAATGTTCACTGGGGTGCCAAATTACCCCACGTTGTGAACTATTGGACTAAATACTATAGAAACAGTTTGTGAAATGACTGTTGGGCAGATTTTAACCAGTTATTACTTTTCTTGACTATGCCCAAGTAGAAGATAGGCTGTTTATACATAGGTACAGAGCTCCACCCCAGCACAAGGGAAGACTTCTGAATATGTTATCCTATGGTTTTCATCATTGCTGAAGCTACGAGTGAATACTTGGGTGAAATGTCAAAGGTATTTGTTGAGTTTTAGAAAATCTTTTACTGGTCCCTGATGAGGGTGAAAGAATTTAAAAGATGTAGTGTGTGTGTGTGTGTGTGTGTGTGTGTGTGTGTGTGTAGATAGAGAGACTCAAGATCTATTTTTAGAAAAGCATGAGAAAAACTCTAAATTCAATGTATTATATGCATTTTATGCACGTGACAGAATATAAAAAACTAAATATCCATTGAAAAAATCCTCATTAAAGTAGAGTTTGCTTTTTCTATTTACCTTTAGATATTAGGGCAGGGAATGAGAAATGCTGTGGCTTACCAGAATGAAAGGCTGCTGGATGAGGTCATGTGTGATTATGTTTAAGAACATGCAGAAAGGGCCAAATAAAACTGGTGACCACAAACAAGTGGTAAAGGAAATTGAGAGGGTGGATTTAGAAATTACTTTCATTCAGAGAATTACTGGGATATGAAATGAGAAACTTGGCTTCCTAGAGAAATAGCTGAAGTCACCAAGTGTCAAGTAATTTGAAATAGTGAGGGATGACTCATAGCGTGTCTTTGTAGAGTTTGCCTAGCCTGAAATACTGATGGGAAGATTATTCCAAGGAAATTAATAAGATAAATCTAAATGTTAGCAAATTACCAAAGAGAGCTAAAGATGAAAATGGAGAATACAAATAATCCATTGTTTAAACAAGAATGAAACACCTATCTGCAAATAATCTTCCTGTATCTAGAAGTGATGCATAGTGGTTAAGGGCGTGAGCTCTTGAAACAGACTGCTTATGGTAGGATCCCAGCTCCATCACTTATTAGCTGTGTAGGCTTCAGCACACTATTTAATTTCTCTGCTTCAGTGTCCTCATTTATAAAATTGGAAGAATAATAACAGTATCTACCTTACAGGGTTGTTGTGTGGATTAAATAAGTTAAAATGCAAAGCAGTTAAAGCTTTTTTTCTTTTTAGAAAATATTAGTTTTAATTAATTCTACTGAGTAAATTTTAGCTATTATTATTAATTGAAAGCTCAAGGGAATATGATTTGCTTATAGTCATAGATATAGTTAGATACAAATTTAGGACCTGGGCTTTCACTTCACATCATTTTCTCTTATGTCAAGAAGCTGTTCCCATCCATATAATGTATCTGTGCATGCGTGTTTTTCATCTCTCTCTGTGTGTATGTGTGTGTGTGTGTGTGTGTGTGTGTGTGTGTAGATTGGCAGAGATAAGAGCTAGACATAAAGGCATAATAGTACAACACAATTATGTATTCTTTTGTATCAGTTTTATAGCACTATCATATATGAGTCTCAAACCAATTTTATGGTGTAAGGTAAAAATAAATTCTCATTTTATAGACACAGGAACAGAGGTTCAGTAGAAAAGTTAAGCAATTTACCCCAGATATCAGAGCCTATGAGTAGAAAAAATGGAATTAAAAACTGGGGATTCTGACTCCCATTCTGTGCTTCTACCCATGGTTAAAGCTGAATGCAGGAGACATGACAGTAGAAGGGTAACTGGGGTTCCTGGAAGCACATTGGCCTGAAGTCCTGCAGGCAAGTGCTGTCGGGAAGGGACAGCATCTGTCTAAGTCCTTTCTCTTCTTTCTTCTGTAGAGAGCTCTTGAATCCATTCATTTAACCTCAACCCTCTACCCCACCCGCCATAATGTCTCACCTGGTTTCCCACCTTCTGACTGGTCAATCCACTTGCTGCCATAATGATGATTCTAAGGACCAAATCTGATCAGGTCACTCTTGTCCACACTTCCACCCTCATCCCTTCAGGGACTCTCCATCCCCTTTAGACCAAGCAGCCTCCTCCAGGGCAATTACAGCCCTTCAAATCTGGCCTGTGCTCCCTTATCAAGACTCACCTATTCCCACTACCCCTATGGTCCCTCCATGGTGAACTATTATTTCAATCTTCTCTAATGCATCGTAGTCTCTTTTCTTCCTGCCCTCTACATGTAGCTCTCTTGAAGCATTAAACACTTTGTATCTTAACTATCTCTGTGGGCTTTGAAAAATGGATAGTGTCATCAGGCAATGAAACTTGGGCAGAAGACCTTGGCAAAATCAGTCATTATTAATATTTAACAGATATTAACATTATTGCTCTGAGTAGATGCTATAAATTGGCCTTGTGAGAGTTATAGCTTCTGCCAGTTCAATACATTTAAATTCTAACTCTGGAGCCAACATTTTCTAAAGTCTCCTCCACACTTTGTAAATTGGAAAACCAAGCAACTCTCTGCAGAGATTCTGCTTTTCCACCACTCCCTCACCTCCTCCCCAACATAAGAGCCTCTCTGATCCTCAGAGAAGGCACATCTGGCTCTATTTGCAGTCTGGGCTCCCTTCCCTCAACGGGCTTGTGCATGCAGCTAAACTGAACAGTCTGGGATCCATGTCTTTCCATGGGCTTTCTTCCCTCATTCTCAGGAGTGGAAAACTAGAGGAGCTGGAACTTCAGGCTTCGTCCATAAGCCAAGGCTGGTGACTCTTCCCAGCTCTCTTCTAGTTCTCAATTGCTTCTAGGAATGCTCAAGATAACTCACAATGTCTCACCCTGTCACTCTAACTGGGGCTCTGCCTCCCTTACTCCTCAGGGGTGATTCATATTTTTGAGATTTATAGAAATGGCAAGAGTTTGTGAGCAGTGCATGGCTTATCTGGATACATTTTACAATAATAAAATGTTAGATCAGCTTGACCAAAAAACTGGAAGATTTATCTTAACATCTGATATGGTTTGGCTGTGTCCCCACCTAAATTTCATCTTGAATTGTAGCTCCCATAATCCCCACGTGTCATGGCAGGGATCCAGTGGGAGGTAATTGAATCATGGGGGGCAAGGTTTTTCCATTCTGTTCTTGTGATATTGAATAAGTCTCATAAGATCTTGATCACTTTTCCCTTCCACAAGATATCACACTGCTCCATTACATTGATGACATTATGCTGATTGGATCCAGTAAGCGAGAAGTAGCAAACACACTGGACTTATTGGTGAGGCACTTGTGTTCCAGGGGATGGGAAATAAATCTGACAAAATTCAGGGACCTTTCACATTGGTAAAATTTCTAGGGGTCCAGTGGTGTGGGGCCTGTCGAGATATTCCTTCTAAGGTGAAGGATAGGTTGCTGCATTTGGCCCCTCCTACAACCAAGAAAGAGGCACAACACCTAGTGGGCCTATTTGGATTTTGGAGGCAACACATTCCTCACTTGGGTATGTTACTCTGGCCCATTTATTGAGTGACCTGAAAGGCTGCCAGTTTTGAGTGGGGTGCAGAACAGGAGAAGGCTCTGCAACAGGTCCAGGCTGCTATGCAAGCTGCTCTGCCACTTGGGCCATATGACCCAGCAGACCCAATGGGGCTTGAGGTGTCAGTGGCAGATAGGGATGCTGTTTGGAGCTTTTGGCAGACCCCCATAAGTGAATCACAGGCCCAGAAACCTAGGAGGAAAAACGATTTTGTGGGCTGGGCCCAGGGCCTTGCTTCTTTGTGCAGTCTCGAGACTTGGTGCCCTACCTCCCTGCCTACCAGCTGTGGCTAAAAGGGTCCAAGATATAGCTCAAGCAGTTGCTTCAGAGGGTGCAAGCCCCAAGCCTTAGCAGCTTACACGTGGTGTTGGGCCTGCAGGTGCACAGAAGTCAAGAATTGAGGTTTGAGAACCTCTGCTTAGATTTTAGAGGATGTATGGAAATACCTGGATGTCTAGGCTAAAGTTTGCTGCGGGGGTAGAGCCCTCATGGAGAACCTCTGCTAGGGGAGTGCAGAAGCGAAATGTGGGGTTGGAGCCCCCACACAGACTCCCCACTGGGGCACTACCTAGTGGAGCTGTGAGAAGAGGGCCACCATCCTCCAGAACCCAGAGTGGTAGATCCATCGACAGCTTGCACTGTGCACCTGGAAAAGCCACAGACAATACTAGCCCATGAAAGCAGCCAGGAGGGGGGCTGTACCCTGAAAAGTCACAAGGGTGGAGCTGCACAAGACCATGGGAACCCACCTCTTGCATCAGCATGACCTGGATGTGAGACATAGGGTCAAAGGAGATCACTTTGGAGGTTTAAGATTTGACTGCCCTGCTGGATTTCAGACTCGCATGGGGCCTTTAACTCCTTCGTTTGGACCAATTTCTCCCATTTGGAATGGTTTTTACCCAATGCCTGTGCCCTCATTGTATCTAGGAAGTAACTAACTTACTTTTGATTTTACAGGCTCATTGGTGGAAGGGACTTGCCTTGTCTCAGATGAGACTTTGGACTGTGGACTTTAGAGTTAATGCTGAAATGAGTTAAGACTTTGGGGGACTGTTGGGAAGGCATGATTGGTTTTGAAATGTGAGGACATGAGATTTGGGAGGGGCCAGGTGTGGAATGATGTGTCCCCACCTAAATCCCATCTTGAATTGTAGCTCCCATAATCCTCACATGTTGTGGGAGGGACCCAGTGGGAGGTAATTGAATCATGGGGGCAGGTTTTTCCCATGCTGTTCTTCTGACAGTGAATAAGTCTCACAAGATCTGATGGTTTTATAAAGGGGAGTTCCCCTGCACATGCTCTCTTGCCTGCAGAGAGACGTACCTTTGTTCCTCCTTCATCTTTCACCCTGATGGTGAGGCCTCCCCAGCCATGTGAAACTGTGAGTCCATTAAACTTCTTTTTCTTTATAAATTACCCAGTCTCAGTTATTTCTTCATAGCAGTATGAAAATGGACTAATACAGCATCTCAATCTAGGTCCATTCTTTCCACTCAAGTGTGGAAAGAATAAACTGACAAAAAGTCAAAATTCTAACTGCACGTGTCCTGGGTCTTCAGAAAAATTTAATAATATAAAGCAAATGAAAGCTTGAGGCTTTTGGATATTATGGAAAGATCTTAAAATTACATGGACATTGTTGTTCAGATCATAATTATTTTCTCAGTTAATTTTCTGGTTCATGGTGAAATTTGTCCACTACACATCACAAGTGATTATGATTTCTTCTTAATATAAAATGAAAATAGACTAAGATGGAAAAGAAGTTTTCACTTCAATTGTATATGTGACATATTGAGACAATATTCATTGATATATAACCTAGAAAATAAAGGCAGAAGTCTGATTTCAAAGCATACTATAACTGGAAATATTCACATTCGTGTTCTCAAATATAAAATAATCTAGAATATAAACTTCATATTTTTTTTATTTTTTGTTGTTGCCTTTATGCCTTTTAGGCCGCTCATCTTTTTTTGCTAAGATTTGAAGTCTTATATTTACCTGTCTAACTTACTGATATGACTCTAACTTGCAGAGGACAGGGAATCTTTCTTTCCTGTTGGTACATCCAGCTTTATCACTGATAGAACCTTCAGCTAGTATCATAGGAGGCAAAAGAGTGTGATTTACAGTATAAAGCTCAACCAGTGGTGATTTTGCTCCTAAAGACATTTGTGGTTGTCACAACTAGGGGGTTTGCTACTGGCTCTAGGCGGTAGAAGCCAGAGATGCTGCCAAACATCCTCCAATGCACAGATCAGCAAGGAAACAGATTTTCCCCAACTCTAGAGTCTCCAGGAGAAGGGCAGCTCTGCCAACACCTTGATTTTAACCCAGTGAGACCCATTTTTGACTTTTGATCTCCAGAACTGTAAGATAATACAATTGTGCTGTTTTAAGCCACTAAGTTTGTGGTGATTTGTTGCAGCAGCATTAGGAAAATAGTACAAATAGGAACAGGCAATTTGCAGAATAGGAAATAGACATGCCAACAACTATACAAAAACAAACTGAAACTCAGAAATTAAAATGAGACACTATTTCAAACCCATCAAACTGATAGTCGTAAAAATATCTGACAATGCAAAATGTTGGAAAGATGTGATATGAGAATAACTTTTCTTACTGCTGAATTTTGGCTAGAAATATGAAAAATTTATTATTGTTAAAAATGTGTATGGCCTGGAGCACCATGATTTTGCTTTGAAGGATAAATCCTTGAGAAAAATATGGCACAGGTTCACCAGGAGAGCTCTAGAACAATGTGCATTGCAGCATCATCTATAATTACAAAACGACTGGGGGAAACCCTGATTATTGGCTAACAGAGGAATTTATAAATACGTTATTCTAAGTGTATAGATTAAATGCATTGGTTATAATGAATAAATGTAAATAGACCAGGCACAGTGGCTCACACCTGTAATCCTAGCACCTTGGGAGCCCAAGGCAGGAGGATCTCTTGAGCTCAGGAGTTCAAGACCAGCCTGGGCAACACAGCAAGATCTTGTTTCCACAAAAAATAAAATAAAAAAAAATTAGCTGAGTGTGGTGGTGCACACCTGTAGTCCCAGCTACTCAGGAGGCTGAGGTGGGAGGATCACCTGAGCTCAGGAGTCAGAGGCTGCAGTGAGCTATGATCACACCAGTGTACTCCAGCCTGGATGACAGAGTTAGAAAAACAAAAAGAATGAATAAAGGTAAAATATATGTTTCAGTACAGGCTGACCTTCAAAACACACTGTTGAGTATTAGAGCAATTCGCAGTCAGATACACACAGTATAATAACATTCATATAACTTTAAACACATAAAACCAAACACCGCATGTTCTCACTCATAGGTGGGAATTGAACAATGAGAACACATGGACACAGGAAGGGGAACGTCACACACCGGGGACTGTTGTGGGGTTGGGGGAGGGGGAAGGGGGGGGATAGCATTAGGAGATATACCTAACGCTAAATGACGAGTTAATGGGTGCAGCACACCAACATGGCACATGTATACACATGTAACAAACCTGCACGTTGTGCACATGTATCCTAAAACTTAAAGTATAATAATAATAAAAAAAGGGAAAAAAAGCACCATTAAATGTTCATGGATGTCTATTTTTGTAGTAAAATATGAAACATAGGCAGGAGGTTGCACACCCCTCTGTGCTGGCAGTTGACTATGGGAAGTGTGGGAGATGGAACTAGAAAAGATGAAGGAGATTTCAACTACATCATTAATGTTCTACTGACTACAATGTCAAAACACAAAAATAAAAATAATGCATGAAATACTTTCCCCCTTTTTTGTTGGCTGGTACACAGGTGTTTCTTATATTTTTCTTTCTCTTTTTGCCTTAAAATTTTTTTAAATACAAGTATAAAACCCAAACGATGGGCATAGAAAAGAAAGTGATCATATTGAAATTGGTTTAGAATAAACCCTAGGTTAAAAGTTATGTTCAAAACAGCCGGGCACGGTGGCTCACGCCTGTAATCCCAGCACTTTGGGAGGCCGAGGCGGGCGGATCACGAGGTCAGGAGATCAAGACCATCCTGGCTAACATAGTGAAACCCCGTTTCTACTAAAAAATACAAAAAATTAGCCGGGCGTGGTGGTGGGCGCCTGTAGTCCCAGCTACTCAGGAGGCTGAGGCAGGAGAATGGTGTGAACCTGGGAGGCGGAGCTTGCAGCGAGCAGAGATCGCACCACTGCACTCCAGCCTGGGTGACAGAGCGAGACTCCATCTCAGAAAAGAAAAAAAAAAGAAAAACAAAAAAACTTATGTTCAAAACTCATCAACTCCACTTCAGAAACTCAGGACATACCTTGATGCATTACTTCTGACAAGTTTCTTCAGGAATGAAATTAGCACTGGATTATACAAACATGGCATAACTGAGCATTACTCAAATTTGTATCACGTTTTTCAATCAAGAAAATTCTTTGACATGTATTATCCCAACTGATTTTCCAAAGACTCCTATCAGTTAGGTAAGTCAGATCTTCTGAACAATCCTGTTTTCCAGGTGAAAGGAATGGAGTCCCAGAAAAGACAAAATGACTTGACCAAGGTCAGTAAGCAGCAAAAGTCCGAACGTGAATGCATGCTTTTTTATTCTAAATACCATGCTTTTTGTACTATATCAACTATCTTCTGGGATGAGAAAGAGCTGGTTCTTGTTTTGTTTTTGTTTTTTAAAGAAGCCCTAGATGTTTTTTAGTTGACACAAGCAGCATAAAAGTCTGTATTGTTCATTGGCCACTTAAACAAGCAAGAAAATAAGCAAACAAACAAATGATTTTTATTCTGGATCAATATTTAGTACAGTGTTCTATAGAGACTTGTCCCAATGTTTAAACTTTATTGGATAATGTCCTGGGCAAGGAATTTCAAGATGGGTATTCATAAACAAGGAACAGATGAGGATTACTAAGATAATAAAATGTGGTAGTCATGTTAAATGTGGAATCATTAAATGATCCAGTCGTGTTTCACAGGGAAATGAGAAACATTAGGGGAAGTGGTAGCTGTCTTTAACTTTTTGAAAGATTTCCAAGTGGAAGAGAAAAGGAAAAATACAGAGGTAGAGCCAAAGTAAGGAAGTGATACAGTGATGCCAGCTCTCAGCTAAGACTATAGAACTTCTCAAATAGCTGTTCAAAACAAACAAACAAACAAACAAACAAACAAGCAAAAACCCAACGATGAAATGGGCTGTCTCAGCAGAGTCTAAGCAGAAACTGGATGAATGGTTTTCAGCAACGCTTAAGAGGAAATGCTTATGCTTATTTTGGAAGAAGCACTTAACTAGGTGAGACAAATAAAATCATTCTCTGCCTATCATTTTCCCTAACACATGTCTAAAATGTGGAAGAAGAAATTTACTCACACAGTTCTGGAGTACCCTCCAGCAAGGGGCTTTGAAGTAATAGAGATTCCCTCTAGATTTTACAAATTGTGTGTGTGTGTGTGTGTGTGCCTGAAAGAGAGAATGGAGAAGATACACTTGAGAAGATGTTGGAGAGAGGTATCCTTTCTGGTTCTGTTGTGCAAACCTACTCTTGTAGGGTCTCTCAAGCTTAGGTCAGGTATGTGACTGAGAATGTCACAAAAGAAGGTAAAGGAACAGATAGGTATCATTTGTCATCGGGACTCCAGAGCTTGGTAGGAACATACACAAATAAGTGGACCATTGTAGAGAATTGAGGCCAGATGGCTTACTGGAAAACTGATCACAGGATTCTGCATATAGCATTCTCAAATTGCAGTATTGTGAGTCAGTACACTGCTTAATATGAGTATAGGATTGGGAAATGCAAGGGAGGAATAAGCCAAAGAAACTTGGATGCTTGAATTCATCTGTTACGTCTGGAGGCTTATGTGCGAAAAATAGTAGGTTGACCTGAGTCATGTGGACAACAGAAAGCAGATCCAATATCTCCATTTGGTCCTCCATTTTCTGTAGAAATACAATACAAAATTTCAACACAACTTCCTTAGTAGGTTTATTTTGCTCTTCCCACCTTCGTTCCAGTATGCCATCATCTCACCATGTCCTTCTAGAGATACCCTTGGTCTTGCTGACATTAACATTATTCTTTCTGAGGATTTACTGTATGCACTTTAACTAAATTATGGTCGTTTGTATGCACATTACAGTGGGGGATGTACTGCCTTACAAATATATAATCTTGGCTCAAATCAGGACTCTATGTGAATTAGTTTAACTATACAGCAACCGACAAAAAAGCAGCTATTTTAAACCCGAATGTTTCCAAATTTTATTATAAAATCTAGTCATGTACCTGAGCAGATGAATACTGAACCATGCTGGCAAAGGTAAAAGATGAGGATGTTGCTTTATACCAGTGTGGAAAGAAAGCTCGTGAACTTGTGGAGCCTAGTTTTAAGAAGACACTACTCCTTTCTTTTTGCAAATTTCAAGCCAAGGGTGGAGGAGGAAAAGAGAGAGAGAGAAAGAGTGAGGGAGAGAGAGAGAGAGAGAGAGAGAGAGAGAGAGAGAGAGAGAGATCAGAAAACCTACCTACCTAGGGAAGTTTTCTTTAGGGGCTGCTTCTCAGAACATGGCCTATTTTGTCACCAAATCCTTTGGGACCACTGAAAATGATGGAATGGTAGGTACTCCCACTTCTAGTGTTGATGGCTTGTGATGCATCAAAGGAGGCTGACTGTCTACTAAATTAAATCATACTTCCTGGGATTACCTCAGTTTTTCAAAGAGGGCTTCCTTGATGCTCTGAGAATATTTAATATTGAACTAAAAATTATAGTATGATGAGTATTGTGGCTAACTCTCCAGAATCTAGTCTACCCCAACCACTTAGCCTCTAAGACAGTCATGAAAATTCCATCTTTCTTGCCAGTAATTATTTCAGGGCTGGGCAGGCCTAAGCTAGTTTGGACCAAAGACAGGCCGGGAGAGACTTGCTTGGGGTGTGTGGGAAGGAAGCTTCACCAGTCTTAGGAGAGACCCATGAAAAGCCTCCCTCTCACTCGAGAGACATAACTGAAGGCGGACGGGGTAGGTATAGATTCTTACCTGCAGCTGTCCTACAACTACAAGGGGAGCATGCCTTAGGATGAATTCAACCCTATAGGCTTGAGAAGAAGCTATTTCTTTCTTTTTTATTTTTTACAAGTTTCAAAGCCTCAGATGGGAGAAACAGAAAGAACTCAAGTCCTTGATGGCACAGCTGAATCTCTGAAGCTCACACTACTTCTGGACTTCGTGTCCCATGTGTTATTACATTACTTCCCTGCCAAAGTCAGTTTGATGTGAGGTTCATTGCTGCCCACAGTCATGAACACCCAAAGTGGTACAAATCACTGGTAAGAATCCTCTCTTTTTGGCAAGTACAGCACAGCGATGTAATTAGCATGGATTCACAATTGTCATTTCTGAAGTGATGCTATTTAAAATCACAGGCACTTATCCCAGGTGAAAGAATACAATTTTTACCAACTATAATGAGATTCAACAATTACAGCAGAGTAATTTTGAAAACAGATGTCATGATACTCCCATCTTGTGCAGAGCTGATTTTAGTATTTTTATTGGCAATTCTTCACAAACTGCTCAGGGCTGCTGTAGCTGTAATTGATAAGACTGATCACATCATGAAGAACATTAACATGCTAAATTCATTTCAACTTTCAGGTTGCATTTATTGTAGATTCTGTGTGAAGGCTCTCATTGCTTTGACTTGAAAAGTTCAAAATAGGACTCAGTTTTACATTTTATTATCTCTACCTTAAACCATTCCTAGCACCCCATGTCTTAACGTGTCTGGAATTTGAGTCTCAGGGAAGAAGGTGATTTTAGCAGTTTCTTGGCAAGCTGGTAACTGATTAGATTTGTTATGGATGAAACAGAGTGTCTAGGGACATTACTCTTAAAAAGAAGCCAGTGGCATAACATCTTTAAAGTTAATGCATAAGCTGCTTATCAAATATTAATATTCATGATTCCCAATATATTAGTTTTCTTTCTTTGGATGGCCTTTCCTTCTTTTCTCTGCTAACTCAGATCTTTCTTATCCTCTGATTTATAAGACTTAGCTCAAGTAAAATTCCTTCTTTAAGCCTTCTCTAGCTGAGTCATACCATAGATTGGAGGATAAGCTGGTGCCATATTGACAAAGCTGGGTCCTTAAACTCTAGCAGATCATTTCAGCACATAGTAACTGTGGGCAATTAGACAGTCAATGTTGCATAGCCCTAACTCTGAATTATAGATCCACCCTGACCTCTGAGCCTTATTTAGTGTTCTCATCTGTAAAACGGGGAAATTGATAGTATGTAATTCAAAAGTTATTATGAGGATGAAATGGGATAATCCAAATAAGGCCTTAATCTAACACCTAACACATGAAGAATGTTCAATTAAAGTTGTAATAATTACAGTATACCCATAAGATTTCATTGGGTCGAGATACATACACTTTTTGGGTTTGTAGAATTCCTTTTATTTGTACCTTGTCCCAATTTTGCTTTTAAAAGAAAAATCTGTGTTTTATTTCCTTGACTCTGCTCAGGCTCTGCGTTTCATATTTAATAATGGAAACTTCTCCCTAATCAAATGATTTGATATCTTCACAGTAAAAAGGGGGGCAATTTTACTTAATTTATGTGGCAATTTTACTTACTTTATTCTTACATATATGCACACATGTACATATAAAATCAATATTCATAAGTAACAACTAACTACTGAATTTCTTTTGATATGGCTTAGTGTGACCCCCTCGACAACTGCGGGCAGGAGGGTGTACATGCTACACATAGCATGTTTTTACAAGACAAATGCTTCATGGGTTGTATAAGCAAAGTAGTTTCATTAGAAGCAGAAACGATTGTCTTGCAAGATAAATGAGGACCAGTAACACCCAAAATTTACTTTCAACAAGTAATTGCCTCACACTAATATCTTCTCTGGTTTCTAGATTATTCTTTTGAGAAAACATAGAATGATGGCTAGAGTGCAAACTTGGAAACTTAGATATAAATCCTGGCTCCACCACTTACTTTCTGTGTGACCTTGGGCAACTCATTTAACTTCTGACTGACTTCTTATTTTTTCTCAGCACTATTTTCCAACAAAAGGAGCTAAAGTATCTCCTCTATTATCCAGTATTATGCAGTAAGGGGCTAACTCAACCTGACTTCAGACTTCTTCCATTGAAAACTGTTTTTGCTTTTGTTGCAGAAGGACTTTTTAGGTCACCAATTTCACTCAATACCTTACTCAATTAACCACTACTGGAAATTCTATTAATAATATTCAGGAAAAAATAGCATTACTCACCATCCTCTTCAGTTACTCTCAATCACATCACTAAAGGTAATAATGGAAAATAGAGACCATCCAGGAAGTTATCCAGTATTTCTAATAATTATTTGATTAAAGAGTGTATTCCTGGTAGAATATTTCTGGGATGAATTTAGGGGGGATTCCATGCTTGCATATTTATTAATGTTTACCAGGCAAGTGCTCAAAGTGAAGTTAGAAGATGTGAGTGGAATCACTTAGCCAACTCTTGTCACTCTCTTTTGTTACAAATAAAATAACATATGCAGAGGGCTTTGAACATTCCAGTGCCCTGTATGTAAAGAAATCACGAAAGAAATTTTATCACCTTGAAGTGGATAAAGGAGAGCATGTAATTTATGTAGAAAAAATCCAGTGCATAAAACCACAAATAAATTAAAAGGCAAACAGTAAAACAAGAAAAAAATTTGCAACACATATAAAACTAACTAATTTCCCTACTAAATATATTGTTCATGAAATCTACAAGAAAAGACAAACAATCCAATAGAAAAATAGTCAAAGGTCACAAACAGTTCATAGAGAATAAAGTACAAATATTTTATAAACAAAGGGATAATCTGTTTTGCTCCCAGTTAAGAAAATGAAAATAAAACATTAGTTACCATTTTTCACCTATCATATCAGCACAAAGTTCTATAATACCCATTGTTGGTGTGGGTATGGGTAAGCGGTAACAGGTGTAGCCTTGGGGCAATCTCTTTGGTAGACAATTTATCAATTTTTGTCAAAATTGCAAATGCCATTTGACTGAATGATGCCTTGTATAGGGATTTGTCTTATGTGTATTCTTGCATCTCAAGCATGTACAGAGCCACATGTTTGAGACTATTTACTGCATAGCACAGTTTATAACAGTAAGAGGCTGAGAAAAGTTTAACCATCCACCACTGGGGACTGACAAAATACATGATGGAACACCTGTGCAATGGCTTACTAGGCAGCTAATTAAAAACTTGGTCATTAGAATGATCTCTAAGACACATTACCAACTAAACAGCATATTGATTAAATAGGACTAAGAAACATTTCAACCAAATGCAATACACGGACCTTGTTTGAATCCTTATAACAAACCAACTTTGAAAGTGCATTTACGAACCATTAAGGGAAATTTGAACACTGACTGGATATTTCCATAATACTAAATAGTTATTTTATTTTGTTAGGCTTGATAATGATGTTAAGGGTACGAAAAGAAGAACTCTTTTATTCCAAAGCAGCGTAATGAAGCTTTCTGAGTGAAATGACATAGTGTTTGGGATTTGTTTAATAACTATCTATGAATTATAAAGATTAATACTTGATGAATTGTGGGAAGGAAAAGGAGTATAGATGAGACAAGGTTGGCCCTGCGCAAAAGATTACTGTAGCTGGATAATGGGTACTTCATTAACTGAGGCTTTTTTGGGGCTTTGTTAAACTATTATTTACCTTTTGAGTGTTTGAAATGTTCCCTAATAAAGGTCAAAACTAAAATCTAATAACTGAAACTTTTAAAAGTTACGATAAACATTTAAAAACTAAACAAAACAAAAAAGCAAGGTAGATAATTATGAATATAGAAGGCAAACAATGAATCTGCATATAATTGATAACGGTTTTTTTTCTGGGGAGGAAATAGGGAGCTTAAAGTGGAAGCAATATTTACTTTTCAAAATTCTGCTAATGTTTGAAAACAATGGTAGAAAAACAAAGTGCTATACAAATATTAAATTTGCTATTAAAAATAACGTATGCCACAGTTAAATCCAAATAAGCTAAGGTTCTCAGCAGGGCCATCCAGTTAGCACATTTATTAATTTAGTCCTGCTTAGACTTCTACTGACCACCTAATTATTTTAATTACAGTTTTCAGCTTGCTTGCAAATCATTTAGTACTTGGTAGAAAATGATAATACAGAAAACACATTCTTTTATATTTATTTATATATAATTTATTTAAAATATTTTATTGAATATTTTAATTAAATATATAATTAAATCTGCAGGCTTGATTTAATCCATGAAACATTTATTAGAATATATGTATATGTTACATATATATATATAGAGAGAGCGTGCACAACTTTTCAAATAAACAGAAAAATAGAAACATAATGGAAATCCACCACGTAGATTTTCCCATATTTTCCTCATCTATTTTGTCTGAAGTATTTTAAAGTAACTTACAGACATTATAACATCTCATCCCCTAAATACCTAAGTATGCATCTCTGATAAAATAATGAGTCTTTATATGATCATAGTATCTTTATAAATCTAACAAAATTAACAATAATTCCCTAATGTCATATATAACTCAATTCATGTTCAAATTTCTACAATTGCCAAACCAGGATCCAATCAAGAAGCATCCATTCCATGTGATTGTTGTCTCCCTTAAATCTCTTAATCTAAAAACATTTTTTTCATCCCATTGACCTGCTGAAGAAACCAGGCCAAAAGTCCCCATAGGGGAGCATCACCAGAAGGAGATAAGTAGAATGGATTCCACCAAATGGAATGACACTTGGTTCTCTCCAGGTTTCCTGCTAGCTGAGAATGGTGGCTCTCCTTCCTCCTAGCGGGAGGTACTGCACATAGCCTTAACTTTCCACAAGGCTGCCAGGCTCTGTCAGCAGATGCTTTCAACTACCCACAGTGCTTGTCTGTCACTTTCCTGAGCCCACAATTCCCAGGCTCCTCCTACTTGCAAAGCCAGTCATGAAAAGAATTCCCTCTTTTATAATATCATACATAATGCCTTCTGCTCTGCACACATCCTAGTGTGGAAGCTTCTGCCTATAAGTTCTAGCCTACACCGTGCAAAGATTGTTGGTGTTTTCCTAACACTTTTGGTGATCAGTGGAGCCCAACTGCTTCACATAATAGTTCGACTTCCTAGACTTGTTCAGTTGTTACCTCTTGGTGTCATTTTACTTGCTTCTCTATCCCCTATGTTTCCTGTAAACTGGAAGTCAAATCTTTAGGCTTGATATAATTAACATTAAACACATATTGGAAGGAACTTCAGTAAGTCATTGTGTGTATTTCCTATGACATCACCTCATAAGTTCTGATTGTCCCATTCTTATTAAAAAATGATAACTGATCACTGGGCTAGGTTGGTAACAACTGGATCCCTCCCTTGTTAAGTTACATTGCCCTTCTGGCAAACAGTTTGTAATATCTGAGGTGATTCTCTAATAACATGTGATTATTCAATTCCCCATCACCAGTTTACCTAGTGGTTTTAACATCTGTGGATAATCCTTGTCTGAATGAAGGGCTACATGAGAGGCTACCAATTGATGGCTTTCTAATTTAATCATTTATTCTACACTTGTCAGCTGTCATTCTAGTTTGAGAAAGAGCTTTCTCATTAGCTATGTTAATTTGGTTACTCAAATATGATTCCAATAGCAAACCAAGATAAATGTTTCTGTTTCTTCAATACAAATTCCAGGGTAAGTAATAGGTGTAATAATCTTCTCCAAAGATGGCAAAAGAGTGTTTTCTTGTTTCCTTCTTACAGACACATGGATTTTAATATAGTTAATGTATTTCAATCAGTGATAGCCATTTTTTGGAAGACATACCATTTTCATGTATTGCAGCGAAGGTGTATGAACTTTCCAACTAATTTTAGTTGGAATAATATGAAAATTAATTTGAATTCTTCAAAAATATACAGCCTCATTATTTCTTTTGGATTCTTAAATGGCCCCAAATTTGGTCAATGGGAGCCCCTTCAAGCTAGCTTCCACGCTCTCCTGACTAAATCCCATTAATATTTGAGTGCTTCCTTGCTTTCTGGCTCAACAGGCTGTCTGAAGTTCACCTTGCATTTCCCATATCCTATGCTTAAAAATAGCAGTTTCTCTAAATAGCCCTGCTTCTCTTCAATAGTTTATAGCATTTAGGGATCATAGCTTTTGACGTGTCATTATTTCCAGATGTTATCAGAAGATAGCCTTAGAAGACACACACACAAACACACACACACACACACACACACACAAAATGAGTATATCGATTTTTCCAGTTTAAATTTAACATTGCAGAATTTCTACTTATTTAGTTTTACACCTTTAGTTCTTTTATACTGAATAATCTTGGGCTATATAATACACTTACTTTAATATACAAAAATAGTTTCAAGATAACAATGCAGTATTACCACTAAGCATAAAACTGCTGAATGATGTTTAAGATTTCTTTGCATTTCTTTTTTTCCTTATAATGAATGCTCTAAGGATGCAAAGTCAAAGGACTGTGTTTTAAAGACTTGAAATAATTATTTTCTCTGGTTATATTACCAATTGGATATCGAATTAGGTTCATTTGTTTTCAAATTTTAGAAGTTTTCTTCTTTTTTGACACTATGCAATTAAAATTTTTTTAATTATGGAGGAAACCAGTTATTTTTATGAACGTGAGTTCTTAAGTTCTTAGCCAACCCTCCAATAGTTAACCTTCACTGTGGACCTCTGCCCAGAACTTCTATTCCTTGAATTTTCAGTCGGTTCTCCAGGCTCTAGGTATTGGCCTTTGGGTAAACCTTTAGAGTAATTATATATTTATAGATAATTATTGAATTCAGATACTTGCCTGAAAATATTGCCTGTAATTTCACCCCTTTTAATTTCTTCTCCACAAATTCTAGGTTATTTTCTTTAAATATGCTTAAGGGTTTTGAAACTGATAATAGAGTACCAACTGGAAGGAGAATCGCAAGATTTCAATAAAATCGAAAGGAGGTAGAGAGGGCCCTGGATGTGTCTTGTCCTATGAGACAAGGCTTCTCATAGGCAGAACTTGTTTTCAGCTTCTGCACACCCACGTGGCTGGACACATTATTTACAGTAGGCATTCATCCTGATTAGTCAGTTCTCATGCCTGAAGAGTCATGAAATATTTTTTAATATCGTTCCTTTTCGAGGCATAGGATTTCATCTCCCAAGTCAATCCTGTCTACAGTGGGAAACTTTCTGAATAAAGATAAGCAAGAACAAACTTCTTATGAGATTAAAACTTCACAAGGAGCCTGCTGAGTAAATCTGAACTGATTAAGTTTACTTCATATAATTTTATCTAAGAAGATTAAACATAGTTGTTTTCTAGTGCAAGCTAATTAGATTCTCCCTTGTGTCCACTGATGGAATACACATTTTGTTTTCATAAAGACAACACAGTTTTCATGGTAATGTGCCTCTGGCTCTGGCAGAGAATGAGAAAAGATGCTGTTGAAAATTGATTGCCTTGTTTTTTCTCTTTAGATTATAGACTGAACTACTGAAGGTGTTCTTGGAACATGCAATTTGGATGTACTTTACCTTTGAAGAGTGAAGGTGGAAAAGACTAAACAAAGTAATCAATAAAACATTAAAATTCCTATAGAAATATATGGACACCTTTTTACCAAGTCTCTGGAAAATAATGATCAGGAACAATAAAGCTAGTCAAAGTTGAGAGAAGTCTTGGGAGCTAACAACTTTTCCTCATGTGAAGCTCACACAGGGTTACTGGAGGTGACGGATGGAAGTTTTGAGGATCCGACTAGGGCAGGGCTGAGGTGCAAGTGGGCTTTAACAAAAATGACAAGCATTGTTTGTTTGAGCCATTATGTGAGCGTCTCTAGCTGGCAGGTGAATCTAATCTTACCTGACACAATGATATAAACAAACACTTTTACTATAAGTAATTGGGTCAAAAATCACAAAAGCAGACAAAAATCAAAACAAAATAAAACTGAGAAGTGAGGGGAGTAGGAATTTTCTCTCATCTCCCATGAAGTTGTTAGTAGATATTGTGCCATTTTAGATTTTTGAAATTAATACATATATTTTAAAGAGATAAAATGTGTTTATCAAAATTATAATTTAAAGTAAAATACATAACTATAAATTTACCAGAATGAAGCTGGGAGATGACAAAGACAACAATGATGATATAAAAAAGGAAAAAAAAGAAAATGTCAAGGAAGTCCTAGCCAGATCAGTTAGGCAAGAGAAAGAAATAAAGGGTATCCAAATTGGAAAAGAGGAAGGCAAATTATCTCTGTTTGCAGATGATATGATCATATATCTTGAAAATCCTAAAGACTCCTCCAAAAGACTCCTAGATTTGATAAACAAATTCAATAAAGTCTCAGGTTACAAAGTCAATGTACACAAATCAGCAGCACTACTATATACATCAGCAACGACCAAGCTGAGAATAAAACCAAGAACTCAATCCCCTTTACAACAGCTGCAAAAAAAAAAAAAAAATGAAATACCTAGGAATATACTTAGCCAAGGAGGTAAAAGATCTCTACAAGGGGAGCTATAAAACACTGCTGAAAGAAATAACAGATGACACAAACAAATGGAAACACATCCCATGCTCCTTGGTTGGAAGAATCAATATTGAGAAAATGACCATACTGCCCAAAGCAATCTACAGATTCAATGCAATTCTCATCAAAATATCAACATAACAATAGCTGCAAAAATATTAAAATACTTAGGAATATACCTAACAAAGGAGTTGAAAGACCTCTACAAGGAAAACACAAAACACTACTGAAAGAAATCATAAACGACACAAACAAACGTAAACACATCCAGTGCTCATGGATGGGTAGAATCAATACTGTGAAAATGGAAAGGAATAGAGAACCCAGAAATAAAGTCAAATATGTACAGCCAACTGATCTTTGACAAAGCATACAAAAACATACACTGGGGAATGTACATCCTATTTAATAAATGGTGCTGGGAAAACTGACAAGCCACATATAGAAGAATGAAACTGGATTCATATCTCTCACTATGTATTACTTTCAAATGGCAAAAACCACAATTACTTTTGCACCAACCTAATAAAAAAATCAACTCAGGGTGGATCAAAGACTTAAATATAAGACCTGAAACCATAAAATGTCTAGAAGACAATGTTGGAAAAACTCTTCTAGACATCGACCTAGGCAAAGGCTTTATGACTAAGACCCCAAAAGCAAATGCAACAGAAACAAAAAATAAATGAATGGAACCTAATTAAACTAAAAAGCTTCTGCACAGCAAAAGAATAATAAAAGTAAACAGATAACCCACAGAATGGGAGAAAATATTTGCAAACTATGCATCTAGCAAAGGACTGTACTGTAGTTTCCAGAATCTACAAGGAACTTAAACAAATCAGCAAGGAAAAAACAAAAACAAAAACAAATAATCTCATCAAAAAGGGGGCAAAGAACATGAATAAACATTTCTCAAAAGAAGATATACAAATGGTTAACAAACACATGAAAAGATGCTCAACACAATGAACGTTTGTTCAATTGCTCATTGTGTTGAGCATTTAAATAATTAAAACCACAGTGAGATACCACCTTACTCCTGCAAGAATAACCACTAATGAAAAGTCAAAAAACAATAGATGTTGGCATAGATGTGGGGAAAAGGGAATGCTTATATACTGCCAGTGGGAATATAAATTAATGCAATCTCTATGGAAAGATTGGAGTATGGAGATTCCTTAAAGAATTAAAAAGTAGATCTACCATTCAATCCAGCTATTCCACTCCTGGGTATCTACCCAAAGGAAAAGGAGTCATTATATGAAAAAGACACTTGCACATGTATGTTTATAGCAGGACAATTTCCATATTGCAAAGATGCTCAGTGCCCATCAACTAATGAGTAGATAGAGAAAATGTGGTATATATACACCATGAAATACTACTCAGCCATAAAAAGAAACTAAATGATGTTTTTTTGCAGCAACCTGGATGAAGCTGGAGGCCATTCTTCTAAGTGAAGTAATACAGGAGTGGAAAACCAAAAACCGTATGTTTCACTTGTAAGTGGGAGCTAAGCTATGAGTCCACAAAGGCATACAGAGTAATGTAATGGACACTGGAGGCTCGGAAAGGGGGACTAGGGATAAAAAAACTATATATTAGGTACCATGTACGCTACTTGGGTGACGGGTGCACTAAAATCTCAGAATTCACCACTATATAATTCATCCATGTAGCAGAAAAACACTTGTACCCAAAGCTATTGAAATAAACATTAAAAAAATAAAGAAATGTCAAGGAAGCACTTAAAAATAAACATCATGAAAGGTTATTCATAATCCAATATATTAACTTTATTATTAAATTTAAAATAATAAATTTATTTATTAAAAGATAGAACTGAGTATTTAAAAACAAGAAGTATGCTGTGTACAAGAAAAAGGTATAATGAATACAAATATATGTGGAATATAAGAGAAAATTTACACAAAAGGAATCAGAATGATTAAAAATAAAAAAATATGGGAAATATATTAAGCAAATGCAAATTAAAATCAAACAAGGGCTTAATTAGAAATTTAAAATCATTGACTAAGACAAAAGGATCACTTTAAAACAATAAAGTGTGAAATACACAGCAAAGATATAAATATCAGAAGCCGGGCAGGGCGCGGTGGCTCACGCCTATAATCCCAGCACTTTGGGAGGCCGAGGTGGGTGGATCACTAGGTCAGGAGATCGAGACCATCCTGGCTAACATGGTGAAACCCCGTCTCTACTAAAAATACAAAAAAAAAAATTAGCCGAGCGTGGTGGCGGGCGCCTGTAGTCCCAGCTACTCGGGAGGCTGAGGCAGGAGAATGGCATGAACCCGGGAGGCAGAGCTTGCAGTGAGCCGAGATCGTGCCAGTGCACTCCAGGCTGGGTGACAAAGCGAGACTCCGTCTCAAAAAAAAAAAAAAAAAAAAAAAAGAGATCAAGACCATTCTGGCCAACATGGTGAAACCCCGTCTCTACTAAAAATACAAAAGTTAGCCAGTCGTGGTGGCAGGCACCTGTAGTCCCAGCTACTCAGGAGGCCGAGGCAGGAGAATCGCTTGAACCCGGGAGGCAGAGGTTGCAGTGAAGTGAGATCACTCCACTGCACTCCAGCCTGGCAACAGAGTGAGACTCCGTCTAAAAAAAAAAAAAAAAAAAAAAAAAGAATTAGAAGCCACTATATCACAGTTAACACAACATCAAGAAGTATTTTTTTAAAGTTTTGCAAGAAATAGAATAATAGTGGTAGAATGTATCATACATCTCTCTGTCTCTGATAGGTTGAGCACATACAAATAAATTAAGTCTATTTAGAGTTTAGCAGCCACTTCTCCTTGCCCATTTTTCCTGTCTTTCTCAGTAACAGATCCCTTTATTGTTGGGAGCATCAGTGTGCCCAGACTTTTAAATAAACTGTATTTTTCAGCATCCCTTGAGGATGAAGGAGCCTCAATGAGAGGTAAGCAGTAATTATTGGGTTAGGTTCCCAGGAAAGTTTTTCAAAAGGGAACTAACTTAGGTAGGTGGGAGGCCAGTACCCTTTTCTCATTCTTCTTTCTGGTCCTAATGATAAGTCTTTTTCTTCTTCCATGTGTCAACATGGTAGTTATAACTTATAATTGTTAATACCAAACATTTAAAAAACTTCAATTTTTTAACTGAATGAAACTGGTTAAAGTGTCTTATTTCTTCACATGCTGGTGGATTTTTTGAAGATATTTTATTTAACATTCTCATATCAGTATTTGAAGAGATTTAGCTATAGTTTTCTACTGATTTCCTCAACAGCTTTTGGTATATTTATTTTATCTTCCTCTGATAAATACACTCTGATCTTACCTTGAGGAAATCCCTTCTCTCATGCCATAAGATTCTAGAAAGACTGTCTATCATCGCTCTCCAGCCTTTTCTCCCACATCCGTGAGAAGACTCACAGTAATCAGTCAAAGTAATCTATTCTGACCACAGTGATTACTTTATAGGCCAGCATATAACCCAATGTAAGCCAATCATAATCTTCCTAAGATTCAATATATTGGCACTGCTTCTCCAGCAACATAGAGAGATAATAAATTCAGAAAATTAGAAGTGGAGATGAGTAGAAGTGAGAGATGGGTAGAAATCAATCCTTGTTGACAGTTTAGTCTGAGGATCCAGTCACTCCTGATCTATCAACAAAATTTTCAATTATATTGCCCAACAAATTCTCCTTTGTGCATAAATTAATTGGAATTTGGTTTTGTCACTTCTGGCCAAAGGCAGCCTGATATATACAGCCTTGATGTTCATCAGTCAGAACTGGTTAAAGATATTATGGCAGATAAATGCAATAGAGAATTATTTAGACTTTAGAAAGGATAGTGGAGATCTATAGCTATTGTTATGGAAAGATATTCATATTATTGAGCGAAAAAATCAGTATTTTAGTATGATTCCATTTAAGTAAAGAACATATTTTTATATTTAACATATAACATATATTTAGCCATGTGTCTGTGTGTGTATGTATGTGTATATAGATGGTCCCTGACATATGATGCTTCAACTTATGATATTTTGACTTTATGATTGTACAAAAGTGATATGTATTCTGTAGAAAATTCACCTCAAGTGGCCATACAACCATTCCATTTTTGTCTTTTAGTACAGTATTCAATAAATTACATGAACTATTTAACACTTTGTTATAAAATAGGCTTTGTGTTAGATAACTTTGCTCAATTGGAAGCTAATGTGAGTGTTCTGGGCACGTTTAAGGCAGGCTATTCTAAGCTATGATGTTCATCAGGTTGTCTTAAATGCATTTTTGATTTATAATATTTTCAACTTACAATGGATTTATTGGGAGTGTAACCCCATTGTAAGTTGAGGAGCATCTCTCTCTCTCTCTGTGTGTGTGTGTGTGTGTGTGTGTGTGTGTAATTTTTAATCCCAAGTACAAAAGCACAAGAAGGAACTCAGCTGAGAAGACTGGTGAAGCAAGCCAGAAGTGAGCTCTGCTGAATTTTGTTGTTCTTCTACAAGGTTTTACTTAAGACTGAATAATGGGAACTCTGGGAATTGAACTTAGGTGATAAATGATTAAAAAAAAATCAAAGTAGCTCTGTAACTGAATTTGTTGTTTGCCTATAAAAGGAGAGCTATGTCACTCATGTGTGAGTTCAGCACATCTCCCTGAGCAGAAATTTAAAAGGTGAGACACAGGGCAAAAAATAGGAAGTTCACCAAATAAGGCAAGTCATGAGTATAGTTCTCTGGTTGGTACTGATGTCAGGAAGCTGGCTTCAAACAGGTTTGGGATTGGTTGCTTAAAAGTCTAATGAGCCCTAGGTCAATCAGTAGATGCAATCATATTCTCACGTTCAATACCTAATAAAGTTTTCCATTAATAGATGTCATCTTACCTATGTTGAGGTCATAAGATTGGATCATATCTTTGCAGTTGAGTAAGTGTTTGCACCTAGAAAATATGTCATTCTCCCTCTTGATCAAACAGAAAAGAGGTTAATTTGGTGTATGAAATGAGGATTGATTGGGTTGCCATTATAGTGGAGTAAAGAATTCTTCTCTATCTGAAACCTAGGATCGGGGTGATACATGAAGAAGCCCCTGAGCTTCTAGTGGTAGGAGATAAGCTTCCCTGTAAAGGCTGGCTGGGAGCAAAGCTGAAAACTCACCTCCTCAGGGACCCTAAAGATGGGTCTTTATTTGGGCACTGCTATCAAACTATTCTGTTTTTCACTTTTTTCTATTATCGCCAGCTTTACAACAAAGTCTCATAAAAGGCATAGCCTGGTTTTTGTTATACTGACATGAGATATGGAAGACAGTATATACTTTACTTGGGATAAGCAGGGTGATAGGATATTAGTGTTCCCTTCTGAAAAGTTCAGGGTGGGAAGGAAGTAGCAGTCACCTGGCAAGGATAGCATTGCCCTGAAGAGCCATGATCCAGTTCACAATACTACTTAGTGAGTGTGGAGGCAGCAGGTTGGCCATGTAATGGGGATGTTGGAGTGGAATAGTACTTCCCAGCATGTGTGAGGTATGGTCCTGAATCTCTGATATGGCTGGTGCAGGGCACTTGGCAATAAAGATATATAGGAATATGATCCCAACAATTTCGTGTGTGTGTGTGTGTGTGTGTGTGTGCATGTGCATGTGAGTGTGTGCGTGTAGACCATGAGAAGGAAAATGAAGGGGAAATTGAGGAGGGCAGCAATTTGAAAAGATGTTCAAAGTTTTCAAACACCTTAACTGTGATGTGGCTTCAACTTATTATTGATTTCTTCTTTGTGCTGTTCTGATTCTTTGAGTTATCTTTTTAAATAATTAGAATTTGTGAATAAAATATTTTTATATGGGCTGAAAAAGGAACTAAATTTTTAGGTTATCTGATATTTAGCAGCATTTAGCAGGAATTACATTTGCTATATCATGTCTAATTTTGGAACAGACTCTTCATCTTTGGAAAACATTCCTTACAATGTGGAAAGGTCAGTGAGCCTTTTTATGAGACAAGAGTTCAGATTTTCTCCTTACTGGTCAACAACTAAATGACTTCAAATGAGTTTCTTTACTTCTTTAAACTAGTTCCTTATCAGTGTAACAGAAAGGTAATTTCTATTCTATGTAGTAGTCATCAGGTATAATTGAATTGTATGTGCATACTATCAATTATTATGAAAAGTTTAGGTTTTATTAGTGTTATTATTATTGTTACTTGTACTGGAATTATGATGACGTAAAGTTTCAGTGAAATAATTTGTTTTCCCCATTGGATATCTGGCTGCTAAAAATGATGAAAAGACTCAATACAGGCTTTCAAAAGAAAGCAAATAAAACTTAGGGCAAAAAAAGAGGAATTGGATTTGTGAACTGGAATTTAATATGTAGTGCGTGAACTACCTTACAGAGATGACTTAGAGCACTCAATAAAGGCTTGTTGGTTGGTTCATTTAATTTAGAACAGCAAAATCCGTGAACATCAACATTGGCCCATCTACCCAGGAAGGGCTTTGTGAAACAAATAGCTTTTGGTCAACAGGGCTGATGACAGTATGAGAAATTCAATATACTCCACATCTATTTGTATATATTAGATTGGAATATTGTGGCTTTTGTGGCAATCTGTGGCAGAAACAAAGTGTTTCAGCTGCAAGTTGAAAGTACGTGTCAGTTTACTGAATGAAAAAATATACATTGTGTCACTACTTAGAAATATAATGAGGAGTATAAATTGTTTATACGGATAAGGCAGTAATGAAATACTGTGCAGCAAAATACATTTATTCTGGTCAAATATTCTAAAAACTACTTGCAAACTCCTTTTAAAGTGTGACAATCTCCAGAACTCCTGTAGCTCAATAAAAAAGAGACAAAGCTCAGTAAAAACTAGGCAAAAGACTGGAACAGACACTTCCTTGAGGATGCTATATGAGTGGTCAATAAGCCCATAAAAATATTTTCATCGTTAGTCATCAGGAAAATGCAAATTAAAAGCACAATGAAATACTCCACAGATTCATCAGAATAGCTGTTGATAAAGATGTGGAAGAAATGAATCAATTTTCTCTTACTGGTAGAAATGTGAAACGGTACAACCATTTGGGAAAACAGTATACTTTTCTTATAAAGTTAAACACGCACCTACTTTGGACCCAGAAATTCTACTTCTAAGTATTCACTCCAAAGGAATGCAAATATATATTCAACAAAGTGTAGTTGAACCAGCTCTGGCTCAGAGCTTCTGTGCCCCAGTCTTGACTCTATGGGGGTTTCAGCAGGTTCTGTAATTTCTCTGAACTCTACCTTCTAATTTTACAAGGACTACTGGAATTAGGTAATTTCTAAGCTTGCTTAAAGCTGTAGCCTTGCTAAGATTATCTGAAGTGCTCCCTTGTGATATGACTCTCATCTTAGGAGTCATAAAAGCTGTGCCCACTTGCCGCCAGCATGAATAAGGGCTCAGATTGCAAGTAGTTCAAAATGTTTGGTAGCTCTTCAGGAATTGTCTCCTTTTCGGAGGAAAGCTCTTCCTCATCCACTTCCCACAAGGGCTCAAGGGGAATGAGGGTAGATTTGGGTTAGTGAACATATTTCTGATTATATGTCTGCGTACATTAATAAATATACTCATTAACAAATATTTATTGAACACTTCTTACGTACAAGGCATTGAGTTGAGAATTGACTTTTGAAGAATACACAGCTATTAATGAGACACATCTTCTCTCCTCAAGGAGATGACCACCTAATTAGAAAATAGATTTTAAAATATCATAAGGATACATGACAATATACATCTCACAGGTGAGATATACATAAAGGGCTGCGAACCAGAAAGACATTAAAAATTAGTTCCAATGAGGGGAAGGAGTGCATAAAGGAACTTTTTTCATGAAGAACTTAGCAGTGGAGCTGTACCTTAAGACATGAGTTGGTTTTTACCATGTAGAAATGGTAGAGGAAAAGAGAGGAAAATGCATGGTGATATGACAGTCCTGGGAATGATGAAAAACTGGATACACCTGGATAGAGGATGATTGGAGCATGGTAATGGGAGAAAAGATTCAGTTCAGATAATGAAAGCCTTGGCATGCTATTTGTGATGTTTGGACTTTATTTTGTGGGTGTTTAGGACACTTCTTGGTACTGACAATATTCCAAAGAACAATTTACCTAGATTAGGGCTCAGCAAACTCTAGCATGAATGTCAAATTTGGTCTGCGGCCTATGTTTGTGCAGCCTACAAGCTAGCAATGATTTTTTGTATTTATAGATGGTTGGAAAAAATCCAAAGAAAAATATTTAATGACAATGGAAAATTATATGAAATTCACATTTTCGTATCCATAAGTACAACTTTATTGGAACACATTTCAGTATCCATAAATATAGTCACACTAATTTATTTATATATTGTCTATGGCTGCTTTTGTGCTCCAGTAGTGGAGCTGAACAGAAACAGTGTGGCCAGCAAAGCCTGAAATATTTACTATTTGGCTTTACAGAAACAATTTGCCAGCCCCTGGCCTAGATAATCAAAATCTGAAACTTGTTTAAGAACTTTATTTGTTTTTATTGATCACCTAAGGCAAAACAAAACAAAAACCCACCACTCTTTAGCTATCTGGCCCTTTTAGTTTTCTTCTTACTCATAAGGTAACCCAGTATACTTTATTAAAAATTCTCTGCAGCCAAAACCATGATGATCCATGACAGGCTTTTCTTAAGATAAAAATTTCAAAAGGAAGGCCCTAAAAATAATCCATAGGGCAGACAAATGCTAGAGTAACTATAATGCATGGCATAATCTGTGACTATAAACTATAAATCACACAGGCTGCATGACAACTAACGTATATGAGCAGAAATGAATTTATCCAAGGAAAGAATGGGCAAAGTGTTTTGTGGAGTGGTTTACTCCTGGCTTTTAAACACAGACTGTCTCGTTCATAGGCAGTGTCTTCAAAACTCGTGGCAACTAGGCTCAGGTCATGATTTGAGAAGGTTATTTTGCTCCCGGGAAATAAAGAGTTTGGAATAGAAGGTTGTGGGCTCGTCATTGAAAATTACTCCATTATGAAACAAAGGAATAAGTTTGTCATTGGCTCCCCACAGCATCCTAAAAAAAAAAAAAATCCTGGGGGGTTTTCCCTATCTGCTAGATAGAAACAAATAGAAAAAAAACCCAAACACTAAAAGGCCTTTAAGGCTGAGAATTATTTTTGATTTTTATTTCTCCTGTAGCAACTTGCAACAAGTTGTCACCATCATCATCATCATCATCATCATGTTCACCATCCTCACTATCATCATTGTAGCCATCAGTTTTTGAGCATGCTAGAAGCCTTATATTCATGTTTACTTCTAATCTGATCAATGGTCTTATAAGATAAATATATCATAGATGAGGGAGTTGAAGCTTAGAAAAGTACTTTACCTTGCCTGACACAATGACAGGGCTGGATTTGAACCTTGGTCTATTAATGCCACAGTCTAGGTTGTTTTCCCACTACAGCACTACCTCCTAAGCCTCCATGATGGGATATGTAGAGGCTTGGTGAGTATTTTCTAAAATTAATTTATTTTTTAAATTGTGGTAGAAAACACAAAATGTATCATCTTAATTATTTTTAAGTGTACAGTTCAGTAGTGTTAAGTATATTCACATTGGTGTGTGATAGATCTCTAGAACTTTTTCATCTTGGAAAATTGAAATTATTCCCATTGAACAACAACTACCCCTTTCCCTTTCTTCCCAGTCCCAGAAAACCACCACTCTATTTTCTGTTTCTATGAGTTTGACTATATTCCATATCTTATATAAGTGGAACCAAACAGTATTTGTCTTTTTGTGACTGACTTATGTCACTTAGCATAATGTCTTCAAAGTTCATCCATGAAGTAGCATGTGAAGGAATTTTCTTCTTTTTTGAGGCTGAACAATATTCCATTGTAAGTATACACCATGATTTCTTTTTCCATTCATCCATTGATGGACATTTGGGTTGCTTCCACCCTCTTGGTTTTTGTAATACCGCAATAAATATGAATATGAAAATATTTCTTTGAGTTCTGTTTTCAATTAGTTTGGATATCTCCCCAGAAGTGGGATTGCTGGGTTATACCATAATCCTATTTTTTTTTTTAGGAACTACCATACTGTTTTCCATAGCAGTTGCACTTTTTTTTCATTTCCTCTTGGTGAACATTTTTGAATACATGTAAACCTGAATGTCTTCATTGCCCTAGACATATCAACAATGAAGTGATTCTGAAAATCCTAGTCAGCACTAGATTAATTAAAAGAAAAGGCCCATCAGAATTATGGAGCATCTGAATTATAAGACATTTTAAAATTAAGTGCCTTTTGTTTCATGCAGATATTCAGAAACAAAATAAAGTAGCTTGTCATTTCATCTAGCAAAGACTCTTTTGGGCTCTATTTAAGGAAAAGAGAAAAATGATGTAGAATTAGAAATGTCTGTTAGTATGAATCAAATCCACAATAAATGTCCAATAGTAATTGTCTCAAATCTATGCAGCATTTATCCAGAGCAGGCAAACTTTGGCCAAAATCCTAAATAATTTACCAATGGTGCCAAATCAGTGGAATCTGAAATTGAGACTGCTAAGCATTAAAATGTCCCCTAAATAAAATTCAAGCAGTTGTGTCTAAAACTGATCCTTGACCTACCACGGTGTGGCCATTTTATCTCACAGACTGAATTACGTTATCCGGAATCTTCTTTTTCATTTCTGAATCAATACTTTTCATTCATTTTTAAGTAACCATTTTTTATGCTAATCTTGTGGAGACGTTTGATGAATTTTTGGCATCGTTTAGACTTGTAGGTTTTTAAGAGCCCTCTACAAATGATGTCAGCTGCTCTATCTTCCACTGACATTGCATTTGTCCCACATTACTCACTGCATTTTGAATAGCTAGCTGAACTGTCTTTGGGTATATAAGTAGATCTTTTTTTTTCTATGTAAGTGAGGGTTACAAATCTTTTGGGCAGATGGTAGGGAATAGAAGGAAAGGCAGAATATTTGGGAGAATGTGCTTTTTATTTCATTGAGAGCTATAGGGCTCACCTCATAATGCAGCAATTTTGCATGGGAGGAAATGAAAAGGGATACTGAAATTAATTTTTCTTTGTACTTTCTCATATCTATTTAGCCTGAAAGTTGCAGAATCGTAAATACATAATTGGGAAAGGGCAGACTGGCCTGGAGCAACAATCTGGGCCCAGATAACACCAGACACAGGGTTAGGAGTTCAGAAGCTGAAGGGTTCTATTCTTCACCTTGACAGAAAATCACTTGGTATATGATCATCTAACTTTCTGAGCACACTTAAGGGCTCAAGGCTATAGCTGCAGCCACGCAGGAAGGTTATAAGGCATGAAGTCATTAACATAGCCTATGACATTTGTACCTTATGATGGAACATCACTGAACTTGGAATTGGAAAACCTGGGTTCAAATTCTGGCTCTGCCTCTAACTGACTGGATGACACTGAACAGCTCTGTTCTCTGAATCTCCTTCCCCGTCTGGAAAATGAGGATGAGAATGGAATTTAGTTTTGCTTCTCAAACTGTATGGGTGAAGGACCAGGTGTTTTATTTCCAATTCATCAACAACTGATACTTTTGGTAAATATAATAAGAAAATATTACTTAAAATTATGTGTTTAGATATCAGTAATGTCAAATTGTGATGCAAGTTTCTACATGTTTACTGTCAACTTCTGTACCTATCTCATTGTGGACTTACAATAAACATTTGTTTTGAATGGGCACTGGTACTCAGGCCATATTTTAAGTAACACTGGTATAGAACACATGTTGGCAAACTACAGCCT
This sequence comes from Homo sapiens, assembly GCF_000001405.40. NCBI lineage: Eukaryota > Metazoa > Chordata > Mammalia > Primates > Hominidae > Homo > Homo sapiens. The sequence goes on along the minus strand of NC_000023.11, from coordinate 15,172,618 downwards.
GCAGGTCAAATATGGCCCATTGCATATTTTTGCAAATTGAGTTTTCTTGGCACACAGCCATGGCCATTTGCTTATGTATTGTTCATGGCGTTTTCACTGCTGCAATGGCAGAGCTGAGTTGTGACGAAGACCCTGTGGCGCCCAGAATATTTAATACCCGGCCCTTTATGAAAAGCTCTGTGTACCTATGTTTAGAGGGGACAGAAAAATGAGGGAGCTGGATTAATTTTCTAAGGCCCTTTCAAGCACAAAGAAATAATAATTTTGCCAAAATGCTTGGTAACAGGGAAAATTGGCTGTCTGACCCTGAAAGAGAAATAGCCAGAAAACGCTGTCCCTTTCAGTGAAATAGATGTCCTATAAAGACATTCTGTTCCAAACAGCAGTCTTTTTTTCTATCCCCTCATGTTTCCAATATTCCAGTGTATTCCTCCTGTGTACTCTAATTACATAAACAATTGTATGTCTGGTCACCTGGGGTCAGTGTCTAGATTTCTGGCTACGTCTTTGTTAAATTCTTGGAAATGCACCCTCTTTTATTGGTCTCATTTTAAAAACTCACCCTATTCCTAAGCAATTATTAAGTCTCTCTGTTTATCACCAGTACCTTTCTGGAGTGAGCTGCAGTTTATGGGTAAGATTCTGGTGGTTCTTTCTAGTTGAATAGCCTTCATTTGTGGAGGTTCAAGAAGCCCTAATAGCATCCCTCTTTGCCACTTGGGATTTAGAGCCACAGGGAAAACCAATATTTAGGATATTGGAGAATGTGGCTTATATTTGTGGACACGTGGACTTCTTAACGCATATCTCTACAATAAATCAGACTTAATGTACCAATTCATCGCATTCCTGAAAACCATAGGTCTCTGATACAAGGGAATAGACAAGAGAAATAAAAAACCTATACCCTCTGCAGGCAGGCTAGGAAGAGGAGAACGGAGAAGGATTATGCAAGCTCATTTTGTTATCTCATACCAAACAGGTAAGTCATTCTCATATGGAGAGGCCAGGAGGACTACATTGTTATCCCTCCATGTGAAGGCCACATCAGACACGAAGAGGACTAAATACTCCCAAGCCCAATATCACCCACTATGAAAAATCTTCATTGGTTCATTTTACAACCTGCTCTGCTGTGGAAAGGTAGCTCAACTGGCTGCCCATTTACTGGCCTAAGTTGAGAATCCTGTTACCACAAGGAATTAGAGAATTCTGGAATAACATTGTGATGGAAGAGAATTGGCTCTCTGAACATCAGGGAGACTAGAAAGTGAACAAAGTTTTTATTCTGAACCAAGTTGTGTCTAACAGTGATCTCTTTGTTTTCCTTCAACAAAACTGTCCTGGCACCATATTTACTACCTCAGTGATTAACTCAATTATCTATCCAGCCTTCCATGCTAGAAGTATCAAGTTCATTCCAGACTTTTCCATTTGATTAGTCATGAACTTTGGTATTTCTACCACAAATCCTTTTTGAAACTTTCCTCCCTCCCCTTCCCCACCACAACTTCCTTAGTTTAAGCCCTGAACAGAAAGTAATTAAAGCATATTTCCTGCAACAGACGCATTTTTCCCCCTTATCACCTCTCTCTGGTTTTAGCATCTCTGCGGTGGACAGTTCCCTGCACCATAAATGTATTCAACCTCAAGGACAGAGAGCATTGCTTTTCTTTTCTGCCCTAGGGCCCTAGAGGCCCTCTTAACCTCTGGACAAGCACAGTTGGAGGTGCTAGGAGTTAACATCCAGTGGTGGAAACCTTCAAGTGGAGAGTCTCTGGATAAGTGCTCTAGCCATTGTCCCCCCTCTTTCAGAGGAACAATTCTGAGAAACATTCTACATGGATGCTCAGAGAGTTCCCAATAAGTTTGAGTTCAAGTTACCCACGGTGGTAACAAGTTTATTCATGCAGTTTTTAATTATATTTTTCTGCTTCCCTGACTCATTTACCCTGCTTTCTTATTTCTACTTTCTGGGACTACCTCTCAAATAAATCACCTGCACTCTAGTCCCTGTCTCAGGCTCTGCTTTGGAGGAAACACAAACTAACTTATTATTTATGAAGCAAGAATTTTTTATTACTAAAACCTGAAGCATGAATTGGCAAAGTAGCTTGTTGAAAATTTTATTTCTAGAATGTGTCATAGCTAAGGATAGATCCAGGTCCAGTGTTTTCACCTTACTGGTATCTCCTTTTCACCTAAGATCCAAAGAATTTTCCACATAATACCTCATTTATCTGTATAAAATTTCAGTTGCATTAATAGGCATAGGGTATGTTACAACCCAATTGTAGAAAGTAGCCTCTTTGCAATTAGGCACAATGGTAAATACTCATTTGATGAACGTTGTTCAAGTGCTAAGACCCATTTACAGTGATTCGAAAATGGATACCTTATCAGCTCTTTATTTCTTTCTTTTCTGAACCATTTATATAACAAGTATCATTTGCCAAGTTGCATTTTTTGAAATACAGCCAAATGAAGCACTTTATAAATAAAAGAGGCCACTCAAATAATTTATTATCATTCAAAAATTATTGAAAATGCTCCAAAGCTGAACAATTAAGCTTGCAAATATAAATAGTCAAGGTAAACTTCCTCATTTAAAGAAATTTAAATTAGCTTTAAACTCTAAGCTCTAATTTCTATTAAGCCGAAAAGAAAATCCTTGTCCCGTTGTGAACAATTTTTATTCTGTCTTTCTCGGTTTTTAAAAAAATATCAGAAATATGGAGACAGAAAAAAGACTGGTGGAAGACATTTGCCTAGCATCCTGGATGGTTGTAAATAGTAGGCAGAAGAAGACAATAGCCTAGAAATGCCCTCTTAGCTTCTCTGGTCTTGTAACCACACAAGTGAAATGGGAAATTGGGCCAAGGAAAATGAGCATATAGGTCAGAAGTCAAGCAGAAAACAGTACACTGAGCCCGGAGTTTTGAAGAGATATTTTTACTGAAGGAATTATTTAGAAGTATGGGTAGACTTAATGGAACCATTAAAGGATGTTGGGGCACCAGAGTGTAACAACATCAGGAAGATGTTAGCACCCTTAGCCGTGATGAGACAAGGGAGGGAACAGAGCTACCAGGCACAGTGATAGCTGCAACCATAGAAGAGGGGCCACTGACAAGAAGTGTGATCACAGAAGAATAGTATGGAACTGGGAGACAGCCAGGGGAATAATTACTTTGATCTTTTAAAAAGTTTCCTGTGCTCTGATTGCTCTCCAGGTATACCTTCCGTTACTTGAATGCAACCAGAAGCCAGAGGTATAGGGGGTTAATTGATGAAGCCCATAGAGGTCAGCCTCCTAGGGCACAGAGAAAGGCAAAGAAAGATGGAGCAAAGATCTAAGGGCTGGTGAAGGAAGGGAGAGGTACTCCCCTTGCTTACTCACACATAAATAAATCCTGAAGCAAAATTTGCTTCATGGAAGCTTTTGCTCCTAAAAGGGTAGGACTTAGACCCAGCACTTACAGTAACCAAGAGAGAAGCACTTGAAGTAGTTTTTTAACCTAAAGTTTAGGTTATTCACTAACGTTTAGGTGACAGTGTATATACATTTGAGTACAGATTTTAGCAGAGGACTATCATATGGGTAGATAGCAATAAGTGCTCATGAAACAAATTGGTTTCTGTTTTCCTTAATATTTGAAATACTAGCACTACACAAATCTTCTCTCAGTTGACTTGCTGTTGCATCCACCTCCAAAAAGTTTATTTATTCAAACTGGACAAAAATATTTTATTTTTTCACATATTTTCATCAGGAAAATGGAGAAATCAATAGATGAGTTCCTAGGGAATGTTTTTGCCCTGGCGGACTTTAGCTTTTATTGGAGTGTGGTGTCATGCTCATAAGTTTTCTGCAATTTTTCCATTCACTTATTCATCCAATGAACACTTGTTGAGCCTAATATAAAAGGATCCTTGCCTTGGTCAATATTGCCTGCTAGTTTAGGAGATAGATAAGAAACAAGTAAATGCTTTAACAAAATATGTACAGATTATGATCAGCATTGTTCAGGAAATGAAAGTGGTTGGGGGCTGAAATATAATTAGGAACAGAACAATCTCAAGTAGATAAGGTGGTCAGGGAACATCATTTTGAGAAGAGAACACAAAAACTGAGACATGAAGGATGAGAAGGAGTTGGACCTGCAAAGTGCAAGGGCAGTTGTAACCCAGACAGAGGGAATAGTAAATGCAAGAGCCTCGTGTCAGGAAAGGGCTTTAGTCTTATGACAGTGTATCACCATCTTCCCTTAGGACAAGGTGACATGGAGGTCCTTCAAAAAATATGAATTTTGGGGGCTCCATCCCAGATACACTGAATAAGGATCTAGAGGAGAGCCCTGGGAAACAGTTGCATGCTATCATTAGGAACATTTGGGAAACCCTGCCCATAAAGAACTATCAGCGATATTTACACTGTAGAGTGGTACATCTCAAGGAGATGGGGGCTGAGTGTAAAGAATGCTGTGCAATTTTGTTGGTTTTTCATAGTGCCTTATTTCAGAGGTGGCAGCCTCTGAGAAGCAGTGGCCAAATTTAGCAAGCTCAAATGTATCAGACACAACCTGCTTCCTGGGCCCTGGGGCTGCCATCTGCTTTAGATACACAAGTCCCGAAATATGGTTGGCAGAATTCCAAAGATGGCCTCCTAAGATTCCCATCCCCTGATTATTCAATCAAACACTAATCTAGGTATTAACCTGAAGGGACTTTGTCAATGTAATTTTGGATACTGGACCGTAAAACATGGAGAGGAAACTAGATTACTCAGATGGGTTCAGTCTAATCACAGAAGACCTTACAGGCAAT